>NT_167246.2:1082049-1383192 GCF_000001405.40 Homo sapiens | reverse complement strand
GGCCAAAGTGACTGGCTGAAGAGTGCAGGGTGAAGTCATGGGACAAGGAGATGAAGAAGCTGTATTATCAAGTTGAGAAAACAGTTCCTTTGTGGAGGTCTTAAACTAGTTGTCATCAGCTGTTCTACTAAAATTCAGGATCTGCTTAAGCAATTCTTTAAAAAAATTTTTTTAATTAATAATTTTTTTTGTAGAGATGGGATCTTGCTTTGTTGCCCAGGCTGGTCTCGAACTCCTGGCTTCAAGCAATCCTCCTGCCTTGGCTGATTCTTATGTCAGAAATCCTACCTAGAGCAACAATGGGGATATGACTGGTCAGTGTCTAGTGTTACATGACTTTTGGTTTCAAGGAAGTGAGTCAAAGTGCAGTCTGATTAAGGCTTAATTATAATTATATTTCTGTCCAGAATTATTGTTAACCCTGTGAGGATGGCTTCACTTAGGGAAAACTTTTAGACATGAAACTACTGGGCCAAACGGTCTTAGGTGCATTTTAAAATAATTTTGGTGTATATTGCCCACACACAGTCCAGAGGGGCTAAACTGGCTCACATTGCAGCTGCAGGATTGTGGAGTGCCTGCACTGAAGTTTGCAATAGAGAGAAGAGGAGATGAGCACTGCTCCATCCAGTAGGAGGTGTAAGGGTTGGGAGATCCCTTGCGAAGAGCTGGAAACTCAGAACTGGGGTTGTGGGGATGGAAGGTGGGCTCTGCGGTGATATGGGAGTTCATCTGTGTATTCTTTTGCCAGGACCTCCGTAACAAAGTACCACAGGCTGGGTGGCTCTAGCAACAGCAATTTATTTTCTCAAAGTTCTGGAGGCTGACAGTCCAAGATCAAGGTTGTTGCCTGTGAGGCCGCTCTCCTTGGCTTACAGATGGCCGTCTACTCAGTGAGTCCTCACAAGGTCTTTCCTCATGTGGAGCATCCCTGGTGCCCTTCTGTGTGTCCAAATCTCGTCTTCTTATGAAGACGCCAGTCAGATTAGACAAAGGTCCGCTCTGATGGGCTTATTTTACCTCTGAGGACTAAACTCTGACCTTTTTCCTTCTCTTGCCCAAATTTCTACCTAAGGGGCCTGGGGAGTCATGCCCTACAAACCGTAAAGTCTCATCAGAGGGGTTTTATTTAACCCTAATGTGGCCTACTTTCCAAACTGGCTCTGGCATAACATTACATAACAAATAAGGAAAGAAATCAAAATATTTTAACCCCAAATGTATTTCCTTGCCATATCTTGAAATTGCCCTGCAAAGTTGTCTCTTGTGGGGGAAAAATCTACATTCTATAGAGAATCCCCTTTTCCCTTTTTTTCAGGTCCAGGAGATAATCAAGAGTCTGGCACCCTTTTTGAGTCTAATAAAAAACATTTATAATCTATTCTCTCTGAAGCCTGCTACCTGAAGGCTTCCTCTGCACATTAAGAACTTTGTGCCGGGTGCGGTGGCTCACGCCTGTAATCCCAGCACTTTGGGAGGCCGAGGCAGACAGATCACCTGAGGTCGGGAGTTCGAGACCAGCCTGACCAACATGGAGAAATCCCATCTCTACTAAAAATACAAAAAATTAGCCAGGCGAGGTGGTGCATGCCTTAATGCCAGCTACTTGGGAGGCTGAGGCAGGAGAATGGCTGGAACCTGGGAGGCGGAGGTTGCAGTGAGTCGAGATCATGCCATTGCACTGCAGTCTGGGTGACAGAGTGAGACCTTGTCTCAAAAAAAAAAAAAAAAAAAAAGGAACTTTTCTCTTTTCTCTCCACAGTTCTTTATCTCAACCCAGAGATTTCCTTTCCATTGATCCCAGGTCTTCAGATAAACTCAACCAACTGTCAACCAGAAAATGTTTAAATCTACTTATAACCTGGAAGCTCCCTACTTTGAGTCATCCTGCCTTTCTGAACCTAACCCATGTACATCTTAAATGTACTTGATTGAAGTATCATGTCTCCCAAAAATGTATGTATGAAACCAGGCTGTGCCCTAACCACCTCAGGCACATGTTCTCAGGATCTCCTGAGGGCTGTGTCATGGGCCATGGCCACCCATATTTGGCTCAAAATACATCTCTTTGAATATTTTATAGAGTTTGACTCTTTGTCGACAATTTAATCAACTTTCAAAGGCCCTATTTCCAAATATAGTCACATTTTGAGGTTCTTGGAGTTAGGGCTTCATCATACAAGTTTGGAGCAGTGGGTGAGAGGGACACAATTCAGCCCGCGGAAATCTGCATAGAAGTGTTGAGACCATG
This sequence comes from Homo sapiens, assembly GCF_000001405.40. Classification (NCBI taxonomy): domain Eukaryota; kingdom Metazoa; phylum Chordata; class Mammalia; order Primates; family Hominidae; genus Homo; species Homo sapiens. The sequence continues at coordinate 1,380,941 of NT_167246.2, read as the reverse complement.
GGAGAGACAGACATCCACCACAAACCTCCCCGCATCTGGAAGGCAGCACTCTGTACTCCTGAGTCTCTCAGGGCCAACCAGATCCTCCTCATGCCTCCTGAAATGAGATTTCAAAACTGCTTGCCATCCAAGTGACCTCCTCTCAAGGCAGTCCAGTTTGCGGTTACCTTTATTAAAATGCGCTTCCCAGAGTGAGTTACCAAGAGCTCTGTGTTAGGCTCTGGACACGGTACTTCTGTGGTACAAGAATATTACATAGTCTGATGTGTTCTGATGGGGGCATTTAGATCCTCAAACCCAAGCATATTTTTATTTCTTCTTGCCACTTTTCTCTCAACCACTTTTCTCTGATGTCATTTATTGTAGAAGCAGCATAACCATAGCAAATAACTGGGTAGCGCGGCCTAGCCAAGTTGACATATAAAATTAACCATTCCACCGGCCAATCCAATAATTTAAATAATCTGGATAACTGAGTCAAGTGAAGGCCAGGCCTTTTCAGCTTCTTCCCCCTGCCCTTGCTCCTAAGTTGGAGTCGCGGTGTTAGGAGACTGCAGTTTCTCCTGGCAGAGGGAGAGGAGTGAGACCACCATGAGGTTCTCCCATCTGCACAGGCACAGCAGCCCTTAAACTATCTCTGGATTTATGCTTCTATGTTTTAATGGGTTTCTCTAAGGAAGAAAGGGAGCTTTACATTTTGTTGGGGTTTTTAATCTCATGACTGATCCTTTGGTTGAGCAATTCAGCCCAATGTTATATTGACTGCTATATATAAACTGAACTTTGTTGCTCCATTTATTTTGATGGCCCTCCTATTTTTTTTTCTTTCTGTTTGCATGTATATATCTCTATAGAAAACTTTAAACTCATTTTTAATGGGATGATATACATGCAAACAGAAAGCAAACATTTTAATCATTCTGGTATTTTAAACAGAACTTTTTTATGGCTAAGTGCTGTGACTCATGCCTGTAATCCCAGCACTTTGGGAGGCCAAGGCGGGCTGATCACTGGAGGTCAGGAGTTCAACACCAGCCTGATCAACATGGTGAAACCCTGTCTCTACTAAAAATACAAAAATCAGCCAGGCATGGTGGCACAGCCCTGTAATCCCAGCTACTTGGGAGGCTGAGGCAGGAGAATCGCTTGAACCTGGGAGGCGGAGGTTGCAGTGAGCTGAGATTGCACCATTGCACCCCAGCCTGGGCAACCAAAGCAAAACTCTGTCTCGAAAAGAAAAGAAAAGAAAAAGAAAAAGAAAAAGAAAGAAAGAAAGAAAGAAAGAAAGGAAGGAAGAAAGAAAGGAAGGAAGGAAGGAAGGAAGGAAGGAGGAAAGAAAGAGAGAAAGAAAGAAAGAAAGAAAAAAAGAAAGAAAGGAAGAAAACCCTGTTTTTACTACCTCCTGTTTCTAATTTCTATTTTTAACTAAATAAAATCTAGCTCTCTTGTTGGGAGACTGGTTATAGGGTATCTCTGTGTAAGCTGTCCCTTGACTTCATTTCGACCCCACCGTCCCTGACTTATCTTGAAGCCTAAAAACCCTTTTGAAATCCTGTGTGCATTTTACTTTTCTTATAATATTCTTTCTAGTCACCGTTCAAATGCATTTTAAGTCATTTGCCTTGAGGCTTTTGAAAAAGATAGTGCCCATTCACACTGAAACCAGCCGCATATGAAGAGTCCCATTTTTCCACATCCTCATCAGCTCTGGACATTTTTGAAAAATTTTGCCAATCTGATGAGTACAAAGTTTATCTCATTTTTGTATTTGTATCGCATTATTTGTATTTTCCTGAGTAGTAGGAAAGGAGTTGAACTTTTTCTTAATTTTAGAATTTATTTTAGAATTCCTCTGAATTTCTATTTTTATTTCTATCCATTGTTCATTTTCAACATTTTTCCTATTTTAACTAAAATATTTTACTTTGGAAAAACTTAATATAGAAAATAATAGAAAATCATATAACAAGCACCTTATAACCACAACCTAGAATTAACAAATACAAACATTTTGCTATGTTTGCCTCAGATTTTTAAAAATTAAATATTACAGATTTAATTTTTTAAATTTTAATCTCAAAAAAATTTGAGAATCCCTCTGTCCATTTAGTTCTCTTCTTAGTTCCATTCCTCTCTCGCTCTTTCTCTCTCTCCTCCCGGAAGCAAACACTGCCATAAATTTAGTATGTATCCTTTCAGGCCTTGTGTTTAAACTTCTATCACATATATGGAAACTGCAAACTATATGAAGTGTTGTGTGTTTCTAAGTGTATATAAATCACCACATACTCATTACTGTTTTGAGACCTAGCCATATGACTACATACAGATCACTGGTTTTCCATCAGAGGTTTTGTCCCCCAGGGACATTTGGTCATGCTTGGAGACATTTTTGTTTGTCACAACTGGGGGATAGGAGTGCTACTGGAATCTAGTGGTAGAGGCCAGGGATGCTGGTAAACATCCTACAGTGCACAGGGCCACCACACACCAAAGAATTATCCAGCCTAAAATGTCAACAGTGCTATCATTGAAAAACCCTGACATAGGATTTATTTATTTATTTATTTATTTTTTTGAGACGGAGCCTCACCCTGTCGCCCAGGCTGGAGGGCAGTGGCGCGATCTCGGCTCACTGGAAGCTCCGCCTCCCAGGTTCCCGCCATTCTCCTGCCTCAGCCTCCCGAGTAGCTGGGACTACAGGCGCCGGCCACCATGCCTGGCTAATTTTTTGTATTTTTAGTGGAGACAGGGTTTCACCGGGTTAGCCAGGATGGTCTTGATCTCCTGACCTCGTGATCCGCCCGCCTCAGCCTCCCAAAGTGCTGGGATTACAGGCGGGAGCCACCGCACCCAGCCAATATTAATACTGTTACATGCATCTCTGAGTGCACATGTGCAAGGTTTTCTCTAGAGAGGCAGAATCATACAGGGTGTAAGAAGGCTCTAGAGGCTACCTGGGTTCAAGTCCCCATTCCACTATTTACTTACTGAATGACCTTTGGGGCAAATTGCTTAATCTCTCTTGATCTCCGTTGACTTGTCCTCAAAATGGGAATAATAATACTTCTCTATATAAATGAGTTAATACGCAAAATGCTTGGGACTGTGCCTGGCACATGGTAAGCATTCAAGAAATGTTAGCTTTTATTTACTGGTAGCAGTATTTTCATCATCATCATTATCATTACAGAACCTTGAAATGAAAGTACACCGTTTAAATTCTACTAAATATTTTTAAATTATTGTAATTTATACTCTCACCAGTAGGGTATAGGAGTACCTATTTCTCCATGTCCTTGGCTATATTTGATATTCCAGACTTAAACTTAAGATATAAACTGATATCTTCTTTTATTTTAATTGGCATTTTCTTTTTTCTTTTTCTTTCTTTCTTTCTTTTTTTTTTTTTTTTAAGGAAACGTCTTGCTCTGTTACCCAAGCTGGAGTGCAGTAGGGCGGCTAAAGTGCAGTGGCATGATCACGGCTCACTGCAGCCTCGATCTCGCAGGTTCATGCAATCCTCCTGCATCAGCCTTCCAAGAAGCTGGGACTATAGGTGTGTGCCACCATGCCCAGCTAACTTTTGTATTTTTTGTAGAGACAGGGTTTCACCATGTTGTCCAGGCTGCTCTTGAACTCCTATGCTCAAGAAATCTGCCTGCCTTGGCCTCACAAAGTGCTGGAATTACAGGCATGAGCCAATGAGTTGAGCGTGCATTTTCAAGATTACTGTTTTCAAGTATTTATTGGTTAATTGGTTTTATTGCTCTGCAAATGTCCATTTCATTCTCTGTCCATTTTTTGATTTACTATTTAATGTTGTAAAACATAATGTAAAAAGTACTAAAAAAGAAAAAAACTTAATGTATTTATACAATTAAAAATTCACAAAATGTAATATGTCATACAAAGAAAAGCCTCTCTTCCACCCCTGTTCCCTGGCTAGTCAGTCCCTCTCCTTAGAGACAACCATTGTTAGTTATTAAATTCTTATCCTTCCAGAAAGAACTTATTTGGATATTCAAGAAAATAAGTATTTTTTTTCTACCCAAATGGTAGCATAGTACATGCATTTTTCTGCATTATTTGTTTTTTCCTTTCTTCACATAACAACATATCTTGGCCATATTTTCCATATGTAAATAAGGAACTCCCTGATTCTTTTTTATTTCTATTCTGTTATAAAGCTGGGCTATAATTTATTTAAACATTTCCATACTGATGTACATTTAGATTGTTTTCTAATATTTTGCTAATGCAAACATTACCACAAAGTCCAAAATAAATTTATATGTGTGAGTATATCTGTAGACTAAATTCCCAGAGGTGGAATTTCTGGGATAAAGGGAATGAGCATTTGTAGTTTTGAAACATATCACATTATTTTCCTCCATAGACATTCTACCAATTCACATAGGCCCGGAAATGTGAATCCTGAGGCAGGGGAAGCTTCTGTAGCTGGAATCGTGATGCAGGGAGGCTTATGTAACATTGTGGGGCTGTCTAGTCTGACAACTGAGCTGCCTCTAGCCTTCACTGGCCTCTGATAAGGTGTCTCATCCCATTAGTCTTGGCAGGTCCCCTCCAGATCTGTGCACTCGCTGCTGCATGGCTCTGTGTCTGCTTTCTTGTGTGTGACAGCTGTCTCATGTGCATGAGGCTCTGCATCATTTCCTGTTCTATGGCTAATTTTTATAAACTCTATGCCTCAGAATTGGCTTGGAAGTCCTTTGGAACTAACACAATACCAACTATCTCAAGACCCTAGCCCTTGCAAATTGGAGGCATTTGGTTTCAGACTACTGAGCCTACTAAGAGTTTAAGATATCCATTCAAGGGCTGGGCACAGTGGCTCACGCCTGTAATCCCAGCACTTTGGGAGGCTGAGGCAGGTGGGTCATCTGAGGTCAGGAGTTCAAGACCAGCCTGGCCAACGTGGTGAAACCCCGTCTCTATTAAAAATACAAAAAATTAGCTGGATGTGGTGGCAGGTGCCTGTAATCCCAGCTACTTGGGAGGCTGAGGCAGGAGAATCACTTGAACCGGGGATTCAGAGGTTGTAGTGAACCGAGATCACGCCATTGCACTCCAGTCTGGGCAATAATAGTGAAACTCTGTCTCAAAAAAAAAAAAAAGAAAGAAGAAAGAAAAAAAATATATGTATATATATATCTCCATTCAGTCCAGTGGATGGATGACCCAGGATAACAATAATAATTCTGAGAGAGTAAAGCACCTTTGAAACACTGTAGATTCTCATTTTTTATGTCTAAATTTCCTTCCTCATGAAGCCATCAGTACCTGTTTGGTGACAGTTCTTTGAAACTCTCCAGTGGTGTTCATATGAGTATTTTCATTCTCTCTGCTGGGTTGCCCAGCTTCATTGAAATACCAATGTTCTTTTAAAATATTTGTTTATCATTTTTAAAGATTACTATTTGTTTTCATTAATGCTGAAACAAGAAAGAATAAAGAAGACTTAATGTGGAATAGGAAACCTGGAATTAAGTCTGAGATCTGTCATTTATTAGCTGGATGAGCTGGAACAATTAGTAGTGTCTCTAAACCAGGGGTTATCAATGTGTGAGCCTCCATCAGGAGCATCGACTTCTCCAGAGAATTTGCTTAAGATGTCAATCATCAGGCTCCACCAAGGACCTGTTGAAAGAGAAAGTCTCTACTGGAGTTCAGCAAATCTGAATTTTAACAAGTTTTCCAAGTGATTCTGAAGAATACTGAGTTCCTTTTTTGAGAAAGGATAAAGATAATTTCTTACAGGTGAGACTTAAATGAGGTAATATAAGCAAAATAAATCTATAAATCAGAGTCATAATGTCAAATGCCTTCAAGGGCCAAGGAGACGTGAGGTAGCAGAGCGGTGGGGAACATAGCCACCCTCTCTAAAGGCATCTACATTATCATTATTTTCTAAATCATCATGCCAGTCAAACAAAACCTGTCAAAAGTTAAATTCTGCTTCTAGGGGCCAGCAGTTTAGGAGTGTAAGTAAAACAATTTACAGATGTTAGACTGTTTTAATTTAACCCTAAAACAAACAAAAAGAAAGGTCTGGAGGTATAACATTTCTGAAAGTCTTTGGTTTACAGCAGTTGCTATAAGGGGAGCCACATAATTTATAGTCCAAACTGGACATTTCTGAAAGTGAAAGGAGGTGCTATTAATAATTACACCAGGACAAAGTGAAACCCAGGATGGTTCCAGGCAAAGCAGAGTGTATGATCACTCTGGCTATTATTATAATAATCATCCACAAGCCCTGTTTGACCTAAGATTAAGATCAGACAAAAATTAATGGTGTACTTCTTGCTGGGGACAGACGGCTGATAATGGAGAGTGAGGAGGTGAGGGTGGAAGCTATACCAAGAGAAGGGGTAGGGAGGAAGCACCCTTTTCCTTAAGACAAGAGGCAAGGAGGGAAGGTTAGGACATGAATGTACAGAAGGGAATGTATGTAACACTGGTTGATATATTCCTAGTCATAACAAAAGCCATAGAAGGCAAGTCAGGGATCAGAGAAGCACCAAGAAGGAAGAAGAAGAACATATAGACAGAATTGGCAAAGCAAAGAATGGGCACGGAGACACCAGCATACTGGAGACATACAGAGAAAAAATCAACAGAGGACAGACTACTACAGGTGTTGTGGGGAGACAGAAGATCACCAGGGGCAAGAGCAAAGTGCAAAAACAAAGAACAACTCTTTAGAAAGGAAGTTCCTTGCCTATCCTACTGAGCTAGGGAGTGGTTGGTTGACCCTGTGACTGGAAATTCCCCAAGGTAGGTGATGATAACCTCCACATTTTCACAAAATTCTGTGAGGAGCCAAAGCACCTGAGGTAGAGAATTGCCCTTCCCCTACTTTCCAGATGCTCTACCAAGGCTTGAACTTTGCATACAAGATGCCCAAAGCATTGCAGTGAACTGGCTGTGACCTTTCAGTAGGCATCACCACCCACCCCTCCACTCCCTACTCAGAGCTGATTGGGAAATCCCCCATAAGTGGTGTTTGGTGCCCCGGTCATTCTGATCTTAGTCAACCACCATACAAACATACCTTTAGTCCAAAGTTCAGGACAACTTATTTCACTTTATAAGCAGCCTATTACACATTCAAAGTATCCATTTGTTCTCAAGAGGTAGCAAGGTAGGACTGCCCATCTGTTTTCCTCTCTTTATAATATTTTCTAGATCCTAAATTTTACGCTTTTCTATCATTTCTTTATTTTTTTCTCCCTCTTCTTTTCCTCTCTCTCTGCTCTTCTAACTAATTGGCAGAATCTCTGACCTCCACTTTCTCTGACTCCCTTCTCCCTTCCTAGAAACAGTATCCACAGTGGACTCCGGGGCTCCTACAGACTTGGCACAGCTTCCTACAGTCTTGAAACAGCCCTGTTGTTCTGTCATGGCCAGTGGGCAGTTTGTGAACAAACTGCAAGAGGAAGTGATCTGCCCCATCTGCCTGGACATTCTGCAGAAACCTGTCACCATCGACTGTGGGCACAATTTCTGCCTCAAATGCATCACTCAGATTGGGGAAACATCATGTGGATTTTTCAAATGTCCCCTCTGCAAAACTTCCGTAAGGAAGAACGCAATCAGGTTCAACTCGCTGTTGCGGAATCTGGTGGAGAAAATCCAAGCTCTACAAGCCTCTGAGGTGCAGTCCAAAAGGAAAGAGGCTACATGCCCGAGGCACCAGGAGATGTTCCACTATTTCTGCGAGGATGATGGGAAGTTCCTCTGTTTTGTGTGTCGTGAATCCAAGGACCACAAATCCCATAATGTCAGCTTGATCGAAGAAGCTGCCCAGAATTATCAGGTAGGCATTTGAGGTTTCTTCCCTGTTCCCCCATCAGCCCAGGAGTTCAGTGAGGCCCTGGAAACTGCTACCTTCCCACTGAGGGTTTGCACCCCATTGCCCCCACCCCTTGGGCTTGAGTGGGCAGCTCGCAGTCAGGCACAGTGGGTTCAAAGAGCTGAGTCTGGGGAACTGCTGACTCTCTAAATCAAGGTGCAATGGAGAATGGAAAGGATGTGAAAATTTGACTCAGAAGGTTTGGGCTCAAGCCCAGTCTTGTGAGTTTACTGTACAACCTGCAAGGAATCACTTTACCTCTCTGAGCCTCAGGTACCTCACCTTTCAAATGGCAAAAACAAAACAACTCTCTTAAAGTTGTTGGTAGGACAGATGAAGGGAAGTTTGTAGTTCTTTGATAATTCCAAAGCACCATCCATAGTCCTAGTTAGTCATAAATAACTATGTTCTGGTCATTTAGGTCACTTAGGCTCCAGATTTCTCCCTTCTCAGCAACCCCTTTCCCCGCCAGCTTGAGAAAGGCGAGTCCTTAATAATTACACAAGGACTCACCTGGAGAGTGTCACCAGCTCTCCTAAGAGACCAGGAGGATTTTATGAGGCCAGAAATCTCCAGGCACAGCCTGTCCAAACGGCCCTCTTTCCGCAGGGGCAGATTCAAGAGCAGATCCAAGTCTTGCAGCAAAAGGAGAAGGAGACAGTACAAGTGAAGGCACAAGGTGTACACAGGGTCGATGTCTTCACGGTAAGAAAAACTCCATCCCACGATCTCTGGAAGCAGAAACATCTCTGCCAAAGCTCCTGGAATCCCCTATTACACTGACCCCTCAGAAAAAGATCCAGTGAGCCATGTCCTCTCCTCGGCGCCTCAGCACCTGACCGGCCAGGCGGCATCACCTCCCGCGTCGGCCTCGCTATTACAGCGGGCTGACTGCTCAGTCTCCACCGGCAGACAAGGTGGGGCACGGAAAACCCGCGCTGGTCTTAGAATCGCAAGTACAGGTTTTTAAGGCCGAGCTGCGCCCTCAACGGATTCCCCAATTAGAAAATGAAGACATTGGCCGGGCGCGGTGGCTCACGCCAGTAATCACAGCACTCTGGGAGGCTGAGGATCGCTTGAGCCCAGGAGTTTGAGACCAGCCTGGGCAACATAGCGAGACTCTCCTCTTAATTAAAAAAAAAAAGAAAGAAAACTAGCCGGGCGTGGTAGCACACGCCTGTAGTCCCAGCTACTAGAGAGGCTGGGAGGTGAAAGTATTGTTTGAGCCTGGGAGGATGAGGCTGCAGTGAGCCGTGATCGTGCACTGCACTCCAGCCTGAGTGACAGAGTGAGAGACTGTCTCAAAAAAAAAAAAAAAAAAGACAGAAGGAAAATGAAGACATTGTGACCCCACTTACCTATTTTCCTGTGTGCGTGAAAGGAATAAAATCTATATGAAAGATTATAAACTGAAAAGCCTTCTGGAATTGTATTAGACAGTTCCTTGAAGGCAAGTGGTAAACCATAAATTAATAATTTCGCTTAAAGCTGAGCACGTAGTAGGTGCTTTTAGAAGTTTGTTCTCCTCTCCTTTCCTTTCTTCCAGGTCTGCCCTGGCACATTGCTCTGGTTGGGAATTCCACACAAACTTAATAAAATTAATGGCTGAATAAAGTGGGCTAGAAGGACCTTCGAGGCCATCCTCTCACCCTCTGCCTGTCCCTGTTTCTTAGGACCAGGTAGAACATGAGAAGCAAAGGATCCTCACAGAATTTGAACTCCTGCATCAAGTCCTAGAGGAGGAGAAGAATTTCCTGCTATCACGGATTTACTGGCTGGGTCATGAGGGAACGGAAGCGGGGAAACACTATGTTGCCTCCACTGAGCCACAGTTGAACGATCTCAAGAAGCTCGTTGATTCCCTGAAGACCAAGCAGAACATGCCACCCAGGCAGCTGCTGGAGGTGAGTCCCTTGGGGGCAGAATTGCAGAGAGGTAGCAGCCCATCCCTAGTCTCAGGTCAGAGCATGGACCACTGGCAGAATACCTGAGATTGCCCCAACCATCCTACCTCTAGCCCAGTGCTGTCCAATAGCAATATGTGAGCCGCATGTATTAGAATGAAAATGTGAGCCACATATGTAATTCATAAATATAATTCTGGCCACATGTGTGATTTAGAAATGTAGTTTCAGCCACATATGGAATTACAAATTTTTCTAGTTAGTCACATTAAAATGATAAAAGTGAAATTAATTTTAATAAAATATTTTAACTCAATATATCTGAAATATTATCCTTTCAGCCTGTAATGAATATTTTAAAAGTATTAATGAGATATTTCACATTCTGGGTTTTTGGTGGTTTTTTTTTTTTTTTTTTTACACTGAGTCTTTGAAATTGTGTGTATATTTTTCACTTTGGCACATCTCAATTCAGATGCTAAATTGTCAATTGTTAAAGTAAAATATAGTCTTACCAAATCAATAAAGTTGTGTTTAATGGAAAAAGTACTTTACCCTTCTTCTATTTATTTTATTTTATTTTTTGAGATGGAATCTTGCTCTGTTGCCCAGGCTGGAGTACAGTGGCGCGATTTTGGCGCACTACAACTTCCGCCTCCTAGGCCCAAGTCCCAAGTAGCTGGGATTACAGGTCCCCACCACCACGCCCAGCTAATTTTTGTATTCTTAGCAGACACGGGGTTTTACCATGTTGGCCAGGATGGTCTCGAACTCCTGACCTCAAGTGATCTGCCCACCTCAGCCTCCCAAAGTGCTGGGATTACAGGCGTGAACCACCGTGCCTGGCCTCTATTTTTAATTTAAATTTGAATTAGTAAAAATGAAATTAAAAATTCAGTTCTTTGTCACACTAGCCACAATTTCCAATGTTCAGTAGCCACATGTGGTTGGTGGCTACCATATTGGACAGTGCAAGTCTAGCTGGTGCTTAAAATAAGCTGAGATGATTCCTCCTCAAGTCATCTATTCTCCCACAGGTTCAAAAACCTATTTATTTATTTTAAGAAAGATCATGCAAAGCCATTCTAGCCTTTCTCCTGCCCTGGCTAGCAGGCTCCCTTGTTCAGTCTCAGAGCCAAATTCATCTTCTAAATCTCACTCTTCTCTTCTTCACTCAGTTCTTCTTGAGGTCAAAACACTTTTCTGCTTACTGGCAGAGCAGTGCTTCTTGGAGAAGCCCTTCGTGGTGGGGAGAGGGGAGGAGGATGGGGTAAGAGAGACTTGGAGGGGTTCTTACTCCTCCTGCTCTGCCCCACACCCAGCAGGCTCTGTATCTCCTCCTTGGCTCCTGGGAATCAGCCAAGTGCTGAGGCTGTGCTGTTTCTCTTTCTCTTCTAGGATATCAAAGTCGTCTTGTGCAGGTATGATGGGCCACCCCAAATGTATTTTGCCTACTGATTCATCCACATACAATTCTCAGCGTATATCCAAATGCGGTCAACATTCCTCTCTCAGAAATACCCACCCACCTCTAACTCTGCATTCATACATTTAGGCTGCAGCCGGGGAATGCCTATGCCAACCATACTAGCACGTGGTTGGTTGTTAAAGAAACCAGCTGTTTTCTCAGCCTTCCTCCTTCTTCAGCACAGATTCTACTATTTCCTGAATGCCCCCTTGCTCAACTGAATAGCTCCTGGGTCCCCTACTCTGTCTCCCTGACCCTGTTTTTTTCCCTCCTCTCTGTCTCCATCTCCCATCTTCATTTCCATATCTCCCTATGCCCTACCTCACTCCTTCCCCATATCCCTAGCCCTGACTTTCTGACTCCCAGCTCACTATCCCTTAACCGCCAGGTCTTCTTCTTTTTTTTTTTTTTTTGAGATGGAGCTTTGCTCTTGTTGCTCAGGCTGGAGTGCAGTGGTGCAATCTCAGCTCACTGCAACCTTTGTCTCCCAGGTTCAAGTGATTCTCCTGCCTCAGCCTCCCAAGTAGCTGAGACTACAGGCGCTTGCCACCAAGCCTGGCTAATTTTCATATTTTTAGTAGAGACCGGGTTTTACCATGTTGGCCAGGCTAGTCTTGAACTCCTGACCTCAGGTGATCCACCCACCTCAGCCTCCCAAAGTGCTGGGATTACAGGTGTGAGCCACCGCTCTCAGTTCTACCCCCAGGTCTTCATCCCCTCATTTCTCAACCCCATATCTCAGATCCTCCTTCTCCCACACCTCATCCCCTGATCTCACCAACCAGCTCAACCACATCTTCCTAGAAGTGAAGAGTTTCAGTTTCTCAACCCAACCCCTGTTCCTCTGGAACTGGAGAAAAAACTCAGTGAAGCAAAATCAAGACACGACTCCATCACAGGGAGCCTGAAAAAATTCAAAGGTAAGGAAGAGGCTGTATTTTCTCTATTCACCTACTTCCAGGAGATTCTCTCCCTGCTCACTCCACTGAAATGGAACTGTGACTCATACATGCCAACAATCCCTGGGCCCTTCTAGTGCCAGGCTTCTGGCTGAGTACTTTCCACGCATCAGTATGCCTCCTCCCAGGCATTTCTTATATTCTATCTTCGTGATATGTTATTTATCTGCCTCCCTGACTCCTGCGAGAGCCATAGAGGGCCTGGACCTATTCCCCATGTGGACACCTGGCCTAGAGCAGTGGCTGTTGGGAAGTTGGTGATGAGTTGTCTGGTGGACCAGAGATGGCCTCAGGCAGGGACTGTCATCTCTGACTTCTCCTTCTCTGGTGCACACTGGTGTCTCCTCCTGCCTACAGAAGAAGAGAAAATAAATTCAAAATCAGTGACATTCTGGGGAGAAACCTCTTCCAGCCTTACAGGGAAACAGAAATCAGCAGAACAGTAGTGGATGACTTGGGTTTTAGATGTTCGGCCAGATATTTTTCATAAACCTTTCTGTGTTTGCAACTAGGAAGAAGGGTTAGTATTTGTAAGGACTCCCCTTAATGTGAAGACTGTGTTGGTCTAAGGTGGGCATAAAGACAGCTAGATGGAATCTTCTGAAATTATCACCTGGAGTTCCACACCCACCTCCCCCACCCCAACCCCCAGCCCCCCATACACAAACACTTCCCCTTGGGACTACGGAAAAGGAGGACCAGGGCAATGCCCCAAGATCTCCACTCATTCAGCCGGGAATCTCCACTCGGCAGACATAAACAGGAAAGCATGTTTTGTTTTATTCTTAATTTTGTTGTCTGAGCTTTTCTTTTGTCCACTAACTGCTCTGCTTTGTCTAGCTCCTCCCACCCCACTGGGCATGATCTCAGCCGATCTAGCAACTTTATTTATTTGTTTATTTATTTATTTATTTTTGACGGAGTTTTGCTCTTATTGCCCAGGATAGAGTGCAGTGGCGCAATCTCGGCTCACTGCAACCTCCGCCTTCTGGTTTCAAGCGATTCTCCTGCCTCAGCTTCCCAAGTCGCTGGTGTTACAGGCGCACACCACCATGCCCAGCTAGTTTTTTGTATTTTTAGTAGAGACGGGGTTTCACCAGGTTGGTCAAGCTGGTCTCGAACTGCTGACTTGTGATCCACCCGCCTCAGCCTCCCAAAGTGCTGGGATTACAGGCGTGAGCCACCACGTCCAGCCCGATCCAGCACCTTTCTAGGCTCTTCAGGTCAAGAATAGTTTGGTTCTAGTTTGGAATTTCAATAAAGGAGCCCAGCCCTTTCCACTTCATCAGGTTTGGAGTTGGGGAGACTGGTGTGCTCTACTCTGTATCCCCCTTTTCTTTCCCTCTTTCACATACACAAACTCACACACACACAGTCCCCCAACTCCCACCTGGCCCTATTTCCTTCTTTTTTTTTTCTCTTATTTTTATTTTATTTTTACCCCAAAGAAGAAGGCACAATGGCCACCTGGCCCTATTAAAGCCTAGGAAATACAGGAGGTGGTAGGGAGTCTACTTATACCACAGGTCCAATCTCCACAGTTCTTATTATGAGGGTTGGTTCTCCCTGCTCGGGGTGACTGGGTCTGGAACACGTACGTGGAGAAGGGTGTGGCTGGGCCCTGAAGCCGCTAAAGGCCCTTGTAGGTGAAGTGCTCCCAGGCAGTGTTTCCTATGCTCTAGGTTTGCAGACCCCTCCTAAGAGGGCCCCCGCGTCTCCCCTGAGCAGTCCCCATGACTGGGCTGGTGGCTCTCAGGGAAGCTGCCCACGCTTGTCCCACTACCTAGCCCCAGGCTGTCTTGTGCTGTCTTGGGGCTGCAAGACACTGGGGGAAGGGTGCTGGGGCCAGAAGTAGCTCCCCATCTAGGGGCTCCACCCTATAGTTCTCCACTCAGTCCAGCACCCCTACAGGAAATCTAGGCCAGGAATGGGCCATTGTCCCCAACTTCTGGGCTCATCCTCTACCTGCAAAAGGAGTCTCTTCTGGCAGGGGTGAACTGGGAGATGAAGGCACTCGGCCTCCCCTTGCAGGAGCTCTGTCTTCGTTCCCCCTCTCAAGCCCTCTTTCATGGGAAAGAGGGCAGGACTGCCATCCAGGCTTTAGGAGAGTGGGGCCCCCCCTTACCCCACCTGGCTCCTGGGTGGTTAGCCCTACAGTAGGCCTTCTGAAGCTAAAGGGTGAAGCCTCAAGGCACTCTTTGTCCTGAGCACCTACCTTTGTCAGGCAGTGAGAAAGGGGCTAGCTCTGCACTGTCCAATTTAGTAGCTGCTAGCCACATGTGCTGACAGGCACTTGAAATGTAGCTAGTCCAAATTTAAACATGCTATATGTGAAGAATCATTAATTTCACAAGATTGAGTGTAAAAAGAGACTGTAAAAGATAGCAATAATTTTTATAATACATGTTGAAATAACATTTTGAGAATATTGAGTTAAATAAAATATATAATTAAAGTTAATTTTACTAGTTTCTTTCTACTTTTTAAATGTGACTACTAGAAAATTTAAAAATATATAAGTGGCTCACATTCGTGACTCAGATTACATTCATCATTCATACTGGACAGTGCTGGGCTAGGCAGTCACCACAGGAAAGCAGAAAGGGCATCTCTCAAGGGTTGCATACCTTCCTGGTCCAATAAGAATATGAGAGTCAAATGCAGCTTCTACTTCTCCCAGGCATTTCAAATTAGTGCCTTGCTGTGTGATAGTGAGTTCTTTGCTCAACCCCTCTGGACTCTCACCATTTCATCCCATTCTTTATTCCCCAGACCAACTCCAGGCTGATAGGAAAAAAGATGAAAACAGATTCTTCAAAAGCATGAATAAAAATGACATGAAGAGCTGTAAGTGAGAAATGATGGTTGGTTGCTTCTGCCATTTGGGGAAAGTGAGAAAAGGGGAAGAATTGTGTCTCTATGATTACATGAAGGCCAGATATAAGTGAATGCCGATTCCTCAGCCAATTGAGAGAACAGGCATATGGTTGTTTTATTATTTTAAACTCAGGTAACTCACAAAACAGTCACTAATCCCAAACTTTGAAGTATTCAGAAGTAATAGAAAATTACAAATGTATTTCTTCACTCCTAGAGACAGGGAGGAAAAAGTGGGACAAGAAGGAGGCAGCTCCACCTCTGTAGTATTTGCTGCCCCTACAGGGCACCAGGTTTCGAGGCAAACTCCTCTGGGTGTGAGGTCAGTACAGCTCAGGGGATGGAGACCCACTGTAATAACAGCCTGTGCTAAAGTCATTAGATATGGTTCTGCCACCTAAGACAATAACAGTAGAAGTACCATTTCTTAAAGGACCACTATGTGCGCATCTAATATTTCAAAACCCCACAACTATCCTCCAAGATAGGTGTTATTATCTGCAACTTACAGTGAGGTCCATGTAGCTTCCGGGAGGGGAGGTAAGTTACCCAGGTCATATGATCATTAAGTGAAAGAGAGAGAATTAGAACTCCTTTCTCCAAAGCCAGAAACTACAGAATGCATTCCAAAGCCAGAGAGCAGGATTTAGGGATCCTATTCCACCAGCATTTCTCCACAAAAGGAGCTACCGGTGTTTAGAAAGGCCATCTTTGTTATGCTCCATGACTTTTGCCCTGTTAAATGCTTAGTATCCCAGGCCCCAGAAAGCCCTATAAGCCAGTAGAGAACCACACTCTTGTTGTCACTGAGACAACCTGAAAGGTTTCCACACTTCCCCCTGGGTGGGGAATGGGTCCCACTGAGAACCATTGACTGTTCTGATTGATGATGGCAGGGTGCTTGTTTTTGTTTTTAATTTGCAGCTTCTGGTTATCAAGACCAAATAGGTTTTCTCTCCCCAATTTTTAGGGGGCTTGTTACAGAAAAATAATCATAAAATGAACAAAACCTCAGAGCCCGGGTCATCTTCTGCAGGTAAGAGTCCTGTCTCTGAATACTAAGGGACCTCTAAGTCTACAGGTGGTCAAAATGCTGTATCCACCCAATTCCACTAAATGGAATAAATGAATAAATGAATGAATTCATTTATTCCATTTCCTCAGTTCCTCCCCAAATTACACCTCTGCCAGGAAACAGAGGGCGCTCCGACTTGTTCAGGTGTACTTTCTTGAGTTTCACCTCCATCCCTCCTGCTGTATGTAGAGCTCAGCTGTGCTGTCTGGCAATGGAGGATTGCTGCCGAGGTGCTCCCGCTGACCTCTTTTCTCCTTTCCTTCTCCCGCAAAGGCGGCAGAACTACATCGGGGCCACCAAATCACCACTCTTCAGCCCCATCCCACTCCCTGTTTCGGGCCTCGTCTGCTGGGAAAGTCACTTTTCCAGTATGTCTCCTGGCCTCTTATGATGAGATTTCTGGTCAAGGAGCGAGCTCTCAGGATACGAAGACATTTGACGTTGCGCTGTCCGAGGAGCTCCATGCGGCACTGAGTGAGTGGCTGACAGCGATCCGGGCTTGGTTTTGTGAGGTTCCTTCAAGCTAAGCCAGCTCAGAGAACACGGGGAGCGGTGGTGCTACACGGACTTCGGAGCATAGAGTGGCGCTGAGTGAGTGGCTGAGACCGACCACGGTTCTTGACTTAGTGGAATTGGGTCGAAGGAGTGGAGAATGGGAGGGCTCGGGCTACTGAGAGTGGAGATGGGGGCGGGGGTGGTGGTGAAGAGAGTTGGAGAAGGAATGGACGAGTTCTTGAGCAAAAGGAGGGGAAGAGACAATCTCCAGCCACCCGCCCCACGCTTGACTTCTTATCACTTTGGCTGTGGTGCCGCCTAGTGGAAAAAGGAAGTCCCTGCAGCAGTCCCCGCACTCTTTAAGCAGCTGTTTACCGAAGGCACCAGTTCAGCCAGGAGTGAAATCCGGAGAGGAGCAACGCCAGCCTGGGTCACAGTCCATCAAACCCCATGAGCCCGACCACTCTCGCTCTTCCTTACATTCCCACGTCCCCCTTCTCTCCCAACCCCTCATATCAGCAAGGGAAATTAATTAATGAGATTTGATAAATCAGTAGATAGAATGAGGTCCCCATTCTGAAATATTTAGCAGACTGGAACCACCACGCAAGCCTCTGTAGGGGGTGGATGGAGACACTTCTAACTTTAATAAACTGCGACTGAACGTGGAATCCTAGTAAAAGTGTATGTGTGTGTGGCGGGGGATGACTATTCCTCCTTTTGTATTCCAACACTTTCACTCATCCCTGTGTTTGAGGAACTCCACTTTAGAAAATTACTGGCCCTCAGAAAGTCTGAGCCTTGACCCTCTTATACTAGACTCAATTCTTGTCTTAGACATGGGAATTAGGGGCCACGGGAAATGGACAAGGAAGAGATGGTCTCATCTTCGGGTGTTGAAATGATCTCACCACCACCACCAATGAAGAACTTCTCTCTGCGCCCACAGAACAACACATTGTGAAATTTAGGGATTAACTTTGAGGAGGAGGAGGCGGTGCCGGGCCTAAGACTTCTCTGGGGACCACAAAGGCTGTGACTGGGAAGAGAAAGCCTCTCTGGCGGCATCGAGCGGGGCGGGTGGTGGGACGGGGGTATCAGAGGAAGGTAGGGGGTTTGGACAACTTGACCCGGGGTTGGCCACCTCTTTCTCCTCATCTTCACACAGCCCCTGTGACACTGGACGCAGCCTCGGCCCACCCGGATCTCATCCTTTCCCAGGATGAGATAGTGACGCTGAACCTCGCATCCCAGGGCGGTTCGCAGAAGCGGGGCAACCCCCGACGCTTCTACAGGTTCCGCTGAGTGCTGGGCTCGCTGGGCCTTTGCTCCGGCCGCGGCGCCTGGGAGGCGGAGCTCCAAGGGCCCGGGGGCGGGGCCTGCGTGCCGGGCTTGGCCTTGGAGCTGGTTCCCAGGCGGGGCTTCCTGGAGGTGGAGCCCTTGACCGGCTTCGTGGAGCTGCACAGCAGCGGCTCCCAGTGCCAGGCGCTCATCGAGAGCGGTTCCCGGGAGGATCTCCCGATCTGTCCGAACAAAGTGGGCGTCCGCTTGGATTACTAGGGCGGAGAGGTAGTCTTCTACGACGCCACCTCGAGGACCCACATCTACACTTTCCATGCCTCCTTTCCGGGGCAGATCTCCTTTTTCCAGCTTCTGTTTTCCGGCACCCGGATCACCCTGGGTCGCTAGAGTTGTTCTTTGCCTTCCTCTGCATCTCCTCCTCACTCGCTTCTCGCCCCAGTTTGGGATGTGCTGCAGCTGGAAGGGTTGAAGCTAGGCTTCCAGCAGCCCTATGGGAAGGTTACACCCTTCGGGCTTCCTCCTGATCCAGTCCTGATTTCTCTGACCCTGCTTTAAATATTCCTTCTATCTCAGTTCCTCTCTCCTTACAATATGCCTGGGTCGAAAAGAAAGGCTCAAATACACTAAAAGGCTATACACAAGGCTGTTCATTGCAGCACAGTTGGTAACAGGATAAGACTGGAAACGAACGTCTATCAACAGGTGGTTGAAAAAGCTGCCACGTGCAAGCATCCAGCTGCATCTCGGTTAAGACAGACACAGGGGAGTGGACCACTGACCCCAGCTTGTCCGCCTGTCTCCTCCTCCATTTTACCTCCTGCAGCCCCCGTGGACCTGCACAGGGCTTTGACCCATCTGAACCCCATCCTGAAAACCGACATACGCAAAACTTTTCTAGTTCTTCATAATACTCAGAAACCAAAATTAATCCCACGACCAGATGCATCCTCCTCTCAAACCCACATCACCACTACCCGCAACAAAAGTCTTGATCATTCCTAGTGTTGCCATGTGAGGGACTGAAGTTAAACCCAGAGAAGGACTGCTCCAGTTTCCTGAGTGAGCCCAAAAAAAGTAAAAGGGCGAGGAGGTTGGAAACGCAGAGACGAAATGACCTCTGGACAGTAAAACCCACCATTTGCGCCAGTTTGGGATGATTATGGGTTCCTTCCTCTTCCTCCCTTCAGGCCGGCTGGGGACTGGGTAGGCGGATGGGACCAGGCGTCTCTAGGCTTTTCCTGCCTCCTCGCTCCGGTAGGGAGAGGGCGGTGTTGCAGGAGGCGTGGGGAGTCGCCCGCCAGCCCACGCTGCTGCCCGGCGCGTGGCTGCGCAGCGGGAGGGCGGGCCCAGGTGTCGGGGCGGGAGTGAGCCAACGCCCGGAGCACGGATTCCAGGGGCGCTCAGTCAGCCCTGGCCAGGCTCCCCCATCCAGTTCCCCCAGTCGCCCGCGAGGCGCCGCCGATTACATAAACAGCCTTCACCTTCCTGCGGAGGGGACAACAAAGGGCTGGGGACACACAGGCCGAGACCCGAAAGTAACGCCCCTCCGGACTTTTATTCAGAATCAGCCGGGACTGCCCAAATCCCTATTTACAGTTCTCACAGCCCTCGTCATGGTCATGGACTTCGCGCCTTTTACCTTGTTTCCTTTCATTGTGTACAGATTCAACTTCCTTACTACAAAGGGAGATCTTTCCCAAATGTCTTAAGTTGATTTTATACTTCCTGACTCTACCAACCCCAGACACTTAGCACGGACCCTAGAATGGGGTACTTGATTAATAAATATTTACTAAATTAAAACCATGCCCTAATTTCTCTTTTCCCGCGAAAGACTGATGTCTTGGAAATCCCACTCAATTTTCGTGGACCAGCTCCACCTCACCTCCTCCAGGAAGCCTTCCCCAGGCAGGGTTCCTGGTACTTTCTGTTGGAAAAGTGTGCACACTCCCAAAGCCACTACAGCCATCTCCCTGCAGCACTTACCGCAAGTTGACTGTGAAGTCCTCGAGAACAGAAGCAGCATCTCACTCCTTTTCGTTTCACTCTCCCACCCTCCTTGAGCACTACAGGGCCTGGTTCCTAAAGGGATGTAAATGAAGGAAGGGTTCAAAGTAAATGAAAGAATACTTTGTAGCAAGGTTTAAATTTGGGGAGGTCTTCCAACCTGGACCTTAACCTTAAACGATGATCACACTCTTCTCAGCCGTGAGGGATGGGGGTCGCCTCTTTAGGAGCCTCTCAGAAGCTCATTTACTCAAAGAGAGTCCTGGCCATTCATTCGATGTTATGGCCGGGAAGTCAAGTGAATACTGAACCCTGGCCAAGATTTCCATCCCCCAGTCCAAAGTGTTTTCTGCCTCTTCACACAGTTATGATACTACTAACAGCATGTTTACAATGTTGAACAGTTTATTAAATGGATTCAGATACATTATTCCATTTGCTTCTCACAACTGCTTAAATTAGGTATGGTTACATTCCCATATTCCAAATATGGTATGAATGTTCAAACTCAGGTCTTTCAACACAAAGCACATGCAAAGTTGACTTGAAAAGATAAAATCTCATAAAATATATGATAAAATGGCTATAACAAATAGTAACTTTCCACGGTATTTCCCTACACAGACGGACACACACACACGTATACATGCACACACACACACACAACTTATCTGCTATATTAGTTTCCTAGGGCTTCCATAACACATCACCATAGACTGTGTGGCTTGAAACAATGACACATTCTCTTACAGTTTTGGAAGCAAGAAGTCTGAAGTCAAGGTGTCAGCAGAGCCATGCTCTCTCCAAAGGCTCTAGGAAAAAATGCTTCATTGCCTCTTCTAGCTCCTGGTGTTTGCTGGCAATCCGTGGCATTCTTTGGCTTGTAGATGCCTCACTCCAATCTCTGACAGCATTTTCACATGGCCGTCTCCCATGTGTCTGTGTCAAAATTTCCCTCCTCTTATAATGGCCCACCCTGATCCAATATGACCTCATCTGAACTTGATGAAAAGACCCTATTTTCTTTTTCTCTCTCTCTTTCCTTCTTTCCTTCCCTCCCTCCCTCCCTCCTTCCTTCTTTCCTTGCTTCCTTCCTTCCTTCTTTCCCTCCCTTTCTTCTTTCTTTCTTTCTTTCTTTCTTTCTTTCTTTCTTTCTTTCTTTCTTTCTTTTTTGAGACAAGGTCTGGCTCTATCACCCAGGCTGCAGTGCAGTGGCATGATCTCGGCTTACTGCAACCTCCACCTCACTGGCTCAAGTGATCTTCCCACATCAGCCTCCCGAGTAGGTGGGACTACAGGCACACAGCATGTGGGACTACAGGCACACAGCACCATGCCTGGCTAATTTTTGTATTTTTTGTAGGGACAGGGTTTTGCTATGTTGATCAGTCTGGTCTCCAACTCTTGAGCTCAAGCAATCTGCCCACCTTGGTCTCCCAAAGTGCTGGGATTACAGGGGTGAGCCACCTCATCTGGCCAAGACCCTATTTTTGAATAAAGCCACATACGTAGGTACCTGGGGCTAGGACTTCAATATGTCCTTGGCAGACAAAATTCAACCCACAACTCCATAATCTGTCACCCACAGGAAAGCGAGAACATAAAAAAGAAACAATGGTATTGGAAAAGAGCCAAGGGCAACACTTGGGGGATGCTAAGATGAGAAGAAGGGAAAAGAGATAGTGAGCATAGAGGGTGTACTCTCCAGGGAGGGTCAAATTTGAGTATCTGGCTTGGAAAACCAGAGAAAGGAGAAAGATGGTTTTCAAAAGCTAAAAGAGGAAAAAGCATGGCAGGAGTGGAGAAGTCATTAGGAGGGTGGAAGAGCTGCTCCCTAGGGAGGGAGAGTAAGAGCCACTCCACTCCTGGGGAAATCCAGTGAAAACTGGGGCAAGTGTCAAGAGATGGAGATCCACGGTACTGAGCCCCTTCCCCCACCAGAGTGGCCCCCT
The DNA here is from genome assembly GCF_000001405.40 of Homo sapiens. Lineage (NCBI taxonomy): Eukaryota > Metazoa > Chordata > Mammalia > Primates > Hominidae > Homo > Homo sapiens. Next base: position 1,359,023 of record NT_167246.2, on the reverse strand, counting down.
TGAGGAGCCAGGGGTCTGCAAGCTCCCAAAGCATATTCCTATAGAAACTCTGGGGTCATGAAGTCATCTTGTCCCCCTTCCCAGACCTGATCCTGCTGCCTGTTTTATACTCATTGTTGCTACCAACCCCCACACAGTCACCCAACCTAGGTGTTATCTTCAACTCTTTCTTCTTCCTCATTCTTACAGTCCTTGAGGCCCCAACCTCCTTGATGTTAGCGCCTACCACAGGACTCCACCCATCTTCCTCCTAGCACTGTCTAGATCAGCCCTCACCTGGATTATGACAGCTGCCTTTCTCATTTCCCTGCCTCCAGACTTATTCTGCCCAATCCATCTTCCATTACCCAGGCCAAAGTCTATGCTTTTCTAAAATTTTATTTTGAAAATCTTCTGACAGAAGAGTTGAATGAATTTTACAGTGACCATCCAAATATTACCACCTACATTTTCTCATTAGCATTTTACTGTACTTGCTTTATCAAATATGTTTCCATCGACCCATTCCTTCATCCTTCTATCCATCTTATAATTTTATGCATTTTAAAGTAAGTTGCAGATATTCAAATGATTTCTAAAAATATAATCTGGTCATGTTAGAACTTGTTGGACTTTCAATAATGCCTCCCTTCTCTAAAGGATAAAGCCTGAACTGCACGTTGGCCTGCCTTCAGCCTAACCCCTGCCCCCACCTGCTTCCCATTTTTCACTCCAGAAAGGCCAAATTGCCTAAAATTCCCCACTCACCACATTGTTTACATCTCCCTGACCCGCTTTCATTGTTCCTTCTTCTTAGCTTGTCCTCAGCCTTCCAGGGCCTCAAACGCCTCCTTCCCTGAAAGCCTTTCTTGATCCCCCACTCCTCTCCGACACTGGTTTAGGCACCACATCTATAAGCACATAGCAGTCCCCAGGGCACACTTTGATCACTGCACTAATCTCCACAATCAAGACGATCTGTTTATGTGTGTTTCTCACCTCTACCCCAACTGAGAGCTTCCTAAAAATTCAGGGATCCTGCTTTATTTGTCTATTGTCCTTGGTACCTAGAACAGTCTGTGGCATGTGTGGGTGCTCCATAAATATTTGTTGAGTGAATGCATTACTGGTTTTGTCCTTTCTAAGAGCACCTCCTGCCTTTGTACCAGCTTCTCCCACACAACATGGGGCCAGGTCTTCAATGTAGATCCCAGAGAGTTAAGAAGGAAGCAAAGAACACTGTTACCCGTGTTTTCCAGCCAAAGACCCCCCAGGAACATAACTGTCATTAAACATGCTGGGTTTATTACTCCTTGCAGCAATGGAGAATGCACCCCATGGGGAGTGTGGGACATTTTAATAAGAGTGTTAGGAAAAAACCTATGATAGGGTTTGGGTTTTGGTTAGGTGATTTGGGGAAAGGTCTAAGGAAGTGGGGGTTTGCTCTGGATTAATGCTGTTAGAAAGCAGAGCAGATCCTGTGAATGAATACCCAAATAAATATTTTCTATAGGGAGGGGAGACTAGAACGAGGGGAAAGCTATAATTGGTAAAGAAGTAGCAAACATTTCTGTTAACCAAGAGAAGGGGTGTTTGGTATTTTGTGGGTGGCACAGTGTCTTTTTTTGGATCTGTGCTCAGAAAAACTTGTGAAGCAGCCTTGCATTGTCTCACTTTATCAAGGTCTAGGAGTAAACTTGTCTGAGATTGGTATTCTGTAATATAGTTTATGCCTACTAGGTGAATAACATGGTTTAGCTCTGTTAGGCCAACTTCTGAATGTCAGAGGCTGCTCTTTTTTTTTCTCTCAGTGTTTAGGTTGGGCATTGGGAAAAAAGATGAATTAGTGGGATTGGAGCATGTGTATAGATATGTGCAGAATCCAGTTCAATGCAAAAAACTTTTCTTTTTTTTTTTTCTTTTTTTTTTTTTTTTTTGAGACAGACTCTTGCTCTGTTGCCTAGGCTGGAGGGCAGTGGTGCGATCTCGGCTCACTGCAAGCTCTGCCTCCCGGGTTCATGCCATTCTCCTGCCTCAGCCTCCACAGTAGCTGGGACTACAGGTGCCTGCCACCATGCCCGGCTAATTTTTTGTATTTTGTTTAGTAGAGATGGGGTTTCACCATAGCCAGTTGGTCCGATCTCCTGACCTCGTGATCCACCTGCCTCGGCCTCCCAAAGTGCTGAGATTACAGGCTTGAGCCAACGCTTCCGGCCACAAAATTTTTCAAATAGAGGAAGTCTGGAGTTTATTTCCAAGGTGTCCACCTCCCCAATCCAGGCATATATTTCCAGGTCACAGTGCTGACACTTTCAGCCTCCCGCAGTCACACACCCCATGGTCATGGAAAGGGACACGTGGCCCAGGTCCCTGGTGGCTCTGAGTTGTGGGGAGGGAGGAGCCAGTGGCTTTGGCTCTACCCGGACATCCATTGTTCTCCCAGGGCAAACACTCTGAAGCTTGTTTTCTTGGCTGACTGTTTTTGTTTGTCATCCTGCCTGGTATCACAGCCTCCCAGTAACTCCCAAACCTACTCATCTGAGCCCTGAGGAAAACCTATTAGATATGAATTCTTTGTTGGTTTTGTGACAGTGGCCTCTGACCAGACGGGTTCAGCTGCCTGGACCCCAAGGGCCTTGTTGTCTCTGCTCCCTGCCTTCTGGGGTAATGATCTCACCCTTGCCCCCAGTTTCAAGGATCCAGTGACTCACTGCAGAGTAAATCAACAGCATGGCAGATGCCTGGCATCTGAGGTCTCTGATACTCTCTAAGGATATGGGGCTGTGATCTTTTTTCCTTCAGTCTGGTGCTTCTGTCTGACTGTTAGTGATTCCCCTTTCCTGATAAAGGCTTTAATATTTCCTTCAAATCAGACAGCCCTGAAGTTGCTGCCTCCTGCCTTCATTATTCCTTTCTGCACAAGGCTGAATTGATTCTGTTCTGAAATTTTCCTCATCCCTGCCCTCCACACACATACTCACCAATGCATGACTTGCTTTTTCATGGCCTCTTGTCTTGTGCTTCTCTACCTTTTGGTTCAAATCTTCTTCTTCTTCTTCTTTTTTTTTTTATGAAGTTTTTATGAAGCCTTGCTCTGTCACCCAGGCTGGAGTGCACTGGCACATCTCAGCTCACTGCAACCTCAGCCTCCCGGGTTCAAGGGCTTCTCTTGCCTCAGTCTCTTAGGTAGCTGGGATTACAGGTGCCCACCACCACACCCAGCTAATTTTTTGTACTTTTAGTAGAGATGGGGTTTTGCCATGTTGGTCTGGCTGGTCTCGAACTCCTGACCTTGGGTGATCCGCCCACCTTGGCCTCCCAAAATGCTAGGATTACAGGTGTGAGCCACCGTGCAAGCCGAAAGTCTTCTTTAGCTATGATCTTCCTGAATCCTAGTTTGATTTGATCCTTCAGGACATGTTTGTGTGTATTTACATATCTGTGTTTTATACACATAGAAATGTGTGTGTGTGTGTGTGTGTGTGTGTGTGTGTGTGTGTATTTGAAATAGCTATAAACCAGGGACAGTGGGAATAGTGAGGATATGTGTTTGTGGGATCAAGTGAGGTTGTGGTTACAAGAAAAAGCTATATCTTTGATAACAGCAAATCAATAATAGATAATGCCTAAAATTAGAAGAGCAAATAGTAATAATATAATCCTTGTATTTACAGATGTGAAGGTGAACACCAAAACAGCTAAAAGAGTTGAAAGTAGTGGAGATGGGGGTGAGGGCTGCCATTTTAAAAAATTAACTCATCAACTTGTTTAACTTTTTATTTGCATATATAACTGCGATGAAAATCCTGAAAATAATCTAATTGTGTTCTGTGTTCCTTTTTTTTCCCCCTACCAGCCATGTGAAGATCTGTCACCCACTCATTTCCTCAGCCCAGTTTCTCACCCTTGCTTCCTCTGTTTCCAGGGGCCAGGCTTGTCCACCCCTCGGGATCTCTCCTACCTGACTGCTCTCCTCCTGCCTCCAATCTATCCACCTGCAGACAGAACAATCTCTACAACCTGTGTCACCAGAGTGTGTTTCACTTCCACTTGAAAATTCTCTGAGACTTGCCTAGTGTAACAGGATTGAGTTATGCCCTCAGTATGACAAGCTCCATGTCCCTCTCAGTGCCAGCCCTAGGCACGCAGCCTGCACCAGGCTCAGACACACCTCCTTCTCTTGGCTGCCCTGGCTCTGTACTCCCTCTGACCAAAACCCTTCCCCTGTATGTGTTTCTTTACTATGGGTCATAATTTATAGTACATAATGTTCTGCACTGACTTTTTCTTTTAACCACGATCTTATAGATCTTCTCATGTCAACCCAAATAGGTCATCTTCACTATTTTTCACTGTTACATGAATTCAATTACATAATGTATATAAAAACATTTTGCATGCCATCTGGCATATAGGAAGACTCAAATATATCCTTATCTCATTTAAGTTTCCATCACCGCAACATAATGAAGAAACACCCTTTGTCTCCTTTAACACTGTAGTTGTAAGATTCCTCCTCAACTGTTATTACAGCTATGCATTGTGCCTTTTAAAAACATTTAGTATTTTTTTTCATTGGGACAAATCTTGCTATGTTGCCCAGGCTGGTCTCTCACTCCTGGGCTAAGTGATCCTCCTGCCTCACCCTCCCAAAGTGCTGGGATTATAGGCATGAGCCACTGTGCCTTGCCCTATGCAATGGTTTTAAACAGATCACGAATTTAATTAATATCACTATTCTCCCCATTATTTCTTTAGCTTTTCCATCCAGCTCCCTACACATCCCTCTTTTGTGGATCTCAACTCCTTGGAGCTCTCCCACACACTCTGCTTGCTTGCTTTTCCCTGAAATGCCCTCTGCTATCCCCTTCCACCACCCACTGGGGAAGTGGTTCCCTTCTTCCCAGACATCCGCTGTAAAAGCTTCCCTAAGCTGCCCTCTCCCAGAGGAGCCCTCAGCCTATGGGCAGCCCCGCCCCCCACCTGGTTTGCACCACTCATATCACTCCTTAACCAGAAGGTCAGTCTTTTGAAAGCAGGGCGTCTTAGTATCTTCAGTGCTTAGCATGTTGCCTGGCACATAAAAAGTGCCCCCATAAGTGTTTGCGGGATGAGAATCCTCAACTTCTAAATGTCTAATCTCATTTTTCTATGTAATATGCCACACACAGAAGAGGTGCTCTGTGGTATAGAGGAGAATGTACCTTCTTATTAGCTGTGTGATCTTGGACAACTCACATCACCTCTCTGAGCCTCAGTTTCTTGATCCGTAAAATGGGGGTAATGAGATCTATGAGGAATGAATGATGAAATAAAATATAAGAAGATGTTCTAAAAATGTAAAAAGTATTACCATCACTCCTTCTTCAACCTCATTTCAAACTTTCCATAGTTCTGACAAAATCCTCTCCCCAGGTCCAGCCCGTTCTGTAAGATCATGTCTCTCCCCCCGACTCCTGATCCTCATTCCTTTCTTTTTCTTTTTCTTTCTTTCTTCTTTTTTTTTTTTTTTGAGATGCAGTTTTGCTCTTGTTGCCCAGGCTGGAGTGCAATGGCGCATCGGCTCACCACAACCTCCGCCTCCCGGGTTCAAGCGATTCTCCTGCCTCAGCCTCACTGAGTAGCTGGGATTACAGACATGCACCACCATACCCAGCTAATTTTGTATTTTTAGTAGAGACAGGGTTTCTCCATGTTGGTCAGGCTGGTCTCGAACTCCCGACCTCAGGTGGTTCGCCTGCCTCGGCCTCCCAAAGTGCTGGGATTACAGGTATGAGCCACCGTGCCCGGCAACCTCATTCCTTTCTGGTGCTGTTGTTTCGCCCTCTCATTCCCTTCTTCTAACTTGGTAGGCTTTGTTCTTGCCTAATTCCTCTTCAGTGTTCACTTTTCTGTAGCCTTTGCCTTTCTCCTTTCAGCATAGCTCTGTCCTCACAGCTTCCTGGAAGCCATCCCAAGAACTCTTATAGGTTCCTTTCCCTCTGCTTCCTTGAAGCTCCTCCCTGCTCCTCCTGCCACATACACCACCCAGGGGTCAGGGGAGCCTCACATGGGCGTGGATAACTCTACCAAGCGCTGGTTTCAAGGACGCTTGCAAAGGTGGCCAGAAATGGCAGATAAAAGGGCACGAGATGCCATGTTCTGCGCAGGGAGGGGCTGGATGAGGGGAACCAGAGAGTCCAAGGCAGGTCCCAGGGCAAGTTTTCCTTCCAGAGATTCAGGGCAGGCAGGACAGAGCTGGAGGGGTGTGTTTGGGAGACAGGGGAGGTAACATCTGAGGCTCAGGAGGCAGTCAGAGGGAGTGGCTCCTGAACTAATTGGCAGGCTGGATGCCAGCAGCGTGCCAGTGATGTTTTAGCTACTGGTCACCAGAGGAGAGGAAGGAAGGGAGGGAGGGAGAGTCTATCATGTGGACCAAGACACAGAGGCACATGGGGCCTGTTGTCGGCTGGCTCTCAGCTCATCAGGCTTTTCTAGGTCACTGTGCGTTGCCACCTCCCTTGCTGGGTTTCCCTGCTCTGCCTCGTGCTGCCTTGCATGCCCCTGGCTTGGTTTCTCTGACTCATAGTCCACGACCCGGACACTCTCTTCAAGTCTCTGTGCTCCTGGGAGTTGGTGTTCTAATACTGTTGGGGAGGAAGCACTTGAGTCCCAGCATGCAGGCTTTGACCTTTATCCTGCATGGCCCCCAGTTTCCTCCCTGTGACTGGAATGTGACACAGGCTCCTGGAGTAGTTAAGAAAGTAGTAAAATCTTTAATGATTTGAAAATTATAAAATTATAAAATTATTACTGTGTTAAAATGAACTATCCTTGTTCTTTTTGTTTCTCCACCACTCCTAATGTCAGATATGCTTACATCGGGCTGCACAGTTCACAGCACTGTTGGATGGCCCACAGGCCTCCTGGCTTCACATGTCCAACATGCCACCCCTGATATTCCTGCCCAGGCCAGCTCCTCACAGTTCTTCCCACTGCAGTCACTGGCAGCTCCATCCTCCCCATGGTGGGGCCAAATTCGTTAGAGCTTCCTGCCTCCTCCTTTGCTCTCACACTCCACAACCAATGCAGTAACTCACGTCCAGAAGTCAGCCCCTTCCCACCAACTCCAACCCCTGGTAGGCTCACCTCACCCAGTACTGAATGAAGTCCTGACAATGACAAAGCCCTGCACAGTCGGCCAGTCCCATCTCTGACTTCCTACTCCACACCCGCTGCTCCCTCTGCTCCAGCCACATGGCCTCATGTTAAATCTCAAACACATCAGCAGCTTCAGCATCACAGCCTTTGCCTCTGCCTTTCCTTTCATCTGGATGATCCTTCCTTCAGATAAGCACTTGACGACTTCTCTTACCACCTTCAAATCTTTGCTCAAATAGAATCTATTGAGATTGTAACTCTATCTACTCCATCCAGCACTCCATCCAGCATTGAGAAGGCCCATCTCTCTAGGTGATATTTAAGGGCAGACCTGAGAGATGAATAAGAGATCATCATGCTCAGAGAGGAGAGAAGGGCATCCCAGGCACAGGTAACAGCTTTGCATCAACCTAGAGGCAAGAACAATTTGGGCTAATTTAAGCAAAGTTGACGCATGATGAGTTGGGAGTAAAGATGGCACAAGATAATAATGAAGACTTAGAGATTAGAGCAAGCAAAAACTTAGGTTTTAGTAGTGGAATAGGCAAGAGTGCAATGGGGGAAGATCCGAGGCCACTACTTGCTAATGGCATTCCCCAGAGTTGTATAAGGCAGTCATCCCAAAGAGAGAAAACTATGCTAGCATTTGTGTCTTTCTTCCCAGCTTTATGTTGCTTCGTGGTACCTACCATACATTACACTTATTTATTTGTTAATGAGCTGTTCTCCCCGCTAGAGTTTAGAATTCCCATGAGGCCAGGTTCCTGTCTGTGTTGATCTCCACTGAGTCCCTAGCTTTCAACACTGTATCTGCACATAGTAGGTCCTTAATAAGTACTTTTGAACGAATAAGTATAAATTACTTTTATCATCCCTAAAACAAATTTTTTGATATAATTGTTTTCACTTTATAGTCACAAAACTAACAAGAGTCAAGTCAAATCTTGACACCCTACTGTTTCTAAGTGGTGTCAATGTTCCTTCATACTGTATAATTTCTTATCTGGTTTAGTCAAAATGGGCAAAGGCTTCAGTTTTTTCAATTTTAAAATGAGGAGTTTGGACTAATGGATTGCCCATTTGCTGGAGGATGATACCTGCTCCTTCCTCCAGGGCCTCCCCTGCTGCTCCAGTCCAAGTTCTTTTCCCTCTTCCAGCCTCCCCTCTTCCTGGGGTCTGGACAACAGAGGTTAAATGGTTTAAAGGCCCACTGGGAGACTGTGAATCACAGAAGCACAGGAATCCTTTCCATTTCTAGCTGCCTACACTCCATCTATCTCACTGGCTGAGGCTTCGATTCTGTCAAGGAAATAGGATGACTACAGAACAGAAAGAAAGGACAGAGAATAAAAAGGAGAAAATGATGAAGGGGAGGGCAGGGAGGAAGGAGAGAAGGACAGAGCAAACAGGTCTCGTGCATGTTAGTGAATATTCTGCAGAGAGGAGAAGCAGTTATTGTGGACTGTGGTCCAACTGAAACAAAATATCTCATCACTTTGTCTTTACCCCCTCTCTTGTGATCCCATCTCAACATCCAAAGCTCATTAAGTATGTAGCCCATTTCTGTAACAGCCTTGCAATTACACAGTCATCCATTCCAGAAATTAGAAATTCATGATTGATTTTCCCCTCCCTCATCACCCAAAGGCCACTTCAATGTTTTTGTCAATTCTATCTACAAAATACACTTCAAATTGGCCTGCTCATTTTCAGCTCCACTGGATCCCACTATCTCAAGCCATCATCCTTTCTCACCTAAATTACTGGCATAGTTTTCTCTCCTTGGGATGACTGCCGTATACAACTCTGGGAATGCCATTAGCAGGTAGTGACCCTGGGTCTCCCCCATTCCACTCTTGTTTATTCCACTACTAAAACTTAAGATTTCACTTGCTCTAGTCTCTGCCTACGTCTTCATTATTATCTTGTGCCATCTTTACTCCTAACTCATCATGTGTCAACTTTGCTTAAATTAGCCCAAATTGTTCTTGCCTCTAGGCTGTTGCAAAGCTGTTACCTGTGCCTGCAATGCCCTTCTCTCCTCTTTGAGCATGATGATCTCTTATTCATCTCTCAGGTCTCCCCTTAAATATCACCTTGGAAGATGGGCCTTCCTCAATGTCCCCCATCTAAATTAAGGACTTCTGCTCTCAGTCTCTGTGCTGGAGATTTGTCAAAATGTCAGATTTATCAAATAAAAGTACAGGATGTCCATTTAAATCTGAATTTTAGATAAATAATAAACAAGTATTTTGTGTAAGTATGCCCCATGCAGTATTTGGGAGATACTTATACTAAAAAATCATTGTTTATCTGAAATTCAAATTTAACTGGATGTTCTGCATTTTATCTGCCAAACCTACATATATGGAATGACCTCATTTCCTTTCTATTGAAGAGATTGAAAAGTAAAAAACTCTATTTCTCAGAATTTTTGGAGCTAGGATTCTGGACATGAATTAAGTCCTTCCAACTAAATGTATTTCTATGAGATTTGAAATGCAGAAGTGAGGTAGAGGCTATTTTCCTATAGAAGAGCATGGATGAGCCCCAATAAACATGAAATGTGCATGGGGGTAGGGCAGCTGGGCCCGTGGCTGCTATGCTAGCAGTAGCTGCAGCACTACTGACCTATGGTGATTGACCTTGAAGCCAATAAACCAGTTAGGACATCCTGACTTTTTTTTTTTTTTTTTTTTTTTTTTTTTTTTTGAGACGGAGTCTCGCTCTGTCGCCAGGCTGGAGTGCAGTGGAGTGATCTTGCTCACTGCAACCTCTGCCTCCTGAGTTCAAGCAATTCTCCTGCCTCAGCCTCCTAAGTAGCTGTGACTACATCATGTGCCACCATGCCCAGCTAACTTTTGTATTTTTAGTAGAGACGGGGTTTCACCATGTTGGCCAGGATGGTCTCGATCTCTTGACCTTGTGATCTGCCCAACTCAGCCTCCCAAAGTGTTGGGATTACAGGCATGAGCCACCGTGCCCAGCCAATATTTTTTTTTCTTAATTGAAACAGGCGCCTAAAAGACAGGAAGGAACCTGCTCCTGCATTCTTGACAGATGAGGATCCGAAAGTTTTCCCTACTTACACACCAGCAAGATCATCTCTCTGGGAATCAATTTTCTTATCCATATTGTAAGGGCTAGACTACACATTGTTAATGTTCCCTACAACTCTAGCATTCTACAAATCTATGATTCTTTGAAGTCTTTAATAGAGGTGGGAGCCAGAATCAAATTAGCTATATTTGGTGCACTTACTAGCGATCCTTGTACAGGTTAATAAATAACTTGTTTGGAAGACCTATTCTCCCCGATGGGGAAGTGGACATGGAAATGAGATGATCGTCTTGAATGTAAATAATGTGAAGGGGAATAGGAATTAGAAAAAGAAAACTGAGAGAAAAGACTACTAGGACAAAATGAGCTTCAAAATACATAAATCATGCTGAGTGTGGTAGCTTATGCCTATAATCTCAGCTCTTTGGGAGATGAGGCCAAAGTGGGAGGATTGATTGAAGCCAGGAGCTTGAGATCAGCCTGGGCAACACAGCCAGATCCCATCTCTACAATCAATCAATCAATCAATCAATCCATTAGACCACGTAAATATCACACTTACAGCTACTCAGTGGCATTCCACTGCTCTTAGAACAACGATCAACTCCTTATCCTGGTCCCTAAGGTCCTACACAGCTTGGCTCTTAGTACCTCTCCAATCTCACATCAAACCATTGTCATCCCACTTCATACGTTCAAGATCTTTCCCACTTCAGGGTCTTTGCATCTGCTGTTGTTGCTCTCTCCCAACTCTTCTCATTGCTGGCTCCCTCTCTTCACCTTCTCAGAGGAGCTTTTTCTAACATCCTATTAAAAGTAGTGCACACCTCCTCCAGTTAATTCCTCTTATATTACCCACTTTGTATTCTTCAAAGCACTGATCACAATCTATAATTATCTTGTTAATTTATTTGTTTACTTGCTTATTGTTGGCCTTTTTCAATGGAATCTAAATTACCAGAGGACAAGGGACTATGGCTGGCTTGCTCTCCACTCTTCCTAACTCCTAGAACAACGCATGGTACATAGTAGGTGCTTAGTAAATAGTTGTTGAATGATTAAATGAATGGATGAATGAATGCACAGCTCTTAAAAGGAAACTGCTGGCCAGGTGCGGTGGCTCACACCTGTAATCCTAGCACTTTGGTAGGCTGAAGCAGGCAGATCACCTGAGGTAAGGAGTTCAAGACCAGCCTGGCAAACATGACAAAACCCCATCTCTACTAAAAATACAAAAATTAGCTGGGTGTGGTGGCATGTGCCTGTAGTCCCAGCTACTTGGGAGGCTAAGCTAGGAGAATCGCTTGAACCCAGGAGGCAGAGGTTGTAGTGAACTGAGCTCATGCCACTGCACTCCAGCCTGGTGACAGAGCGAGACTCTGTCACAAACAAACAAACAAACAAAAAAAAAAAATGGAAACTGCTAAGGGCTTGGAGAACAAGAAGGCCTTGAGAAAACTGAGAAGATGGGGGGAGGAGCCAAGATGGCCAAATAGGAACAGCTCCGGTCTACAGCTCCCAGCGTGAGCAACGCAGAAGACAGGTGATTTCTGCATTTCCATCTGAGGTTCATCTCACTAGGGAGTGCCAGACAGTGGGCACAGGTCAGTGGGTGCGCGCACCGTGCGTGAGCCGAAGCAGGGCGAGGCATTGCCTCACTCAGGAAGCACAAGGGGTCAGGGAGTTCCCTTTCCTAGTCAAAGAAAGGGGTGACAGAGGGCACCTGGAAAATCGGGTCACTCTCACCCGAATACTGCGCTTTTCCGACGGGCTTAAAAAACGGCCCACCAGGAGATTATATCCCGCACTTGGCTCAGAGGGTCCTACGCCCACAGAGTCTCGCTGATTGCTAGCACAGCAGTCTGAGATCAAACTGCAAGGTGGCAGCGAGGCTGGAGGAGGGGCGCCCGCCATTGCCCAGGCTTGCTGAGGTAAACAAAACAGCCGGGAAGCTCGAACTGGGTGGAGCCCACCACAGCTCAAGGAGGCCTGCCTGCCTCTGTAGGCTCCACCTCTGGGGGCAGGGCACAGACAAACAAAAAGACAGCAGTAACCTCTGCAGACTGAAATGTCCCTGTCTGACAGCTTTGAAGAGAGCAGTGGTTCTCCCAGCACGCAGCTGGAGATCTGAGAACGGGCAGACTGCCTCCTCAAGTGGGTCCCTGACCCCTGACCCCCGAGCAGCCTAACTGGGAGGCACCCCCCAGCAGGGGCAGACTGACACTTCACACGGCCGGGTACTCTAACAGACCTGCAGCTGAGGGTCCTGTCTGTTAGAAGGAAAACTAACAAACAGAAAGGACATCCACACAAAAAACCCATCTGTACATCACCATCGTCAAAGACCAAAAGTAGATAAAACCACAAAGATGGGGAAAAAACAGAGCAGAAAAACTGGAAACTCTAAAAAGCAGAGCTCCTCTCCTCCTCCAAAGGAATGCAGTTCCTCACCAGGAATGGAACAAAGCTGGACGGAGAATGACTTTGACGAGCTGAGAGAAGAAGGCTTCAGACGATCAAATTACTCCGAACTATGGGAGGACATTCAAACCAAAGGCAAAGAAGTTGAAAACTTTGAAAAGAATTTAGAAGAATGAATAACTAGAATAACCAATACAGAGAAGTGCTTAAAGGAGCTGATGGAGCTGAAAACCAAGGCTCGAGAACTACGTGAAGAATGTAGAAGCCTCAGGAGCTGATGCGATCAACTAGAAGAAAGGGTATCAGTGATGGAAGATGAAATGAATGAAATGAAGCGAGAAGGGAAGTTTAGAGAAAAAGGAATAAAAAGAAACGAGCAAAGCCTCCAAGAAATATGGGACTATGTGAAAAGACCAAATCTACATCTGATTGGTGTACCTGAAAGTGACGGGGAGAATGGAACCAAGTTGGAAAACACTCTGCAGGATATTATCCAGGAGAACTTCCCCAATCTAGCAAGGCAGGCCAACGTTCAGATTCAGGAAATACAGAGAACGCCACAAAGATACTCCTCGAGAAGAGCAACTCCAAGACACGTAATTGTCAGATTCACCAAAGTTGAAATGAAGGAAAAAATGTTAAGAACAGCCAGAGAGAAAGGTCGGGTTACCCTCAAAGGGAAGCCCATCAGACTAACAGCGGATCTCTCGGCAGAAACTCTACAAGCCAGAAGAGAGTGGGGGTCAATATTCAACATTCTTAAAAAAAAGAATTTTCAACCCAGAATTTCATATCCAGCCAAACTAAGCTTCATAAGTGAAGGAGAAATAAAATCCTTTACAGACAAGCAAATGCTGAGAGATTTTGTCACCACCAGGCCTGCCCTAAAAGAGCTCCTGAAGGAAGCACTAAACATGGAAAGGAACAACCAGTACCAGCTGCTGCAAAATCATGCCAAAATGTAAAGACCATTGAGACTAGGAAGAAACTGCATCAACTAATGAGCAAAATAACCAGCTAACATCATAATGACAGGATCAAATTCACACATAACAATATTAACTTTAAATGTAAATGGACTAAATGCTCCAATTAAAAGACACAGACTGGCAAATTGGATAAAGAGTCAAGACCCATCAGTGTGCTGTATTCAGGAAACCCATTTCACGTGCAGAGACACACATAGGCTCAAAATAAAAGGATGGAGGAAGATCTACCAAGCAAATGGAAAACAAAAAAAGGCAGGGGTTGCAATCCTAGTCTCTGATAAAACAGACTTTAAACCAACAAAGATCAAAAGAGACAAAGAAGGCCATTACATAATGGTAAAGGGATCAATTCAACAAGAAGAGCTAACTATCCCAAATATATATGCACCCAATACAGGAGCACCCAGATTCATAAAGCAAGTCCTGAGTGACCTACAAAGAGACTTAGATTCCCATGCATTAATAATGGGAGACTTTAACACCCCACTGTCAACATTAGACAGATCAACAAGACAGAAAGTTAACAAGGATACCCAGGAATTGAACTCAGCTCTGCACCAAGCAGACCTAATAGACATCTACAGAACTCTCCACCCCAAATCAACAGAATATACATTTTTTTCAGCACCACACCACACCTATTCCAAAATTGACCACATACTTGAAAGTAAAGCTCTCCTCAGCAAATGTAAAAGAACAGAAATTATAACAAACTATCTCTCAGACCACAGTTCAATCAAACTAGAACTCAGGATTAAGAATCTCACTCAAAACCGCTCAACTACATGGAAACTGAACAACCTGCTCCTGAATGACTACTGGGTACATAACGAAATGAAGGCAGAAATAAAGATGTTCTTTGAAACCAACGAGAACAAAGACACAACATACTAGAATCTCTGGGACGCATTCAAAGCAGTGTGTAGAGGGAAATTTATAGCACTAAATGCCCACAAGAGAAAGCAGGAAAGATCTAAAATTGACACCCTATAATCACAATTAAAAGAACTAGAAAAGCAAGAGCAAACACATTCAAAAGCTAGCAGAAGGCAAGAAATAACTAAAATCAGAGCAGAATTGAAGGAAATAGAGACACAAAAAAACCCTCCAAAAAATTAATGAATCCAGGAGCTGGTTTTTTGAAAGGATCAACAAAATTGATAAACCGCTAGCAAGACTAATAAAGAAAAAAGAGAGAAGAATCAAATAGACACAATAAAAAATGATAAAGGGGATATCATCACCGATCCCACAGAAACAGAAACTACCATCAGAGAATACTATAAACACCTCTATGCAAATAAACTAGAAAATCTAGAAGAAATGGATAAATTCCTTGACACATACACTCTCCCAAGACTAAACCAGGAAGAAGCTGAATCTCTGAATAGACCAATAACAGGATCTGAAATTGTGGCAATAATCAATAGCTTACCAACCAAAAAGAGTCCAGGACCAGATGGATTCACAGCCGAATTCTACCAGAGGTACAAGGAGGAACTGGTACCATTCCTTCTGAAACTATTCCAATCAATAGAAAAAGAGGGAATCTTCCCTAACTCATTTTATGAGGCCAGCATCATCCTGATACCAAAGCTGGGCAGAGACACAACCAAAAAAGAGAATTTTAGACCAATATCCTTGATGAACATTGATGCAAAAATCCTCAATAAAATACTGGCAAACCAAATCCAGCAGCACATCAAAAAGCTTATCCACCATGATCAAGTGGGCTTCATCCCTGGGATGCAAGGCTGGTTCAATATACACAAATCAATAAATGTAATCCAGCATATAAACAGAATCAAAGACAAAAACCACATGATTATCTCAATAGATGCAGAAAAGGCCTTTGACAAAATTCAACAATGCTTCATGCTAAAAACTCTCAATAAATTAGGTATTGATGGGATGTATTTCAAAATAATAAGAGCTATCTATGACAAACCCACAGCCAATATCATACTGAATGGGCAAAAACTGGAAGCATTCCCTTTGAAAACTGGCACAAGACAGGGATGCCCTCTCTCACCACTCCTATTCAACATAGTGTTGGAAGGTCTGGCCAGGGCAATTAGTCAGGAGAAGGAAATAAAGGGTATTCAATTAGGAAAAGAGGAAGTCAAATTGTTCCTGTTTGCAGACGACATGATTGTATATCTAGAAAACCCCATTGTCTCAGCCCAAAATCTCCTTAAGCTGATAAGCAACTTCAGCAAAGTCTCAGGATACAAAATCAATGTACAAAAGTCACAAGCATTCTTATACACCAACAACAGACAAACACAGAGCCAAATCATGAGTGAACTCCCATTCACAATTGCTTCAAAGAGAATAAAATACCTAGGAATCCAACTTATAAGGGATGTGAAGGACCTCTTCAAGGAGAACTACAAACCACTGCTCAAGGAAATAAAAGAGGATACAAACAAATGGAAGAACATTCCATGCTCATGGGTAGGAAGAATCAATATCGTGAAAATGGCCATACTGCCCAAGGTAATTTACAGATTCAATGCTATCCCCATCAAGCTACCAATGACTTTCTTCACAGAATTGGAAAAAACTACTTTAAAGTTCATATGGGACCAAAAAAGAGCCCGCATCGTCAAGTCTATCCTAAGCCAAAAGAACAAAGCTGGAGGCATCACGTTACCTGACTTCAAACTATACTACAAGGCTACAGTAACCAAAACAGCATGGTACTGGTGCCAAAACAGAGATATAGATCAATGGAACAGAACAGAGCCCTCAGAAATAAGGCCGCATATCTACAAGTATCTGATCTTTGACAAACCTGAGAAAAACAAGCAATGGGGAAAGGATTCCCTATTTAATAAATGGTGCTGGGAAAACTGGCTAGCCATATGTAGAAAGCTGAAACTGGATCCCTTCCTTACACCTTATACAAAAATTAATTCAAGATGGATTAAAGACTTAAATGTTAGACCTAAAACCATAAAAACCCTAGAAGAAAACCTAGGCATTACCATTCAGGACATAGGCATGGGCAAGGACTTCATGTCTAAAACACCAAAAGCAATGGCAACAAAAGCCAAAATTGGCAAATGGGATCTAATTAAACTAAAGAGCTTCTGCACAGCAAAAGAAACTACCATCAGAGTGAATAGGCAACCTACAAAATGGGAGAAAATTTTCGCAACCTACTCATCTGACAAAGGGCTAATATCCAGAATCTACAATGAACTCAAACAAATTTACAAGAAAAAAACAAACAACCCCATCAAAAAATGGGCGAAGGACATGAACAGACACTTCTCAAAAGAAGACATTTATGCAGCCAAAAAACACATGAAAAAATGCTCACCATCACTGGCCATCAGAGAAATGCAAATCAAAACCACAATGAGATACCATCTCACACCAGTTAGAATGGCAATCATTAAAAAGTCAGGAAACAACAGGTGCTGGAGAGGATGTGGAGAAATAGGAACACTTTTACACTGTTGGTGGGACTGTAAACTAGTTCAACCATTGTGGAAGTCAGTGTGGCGATTCCTCAGGGATCTAGAACTAGAAATACCATTTGACCCAGCCATCCCATTACTGGTTATATACCCAGAGGACTATAAATCATGCTGCTATAAAGACACATGCACACGTATGTTTATTGTGGCATTATTCACAATAGCAAAGACTTGGAACCAACCCAAATGTCCAACAATGATAGACTGGATTAAGAAAATGTGGCACATATACACCATGGAATACTATGCAGTCATAAAAAATGATGAGTTCATGTCCTTTGTAGGGACATGAATGAAATTGGAAATCATCATTCTCAGTAAACTATCGCAAGAACAAAAAACCAAACACCGCATATTCTCACTCATAGGTGGGAATTGAACAATGAGAACACGTGGACACAGGAAGGGGAACATCACACTCTGGGGACTGTTGTGGGGTGAGGGCAGGGGGGAGGGATAGCATTGGGAGGTATACCTAATGCTAGATGACGAGTTGGTGGGTGCAGCGCACCAGCATGGCACGTGTATACATATGTAACTAACCTGCACATTGTGCACATGTACCCTAAAACTTAAAGTATAATAATAATAAATAAATAAATAAATAAGAAAACTGAGAAGACAAATAGTGAACATTTAGGGGAGAATTTAAATGATGGATAGAAATATTAGTGACATTGATAGGTGGGTTGTTGGAAGGAAAGAGAATAAGTGAGCACCTACATGAACTTGAAGGATGGGCAACATTTCAGAGAAACTGTTAGCCCTAAGCAGGGATTTAAAGGGAGAGAAAGGAAGGAGCCTTCCAGGAGGGACAGAAAAGAGAAAGTAAAGTCTCAAAAGAAAGAAATTAATATTTAAGGAAAAGAATATAGACTTTGGAGCCAGCAGGTTTGAATTTCAGTCCTGGCTCTGCCTCCTGCCGGCTGTTTGAGCCTAGTCAAATCCCTTACCATGCCAGAATCCCAGGGGCCTCAGTGTAACATGGCTGGACTTGGCCTCACGGCTGTTATAGGGTTAAATGAGAGAATGGACTATGAAGGTGACATTTCTATAACATAGTCATGTATTTGAGTATCAAGATTGATTGGATTAATCTGGCTGGATATTCTTCCTCTATCCCTGCCTCAAGCCACCCCTCCTAAAACTGCCTCCCCCATCAGGGCAAGTTTTACTCAGAGTCCTTGGAGTAGTTGCATAGGAAAACTGCTCTGGTCTAATAGAATTTCCAGCTATGTTAAAGCACAGTGTAAACATCCAAGTCCTTAAAAAAATGAGTCATTATAGAAACAATCAAGATTGAAGAAAATCTTTGGGAAGGGCATAGTGAGTGGGAATTGAGAAAGAATTATGGTCTCCTTCATTTTGATTTCTTACCTCCTAGCCCTTCTTTTCCCAATCCAGTTTTCTCCCCAGAGATGCTTCACATTCTTTGTTCAGGCCTTTTCACTTCTCTTCCAGTCAACACAACCTTCACTTCTTTTACAGGTCACCTCCTCCTGGAAGACTTCCTGAAATGATTCCCACTTGTCCTTCAATCTGTCAACAGAATCCTCCCTCACTCTTCCCCCGTCACTGCACCTTTAAAATTTGGTAATGACAGATTTAGGTTGATGATGGATACACTTTATCTGCCTTCTTACACACCCTAATTCAGTAATGCTAAATTTTGTTGATGATGGATACACTTTACCTGCCTTATCACACTTCCTAAGGGCAGGGACCATGACTGTCCTGTGATCAGTCTCCCAAACTCCTCTATCATACTTATCTCTCCCTCTGGAAAGCTTCTAAAGACTAGTGGGGCTTTTAAAAGCATGAGGATGTTGCTAATATGGAGGAGAGAGACTGAAGGATAAATGAAAGGATAGAAGAAAAAAATGAAGAGAAGGAAAAGAAGGGATGGGTCAAGGCCTGTCCCACCTCTGACATTCCCTAGTGCCATGCATGGGTATCAAGCTGTCACACTCCACAACACCACAAGTAGGAATCCTGGAAGGAGTTGGAAAGGGGTGGGAACAGTTATTTAGGAGACACCTACATTAAGGAAGGAAGATGTGGATCCTAGCAGAGAGACAGGATCCCGTCATGGTCAACTGGATCAAGCCAAGCCAAGCTGACACACGTAAAATCACATCCACCCTTCTGGCTCTCTGGAAATAGAATGAACTCAGTGGTGATTAGAGCATCAAGTATAGAGTTGTTAGGGATTCTGGAAAGGGAGGGAGAAGGTCTTGAGAAGTGAGATGTTTCCAGGCAGAGTCTGTCTCCAAATGCCTTTTCCCTTACTGGTGTCCTGGAACCATTAGGTATGAACTCATTGTAACCTGGACGTAAAGGTTGAGCTGATGCTTTGTTAGCAGGAATCCTCACCATCTGGTTATGGAAGGCAAATGACAACTAGTCATGAACTTCCTAGCCAGACTGAGCACCATATGTCTTATAACACCTGAGCGTTTCCCAGCACTATGCCTGGCATCTGCCAGTGAGGCATGACTATTGGTTGAGAAGGATAAGAAGGTCTAAGCAGAGTCAATCAAATGACCTTCTCAGGTTGTCCAATCAGTGTAATGAGCAATTCAACAACTGGACCTAAGTTTATTAAGGCTCACTGTGTGCCAGGTGCTATTCTAGGTGCAGGGAAAGCAGCAGCAAACATGAAGGTTAGGTCCCTGTTCACTCACCTTCTATTGGACAGAGACACATCAAAAGTCCATAAATAGATCACTGCAGACAGTAATAAATAGCATGAAGATAATAAATATGGGTAAAGAGATAGTGAATACCTTTGAGAAAGACCACTTGAGATACAAGTGGTAAAAGAAGTCCTCTCTGAATGTTACCTTTGGGTTGAGACATGAGTGAGAAAATGGAGAAAGCCATGTGAAGCTCTGGAGGAGCAGGGGCCCAGGCAGAGGGAACAGTGAGTGCAAAGGCGGTGCAGCCGCACCAGCAGTGGCTCGGGGAACGAGAAGTAGAAGGCACTGCAGCCAGAGCACAAGGAGCAAAATGGAGTGACCAGCCCACATGAACAGCCGTCATTCAAGACCATGGTTCTCCTGTTAGCTAAACACTGCAACCATCTGGAAAGCTTTTAAAAGTACTGACACCTGGGACCCACCCCCAGGGTGTCCGTTTAATTGGTCTGAGGTGTCACTTGGGCATCAGGAGTTTTAAAGTTTCCCAGATAATTCTAATGTGCAACTGAAGCTGTTAACCGCTGACAAGCCCATGAGGGCCATAGCAAGGCACTTGGATTGGTGGCAATTGAGGTTCTTGAGGAGTCTCAGAGACATTTCTCCAGTACTTCAAGCCCAGATCCAAAAAGATCCTGAGAGGCCTTGGAGTTGGGGATAAGCCAGGACAATGAAGGAAAAGAGATAACATGAGACTGAAAAGAAGGTCAAGAGAGGCAGAGACATCCAGAAAATATGACAAACTGGAAGGTGCAACAACACAGAAGTGCAAACAGACTCAGAGAGTCAGAGACTGGAGGAGAAAAGGCAATCTTGTGTATTAGTTTCCTATTGATACTGTAACAAATTACCACAAACTTAGGAGCTTGAAACAATACACATTTGTTACTTTATTATTCTGTAGTTCAGAGTCTGAAATGGGTCTTACTGGGCAAAAATTAAGGTGTCAGCAGTGCTAGGTTCCTTCTGAATGGTCTGCTAGAGAATCCATTCCCTCGTCTTTTGCAGCTTCCAGAGGTTACCCACTTCCTTAGCTTGTGGCTTCCTGCCTCAGTCTCCAAAGCCAGCAATGTCAGGCCGATCACTTCTCATGCTGCTATCTCTCTATGCTACCTATCAGAGCATAGAAGTGCATCTTTTACAAAATAGATTTCAGTCACAACTGTAGTCTTATGCTTGGGTATCTGTGTGTTTTATGAGCACTGAGCCGGGAGGGTTGTTCCAAGATGAATGTACGTGTGTTTGTTTGTGTAGGTTTGTTTATCAGGGTGTCATATTTGAGTGTCTCCCCGATAAGTATGGGGGAGGCAGAAGAAGAGTGCCTGGAGGGGGTGCCTAATAAAGTCCTGCTGCTCCATAAAGACTTACTGCTGTTATACTGTTATTCTTATTAATAATAAAACTGATGATAGAGTATCTGTCTCTTTGCCTGTTTTCTTTGAGCATGTCCGTCTGTTCCTAAATAATACTGGACATTTATCCCAGTGATATTCAATGCATATGAGGCTATTCATACACATTATATTTAGCTGTGATGTTTGTATTACATGAATGCTTCTGTCTGCAAGTTTGTGCACATTTGGGCATTTGGACACTGATGGATGCAGACACATGTTATATAACAGTGTGGGTGATCATAGTTGTAGACATCTGGATGTTTACTTATGCACAAACCCCCATGAGTATCCAGTTAGCTAGGCCTGGCATTGGAAGGGTAGAGAAGCTAGGAAGAGGAGGGAGCAGGGAGGAAGAGGAGAGGTGGGGAGAGGAGCAGGTAAGGAGAAAAAGAGAGAATGGAGGTGAGGAATGAAGGCACAAAGGAACACCAGAAAAAAATCAGGAAGCAGGAGGGGGTCCCAGGGATCTGCAACTGAAAAAGGCAGGGTTGAGTCACAGCAAGAACACAAGTCAGAAGACCAGGGTAGGGCTCCACTTCTGGTCATTCCCTTGCTATGTGACCTTGGCTATTCCAGTTCTCTGGGCCTCTGTGAACTACCAGAGTTGAAATAGATAATACCGGGTACATTCCAAAGAAGGAAGGAAAGAGAAAACTGGTAATAAAATCACACACGGGGAAAAACAGAGAGAAAGAACCAGAAAGAGAGACTTACGAAGAAAGTAAGGAGAGGCCCTGGGAGCTGGCCAGAGGTAGAGCTGAAAGAGCTCTGCCCCGACTCCCTGAGGCCGAAGTGTGGGCGCCTGCTCCCCACCCCTTACCCCAGAGCTGCAGAATGCCCTTAAGCCCTTAATAGGTAAGGAAGGAAGATGGAAAGGCGAGAGGCACCAGGAATGAAAACCACACATCAACACTCAGAGGCTTGCCAAAGCCACACAAACCAGGATCTGTGCTTCCGGCCCCCAGCCCCCAGATGTAGGTGTGCCAGCCACCTGGAATGACTCGCACCTTGGCAATGTGGGCGCACATGCCAAGAGTGAGCCTGGGCACCCGGCCCATGCGCGTACCACAGGCGGAGGGGAAGGTAAAATTGGGGCTCTTCGGGGGGTCACAGGGGGCTACCCTCCCCACACAGGGCTACCCCGCCCCAGAGCGCCCTCTAGTGACCGCCTCCTAGGCTCTGGGAACCAGGTGTGCTATTCTCCCCTCCCTGCTCCCCCAAACCTTACCCGGGAAGCAGGAGAACCAGATGAGGCGTTACGCAAGGCCTGGTGTTTACCTCCCGTGGGAGCCTCCTCCCTCCCTATAAAGCCTGATGTGGTGGAGAGATTTGACGAGACTGAGACTCTGGTTGAAGAGAGAGGCAATCCCAGGAGAGGGGCGGAAAGCGGCAAAAGTTAATGCGGGAGTCGGAGAGAAGGGCATCTACACAGCAAGCAGCAGGGGCGGCCCGCCATCTGCGCGCTCGAAGGCGGTCACGGTGGTCGCGGAAGGGGCGGCGTCCAGATCCTGGCTTTCCATGGATGCGCCCGAGCTGGGCCCGGGGCTGGTGGAGCGTCTGGAGCAGCTGGCGACGTGTCCTCTGTGCGGGGGCTCCTTCGAGGACCCGGTGCTTCTGGCGTGCGAGCACAGCTTCTGCCGCGCGTGTCTGGCCCGCCGCTGGGGGACTCCGCCGGCGACCGGCACCGAGGCTTCCCCCACCGCCTGTCCCTGCTGCGGCCTGCCGTGTCCCCGCCGCAGCCTGAGGTCTAATGTGCGGCTGGCGGTGGAGGTGCGAATCAGCCGCGAGCTGCGAGAGAAGCTGGCTGAGCCTGGGGCCCGTGCGGGGAGACGCCGAGGGGGGCGCATCCCCACCATGGGCTGCCTGGACCTGCCCGGAGAGGTGAGGCTGGGCGCGCGTCGCGGAGTTGTTGGTGGAAGCGGGAGGTTCCCGGGGAAGCCGGGAATGGCACGTCTGGAGCCGGAGGCCCTGTGGAAGTTTAGGCAAAGGATGGGGTGGGGAGAGAAAAGCAAAGGATGAGGGGGCGAGGACCCTGGGTCCTCAAGGTGAGAGGCGCCCGGAAGGACGATGGATGGAGTTGACACTTGGTCCACAGGGGAGGAGGCTGGACCGATGCCTGAGCCTTGTGAGAGGGGCTGGAGAGAAGAGACTGGGGAGGCAGAGAAGGGGTACCGGATAGAACGCGGAGAGCCCTGGAGTCGCCGCGAAGGGCATGGGAACTGCAGAAGTTTTGGCAGGGCAGCCGCAGGCGCCCGGGAGGAGGAGAGCTGGCGGAGGGGAGGGAGCGGCGGGCGGAAGGGAGAGCCGACCCAGCTGAGGGTGAGGAGGGGTCCTGGGAGGATGGTGGGCGACGGCAGAACCTGCTTAGAGGAGCGGGAGCAGGAGGCTGGGCTGGTGGGTTGGGGGCGGAGAAAAAGCTGGGGAGGAGGGGACTGACAAGAGGATGGAGGAAGGGAGCAAGGGGTTGGGGCATATCCAAACCTCCCCGTAGCGTCGTGGGGGTTGGTCTCGGACTCTGGCTCAAGCTAAGCCCTGTGTTGTTTGTTATTGTTATTTCGGCTCCTCCCAAGGCCCCAGGCAGGAGCGGCCAGGGGTGGAGGCGAGGTGCGGGAGAACAGCCGCTGGGGCCTCTGGCTCCTCTCCACATCCCAGTCTTACCACCCATCTACCCCCCGCGCCTCTCCTGGGCCCCGGCTCCTTGGCCACTAACCAGCCCATTCCCTTGCCCGACCGACCCCTGGGCGTCTGGGACTCCTGACTGGCTTCTTCCCAGCAGCCAAGCTGGTCTTGGGTCTTGCTTCTGCCCTTTGAAGTCTTCATAGACCTAATTAGTCTGAAAGTAATTGGCACAATTATGCAAATTGTTTCTCTCTCCCCCGCTCCACCATATCGGCCTGCTCCAGCCATCAGCACTAGACAGTGAAGTGGAGGGGTCGGTATCCCAGTGTTTGGAGGGGAGCATCCAGTGCCCTCTCCTGGCTCCCATAGTACTCTGTGGATCTGCTGGGCCTTTTGGGACACATTCAAGTCTAGCTGCCTCCCTGGCCAGGGTCCAGAGACACAAAGCAAAGGGCCCAATAAATGCCACTGGGCTTTTATTGCAAGAGGGGAAGCAGCTTTATTGTAAGGCTTTTATATACCAACTCTTAGCCCGAGGGCTCTGGGTGTGTGTTTGGTCTGTGTGATGGAGGGAGGAAGGGACAGATGTTTTTCTGGGATGCACTGGGGAAGGTAGATAAGGATGGGGCCGCTGAAAGAGACAGAGAATGGGACTGAGGAGGCAGCAAGGAAGGCAAGGGCTCTGAGGACAAGAAACAGTCATGGACGAGCCTGGGAAAAGAGAATTGAGAACCCTTGGGGAGTGGAAAGGGGGAGGACAGTGGGGATGGAGTTAGGAGGATGAGGGAAAAGTGATGGGGTGAGAGGAAGGAGGGATCATGAAAGGTGAAGGAGGAGAATGAGAGGGAAAGGAGCACAGTGTGTAAAGAGGTGAGATCACTCTGAAAGGTGAGGAGGGACACTGCTAACTCAGACAGAACTCACCTGAGGAGGGGAGAGATAGGGAAGGATGCCCCAGGGAATGAAGCCCAGAGCTCACATCCATGTTTGTTTCTGCCCATCCTAGGATATGAGGAAGACATGGAGACGGTGAGTTCCACTTTTCTGTTCCCTCCTTTTCTCACCAGCTGCCATAGCCATCACGTTCTCACTGGGCCCACACCTTTGTTCCCATTAATAGGCAGGTTTTCTGGGGTATAGTCTCATCCCTTCTTCCTCCAGAGATGTGAGTGGGGT
This sequence comes from Homo sapiens, assembly GCF_000001405.40. Lineage (NCBI taxonomy): Eukaryota > Metazoa > Chordata > Mammalia > Primates > Hominidae > Homo > Homo sapiens. The sequence goes on along the minus strand of NT_167246.2, from coordinate 1,334,058 downwards.
ATGCGTGGGGGCATTAGGATCAGAGGGCTGATTTCCTGACCCTTCCCCTCATCTGTGTAGATTTGAAGTCCCAACATCCAAGTCATCTAATTCAGAGGATGATCTCCCTGAAGATTATCCAGTGGTCAAAAAAATGCTTCATAGACTGACAGGTAAGGAAAGAAGAAGGGAGGGAAGGGAATTGAATGAAAGTCTGTGTTAGATTTTCTTCCTTTTAGCCCTAAAAAGTGATCAGGTCCTTTTTGATGTCTGCATTAGTTTCCTAGTACTGCTCTAATGAAGCACCGCAAAGTAGGTGGCTGAAACAACAGACATTTATCTCAAAGTTCAGGAGGTAGAAGTCTGAAATCAAGGTGTCAGCAGTGTTGGTTCCTTCTGACGGCCATGAGACAGAATCTGTTCCATGCCTGTCTCCTAGCCTCTGGTAGCCTCACATGTTCTTTGGGTGATAGGTCTGCACATTTTCTTTTGTATGCATTTGTCTCTGTGTCCAAATTTCCTCTTTTTGTAAGTCAGCAATCTGGATTAGAGCCCACCCTAATGACCTTCATTTTAACTTGATTACCTATGTAAAGATCCTGTTTCAAAACAAGGTAACATTCTGAGGTTTGGAAGACTTCAACCTATCTTTGTGTGTGTGTGTGGAGTGGGGGAGGGCACAGTTCAGCCTATAACAATGTCTATCCTCGATTCCTCATATTCCAGCCATTTTCCCTCTTCCTTTTTCATACATTCAAACAACAGATCCCTGAAGGTTAGGTGCCTCTCAAAAATCTCTGCTTCCACCACCTCTCGTCACTCCTCCCTGGAAGGGGACCCCAGCATCTCCTTGACCCTTCTTTCCTCACTCACTCCCAAGAAGAAGGGTGCCTCTACCCTTCTTTAAACTGCCTAGAGAAGGTGGTCCACCATCTTGGTCATCCACCATCTTGCCCAGTCCAGATTGCTTCTGACACCCCTAATCCAGAAATTTTTCTTCAAAGCACCCCATACATATAAGGCCAATGGTTCTTTTTCTGGTCTCTGGCTATCACCACCTGCTCTCCTCCTCTGCCCCACAACCCCTACAGAAATAGGACTGTCCACCCCACCCCCCAATTCCTGTGGGTGGGTGGGCTGGTTTCTCAGGATACCTTGGATTCCTCCCTGTGCCCCTCCCATTACTTGAGGTTCCAGTATCAGTACGACTTTCTCTTTAGATGAACCTTCCCCATTTTGCTGACCCAGCTCCCATGCCCCACCCCAGATGATGCAGATTGAGGTATCAGTCCTTACTCCTCCCTCGAAGTCAGATCAGCCTCACTCTTCCTCCCCCAACCCCACAAACGAGACAACCTCTCATTTGATCTTCCTGCTGTGCTCCCTGCACTGGGCCAGTATGATCCTTCCCCAGGTCCAATTCTACAGAAGTGGTGCATCAGTACAAGGTCTGATATTGCCCAGGTCTGCTCTTCATATGCCTTCCTTCTTTTTGGTCCTGCAGTCGCCTTTTGAGCTGTTGTGTGGTCACTAGCTCTCAGTCTTTTACGTGATCTTCGTTGACTATTCTCCACCCTACCCCGCCTGTGATTTAGAAAACTCTCTCATGAGGTCCTCTCCCTGCCTCCCCGTCTCCAGCCGACCTGACCCTGGACCCTGGGACCGCACACCGCCGCCTGCTCATCTCCGCCGACCGCCGCAGCGTACAACTGGCCCCACCAGGGACGCCCGCGCCCCCTGACGGCCCCAAGCGCTTCAATCAGCTCCCAGCTGTGCTGGGTGCGCAGGGCTTCGGGGCCGGCCGCCACTGCTGGGAGGTGGAGACTGCGGACGCCGCCTCCTGCAGAGACTCTTCTGGGGAGGATGCGGACGACGAGGAGAGCCACTATGCAGTGGGCGCGGCCGGGGAATCAGTGCAACGCAAGGGCTGCGTAAGGCTGTGCCCTGCGGGGGCCGTGTGGGCCGTGGAGGGCCGCGGCGGCCGCCTGTGGGCCCTCACGGCACCCGAACCCACCCTGCTGGGCGGTGTTGAGCCCCCGCCGCGGCGCATTCGCGTGGACCTGGACTGGGAGCGGGGCCGCGTGGCCTTCTACGACGGCCGCTCACTCGACCTGCTTTACGCCTTCCAGGCGCCTGGCCCCCTGGGGGAGCGCATCTTCCCGCTGTTCTGCACCTGCGACCCTCGTGCTCCGCTCCGCATTGTACCAGCGGAAAGCTGAGTCTCGTCTCCAACTAGAAGTTTGGCCCGGCCACTGGCCCTGCAGCTGCTTTTTGGGGGTGGAATTCCCCACTCATTTCTGGGAACACATTCACACGCCCATTGCAGGAGTATTAATAGCAACCCACATTTTCGCCCCAAAATAATGAGACCTCACCTGGTCTCCACGTTTCCACGTCCCTGCTCAAAACCAAATCCATTCCTGCCTTCTGGCTCTCAGAATCTTCTCTCCCCTACAGCTACTACAGTACTTCCTGACTTCTCCCATTCAAACCATTCTAGGCCTGCAATGGGGAACAGGCCCTCCCCATCAGTATTGGTAAAGTGACCATGATTCCTACATAGAGGCTCTGCTGGTCAAATACTTGACTCCCACTCTTGCCACTCCTAGCTCCAGAAGGGCTCAGGGCCTTCCCCACAGATCTAAGGACTGGGCTACCCTGCCTGTCCACTGAGGTTTCTCCTAAAACAAGAGGCTTGACTCTGGTCTGGGCCCTGTGGCCCTCTGGGAAGCTTTGTACCTCTTTTGCAGGATCTGGGGGTGGGGAGGGACAAGCTAGTTCCCCAACCTCCTATGACTGCTTTCTATGCTCACAGCCTTTTTTCCATAAGAACCTTCTTGAAACTTCTCCCCGCACATACTCACGGAAAGGAACCAATGGTGCTATTTCCCCTCTCTCCTCCTCAACCTGGGAATACTTCAGACATCTCCAAACTCATCCTTGTGTATAGTCTCACACCCTTCCCCATAAGTATAAATGGGCCCATATTTAACACATTTTGTGATTTTGGGTTATTTATTTTGTGCATCTGTGGCAATAAATGAGATCTCAGTGGTGGTATGGATTTGACTGATCTCTGTAACTGTGTATGGCAAAAGGACCGGAAAATGAAAACCAGATCCCAGTAAGGGGTAGAGAGGGGCCAAGAGAACTGAACATCTGGGCTGCCGGAGAAATCAAAGTCTAGGAAGTAAGAGGTAAGAGTGTACTACAGGGGACATACCCCAATCTCTTTGCTCCCTCCCTCTTCCTTCCTCTCCCAGAGACCCAGGTCCCTGGGACTATATTGGATCTGTCTCTGAAGCTGAAAAACAAAAGGCAGAGGAGACAGTCGGCTCTAAGTGACCAATCTCAAGCCAGCTTTGTCAGAAATCCTAAATAACAGGAGAAGGGTGGGAAGAAAGGATATGATTATTTCTTATTCCATTTTCCATAAGAGGTGAGAATGACAAGGACCTCTTTTCTAACTCCTCTTGAGGGTGTGAGAAGGGTTAGCAGGAGGAGAAGGGCTGGGAGCTCTGAGGTCTCCTGTAAGACCTCATATCTCACAGGCAAGGACTAAGAATTAGGATTAAATATTTTAGTGGGATAGCTCTAAACCAGGATTAGCAAGCAAAGTTAGGGCGCAAATTCCTGGAATCTGACTGGGACCCTGGCAGTGAAAGCTGGGACTGTTGAAAACCCAATTTAAGTGTTCGCTACTCATGTTGAGAGTGCAGGGCCAAGATAACTAGATCCCAGGACAGGCAGTTTGGCAGTGAGAACAAAAGGAAGACACTGGGACCAAGGTGCCTAGATCCCTCGAGAGAGAAGGGTGGGTATTGGGAGGAAAAATGAGGACTGGGGAAACCCAGGAGGCTGGGTTCTGGAATAGCAGCAAGTCAGAATTTCAGGATCTCTGTTCGTCCTCCTCTTCCTCTTCCCTCTATCAGGCAGAAGAGAGGGAAGGAGGGGGCTGGAGAAGTAGCCACATGGATACATTTAGGGCCAGACAGACACAGGAATGCTGGAGGAGAGAGGGATTTAGTGCTGCATTGGCCCTGGAGGGGGCTGGGAAGGGTCAGGAGGCTGGGGAGGGGTGGTGGGGGTCGGTCCTAGGGTTGCACGACGCCGTCCTTTGCGGTGGCCACGTACACAGTGTGTATGACCACAGCCCTCTTCTTCCTCCTCATCACTTTCCGTGGAGCTCTCGCCAAAGGCCCGAGGTTTCTCATAAATACAGCAGCCTAGATTTAGAGGGAGGAGCCCAGTTAAAGAGGAGGAAGGGTAAGATATATAGTCAGTTCCATTCCCACTCAAACTCAGTGAAAATTCCTATTTTCTCCTACCTTCCAGGATCCAGCTTCCCCAGGCCCACCCTCTGGGACTCAGGCCCCACCCCTCTTGTCCTCTTAGAGAGCCACGAATTCAAAGCCCCACTTCTCCCACCTCTGACACTTCTTGCTGTCAGACCTAGGCAATTCCAGTTCTAGCCCTTCCCTACCTCTTTCCCTGATACCACAGCACCACCAAAAAAGTGACAGAACTATGAACATCTGGGGGCTTCTGGAAAGCCAGTGGATATGAGTAGATACAAGATATGCTGAAGGGAGCCAGAACTCCAGGGCTACTGCGGGCCAACAATTACTCACATTTGGATGAGCGGCGGCCCATGTGTTCATTGTCCACAGTGTCACTTGTCCATTCTACCTTTTTCTCTGGCTTCCGTTTCCGAAGTTTGATGGTAAGGCTCCGGTTCTCCTAGAAGGTTAAGGATGAGCATACCTATCTAGTCCCCTCTTACTAACCTTTCCCACTCCCTCCCAGGGAACCTCCTCTCTTTTCTTCTTTAGCTCAATCAGTACCATAGGCATAGCACCAGAGGAGCTGACAGAAGATAAAACAGAACAGGTCTTTTACCTCAGATAGTCCCTTGAGGAATAAGTATTATTTCCTGTTCTTATACCACCAGTATAAGAGAAGACACAATTCCTAACCTAGGAAAGGTCCCAGCAACTCTTCAAAGGAAAATATAATCCTTGCTGTTTCTCCGTCTTCCTCCCCAAATCATCCTTGGTAGTATTAATACATGAAAATTATTTTTCAGTCCCCAGCACCTAATCTTTGATCTCCCTTCCTTTTTCCAGATCCCCTATTCTTTTTCTCTTAAAAAAACAAACAAAACCTCTCTCATTCTCAAGCTCCAGCCCTCCCTACCTCTTATCCACCTATTCTCTGGCATCCTGGCATCTCTAGTAGCAAGTATTACTAATCTATTAATTACTAAACTTCCTTTAATCCAAGAGTATTAAGCCCAATGCAACCTTCTCCCTTTGAAGGCAACTTAACATGTTTTTGGATAAATACTTCTTGTTTCTCCATTTACATCTTTGCTCTCTGATTTCTCAAAATACCTCTTTTCATCTCCTTTTCTTGTTTCCTCATTCCTGCCACTTCCTTTTACATTCATCCATTCAATAAATATTTATTCGAATATCAATATTGATAATATTGATAAGTTGGCCTCCAACCATGCTTTCTTACACTACCTTTGATTTCCTCCCAACATCTTCCTGGCTCCTTAATCCTCAATTTCCCTTTCGTTTATTACTTACACACATAACCACCCCAAGCAGCAACACCTATATCCTAACTGTACCTCCCTATTACAAGTTCCTTGACCTGCCTCCTGCACCATCTCTGCCACTCCAAATAGCTCCAATACCTTCCGATTCTCCCAGCCCTAGATATTCAACCCCACACCTCCCATATCCCTAGGCCTAGCTCCTCCAACAACTCTTCTAATCCCTGTCCCCTCCCTCCCAGTATCTCCCAGACCCCTAAACAGCACCGCCCCCCCGCCTTTCTCACGGGCTCGGTTGTCACGGTAACCGTTGTCTCAGTGACGGTCTCGCTCAGCCCAGCCCCTGCCTCGGCCATGGCTAAGGCTCAGGACAGGGAGGAGAGGAGGAAGGGGGATGAGACACCCTTCCCTTTTTCTGTCGCTGAGGTCTAAGAGAAGCGGTATCGGATTCAGATTGGTAGCCAGGATCCTCCACCTTCTTTATTCCCCCTCCTCCTGGGCCTCCGCTTCTCCACCCCTGGGGATAACCTGGCTAACCCCACTTCCGGCTCGCCGCTTCCGGGTGTGACGCATACTGCAGTCCCCCTTTTTCCCCTTCCACGGCACCAAATGCGTCAAAGCGCAGGCGTCGCTGGATTAGTTCCGCCGTAACGTGACAGCGCGCAGGCGCTGAAAGAAAGAGAAACAAATTTGGCGGAAGGGGTGTCACTGCGGGTGTGGGTGGAGGAGGGAGAGTCTGGGGCAGCACGCGTACTCACAGCCTAGAGGAAGCAGGAGGGGCGCCCAGATGGGTATTGCCGGGCCAGACGCTGCAGAGTGGGTGTGGCGAGGGCGGAGTTGTGTGCACCAAGCTGAGTCCTGCTGCAGATTTCCGTTTGCCTTGTCTGGGTAGGTGGACCGGCGAGGAAGCTTAAGGAGCAATAGTAATGACCCTACCGTGGCCTATTTCCCTTTCCTTGTTTGGTCTGGGTTTCTCTAAAGAAAACGGGAAGTGGGAGCAGTTGGAAACACACTTAAGAGTCAAGCGATGTGGTTCTACCCCTCGCCCTGTGCCTGTAGGTGTTTGAGCAGTTCAGTTTAGTGCACGTTCAACGTCAGTTTTTTTCAGTCACTGTGCTACGCCTTGAAGATGGAGGCGCGTAAGACGCTCAGACCCTGCCTTTTAGCTCTAGTAGGAAAGACAGGCATGCTGAAAACTAACAAAAATATGAAACACTGGGGCATTAACAAATGCCATGTCTGATTTGTAAATCTGAATGTAGTTACATACTGCCAACATATTCGTTCTCTCTGGGGTGATGAGTAGGATGAAGCAGAGAAATGGTCGTAAATTACAGTATAGGCTATTTTATAAAAATATATGCACGTTTCTTAGAGAGCAAAAGAAAGTGGTAAAACAAGAACCAGGAAGGCCGACAAGTAGGTTTTTTTAGAAGAGCAGCTTAAAAAGTTGTAGATGTGTGCACTACAGGAAATGGAGTTTTGTACCGCTTGGATCTGAGGGAGTGCCAGATGAAGCTTGACAGGTAGGCAGTGGTTATATGGAAGAACCTGTATGCTTTGCTAAGAAATTAAGCTTAATCCAATCACTGTTATGGGCCAGAGAAAGGCTTAAAGTAGGGTAGAAACATGAACAGGTTTGTTTCAGATTTCAGGAGTGGGTCAGGAAAGTCAACTGCCAGAACAGTTCAAACGTACAGTGGGGAAGACTGCCCTGCCCATTCTCCAGGTTGCTGTGGGGGTCAAACAAGATAGCTATGTTTGAGAGCTCTGAATATATATAAAGGGCCACACAATTATATGATAATTATTACAGTAACCCCTTGATCACTATTTGAGCCAAGGAATGCGGGACCTGAGTATGCATTTGTTCCCCTTGAAAGTTTTTAGTTCAAACAGAAAAAAGCAAGATATAGTTCAGCATGTCTAGTCCATTAAAAAAACCAAACACATATATAGCAACACACATATACAGAGCCACATACATATACACAAGCACAGATATACAGTATAATTTGGTTATCTCTGTGGAGTAGGATTCCTTGTGACTTTACTTTTTTCTTTCTTTCTATATAAGAATCTATTATAATAGATATACAATTCATCCTTGAACAACATGGGGGTAAGGGGTGCTGACCCTCTGAACAGCCAAAAATCCATATATAACTTTTGACTCCCCCAAAACTTTACTGTTGACCAGATGCCTTACCAATAACATAAACCGTTGATTAACACATATTTTGTATATGTATTATATACTTATAATACATATAATCTTACAATCAAGTAAGCTAGAGAAAACATTATTAAGAAAATCATAAGGAAAAGAAAATATATTTACTATTCATTAAGTAGAAGTGGATCACATTTTCATGTTGAGTAGGCTCAGGAGGAGGAAAAGGAGGGCTTAAATGTGCTGCTATCTTATGGGTCTCAGAAGTAGAAGAAAATCCACATATATGTAGACTCAAGCAGTTCAAACCTGTGTTGTTCAAGGGTCAACTGTGTATTGTATTTATCTCAATACTAATAAAATACTCACCTATAGTGATCACTTAGTGGCATTACTTAGTATCAGATTTTTTGTTGTCCAAATTTATATGCTAAAGAGATCTGGTTAAAATTTCTGTTAAATGTCTCACTATCCAAATTCCTAGTTTTTCTTAACCTAAACTCAGGAACCAAATAGATTTAAATAGTATGGCAATACTTACAATTGCTTTTTGTTTATATTAGCCTCATTCCTGACTCTACTTTTTTGTCCTAATTTTTCCCCCTTTTCTTTTTCATATAAATATATCTCTGGAAACTCATTTAAATTCCTTTTGGAATAAGACAGATTATAAGTAACATACATATGTCAGGGTCTTATAGAAAAATATAACTTTAATAAGGAAATTCAACTAAGGGTAGGAGTACTCCAGGAACAATGGTAATCCCCACATGATGATCTGATTCTCTTCTGGGAGCAAAACATTGCAACCAGACAGGATGGACAAGGCATCTAAAAACCCAGTATCCTTCACCTTCCGAAAGGAGGGAGGGACTGTAGAGTTGCCCAGGAAAAAGGTCAAGAGTCTTCCTTCTCCTGGAACCTATGAGGAAAGAAAGGACTTGTTATATTCACCAAAAGATGAGTTTCTAGTAGTATAAGATAAGATATGCAATCAAATAATCAAGGAAGGACTTTTATTTATGACATCATTGAGGACTGGCTCCCCTAAACAAACTTCCAATTCTAATTCCAAGACAACTAAAAATTCTGGGATTAAAAATATATCCAATGAGTTATAACCTCAAAGCAAAGATTTCTTAGGACACAGAAAGCACTAGCTGTAAAAGAAAAAAAAAAGGATAAGCTGAACCTTATAAAAACTTAAAACTTCTGCTCATTTAAAGAGGGTTAAGAAAATAGGCAAGCCACACGCTGGGAAAAAAAATCTTCTTTTTATTTAAAAAAAATTTTTTTTTTTTTGGTAAAATGACAACCAGTGATAGGAAAAAAATACTTTTAAAAGATATATCTGACTATGAATATTTTTAATCCTTTGATGAGATGGCAAGAAAGTAAAGGCAATCTGCACACTGGTTAAAAGTTCTGTAAAACCAGAAATCCAGACAGGGAAGTTAAAACTAATGTCCCTATGAAACGTGACAGTGACACTATGGTGCCCTTTATACTGTTTTGACAGTCACTGGAAGCATAGGAAATGAGGGACAAAATGTATAAGGTCTGATAGGAGATCCCGTGCATAAATTTGGGAACTGCAAAAGGCTGCCCTTTCTTGTAAAAGTGAACAAGAAAAGAAAAAATTCAACTCTATAGAAGGGGAATTTGACTGTCTCAGTAGGTAGAAAGAGAGAAAACTCTCTCCTGAGAATTTCTAACTGTAAGCTAGCCCTTACATGGATTTGCAGCTCAAATTCATACTATCTGTCTGCTCCAAAAAACATGAAGCCAAGAATTTATTTAAAGTAATTCCAGCTTGATAGTGCTTCAAGGCACCTAGAAAAGAAACACAAATGCTGAGAATACAGCACTCGCCCAAGGCCTCAAAGAATTCCTACAGTTCAAGTTCTAAAAAACTCGAATTTATAGTCAAAAATCACAAAACAAAGAAAAAAAGCACTATGAGAGAGACAGCAGAAACAAAAGACAGCAGCATCAGACACACAAAATCCGCAGATATCAGAATTATAAGACATAGAATATAATAACCATATTTAATATTTTAAATATATATTTAAAGAATAATAAAAGGAACAATTTAAAATATGATTAAAGAACTGATAATTATTTAAAAATTAAGGAGATTTGAAAAGTAATTAAATAGAACTCAAAATAATAACAATAGTAAAAAATAATAATACTTGAAATAAACTGAAGACAGAATTAGTGACATGGAAGAGGGACCTGAAGAAATTACTCAGAAGGTGGCATAAAGAGAACAGCAATTGAAAATATGAAAAGAAGGTGAGAGAAATGGAGGACAGAAGAGAGAAACCTCTTTCTAGTAACTAATTCGAGGTCCAGAATGTGAGGACTGAGAACATGGGGGAAAGAGAATATTAAAAGAGATGATGGCTGATAATTTTCCAAGGTTGATGAAAAAAAAGTCCACTCTCAGTTTCAGAAAGTCCAACAAATCCCAAACAGAATAAAAGAAAATCGTATTTTGATATACTATAGTGACTGCAGAACACCAAAGACAAAAATGAGGTCTTAAAAGCATTCAGAAAGCCCATGTTCTCTAAGTCATGTGTGACTAATTCTCTCCAAAGAAAGCTACCTTGACTGCGGTTGAAGACTGCAGTATAAGATGCTGACCACTAAACAATACCTGCTTCTTATGTTTTTTTTTTTTTTCTTCATTTCCTTTTAAATATCCTAAAAGTAGGTCAGGCGGGGTGGCTCATGCCTGTAATCCCAGCACTTTGGGATGCTGAGGTGGGTGGATCACTTGAGCTCAGAAGTTCAAGACCAGCCTGGGAAACATAGAGAAACCCCATCTCTACTAAAAATACAAAAAAAAAAAAAAAAAAAAAAAAAAGCCAGGCGTGGTGGCATGTGTCTGTGGTCCCAGCTACTTTGGAGGCTGAGGTGGGAGGATTACCTGAGCCCAGGAGGCGGAGGTTGCAGTGAGCCAAGATTGCCTCGCTGCACTCCAGGCTAGGTGACAGAGCGACACCCTGTCAAAAAAAAAAAAAAAAAAAAAAAATCCTAAAAGGTTTATTTCACTGGTTATAAAAAGGTTTAAAAAAGTGTAACTTAAAAAAATAAAAAACAACTACAAATCTCCCTATTACCAGAACTGCACAGAAATAAGGGATGGGACCAAGGGAAACGGCCATTTCGTACAAAAAAATAAATCACTGGATTTGTTTAGTTAGCAAACAGACTGAGCAGAGGGAGGGGAAAGAATACCCACTTGCAGTTGGTACAGGTGTAGAAGACAGTTTGCCCTTCATCGGCTGAACGCATCTGTCTGGTGTGGTATGCCATTCCTTCATGACCACATCGAGGGCAGCGCCTGTCAACCTGGGAAGAAACTGGTGGGTTAGGGAGGCCTGGTCATATCCCCTTACTTCCCACAGGAATCAGGCGATCACGCCTCTCAAACGTCGATGGTTTACATCTCTTTTCCCTCTTGGAATTGGGCACAAAACTCTCCAGAGCTTTGCAATCACTCCTCCATTTCTTTCCTACCCACCTTATGGAGCCAGTTCTTGATCTCATTAGCTTACCACAGGTCCCTGGCACTCAGGCCCTTCCTCCACCGACATAGGCATGGCTGTCCCCAGTTGGTGGAACACAACCGAAGTCTTCACAACCTTCCCCTCAAAGTCTGCACAGGCAAGTAAGAACTGGTTATGGAGACAACCAGAGAGAGCTGACACCGGAAACCTCCCCTTTCCCCTGGCTGGTTAGGCCAGGAGGCCCTACATCCTTTCCCTCAGTTTTCATCGCTAGACCAAATGTACAACCGCCTGATGTCCTGCTCTAGGATCCCCTCCTCAACCCAACCGATCTTGAGTTCCCCAAGCTTCCGACCCTGCGCCCTCCGCCAGGACCCCTGCGTACAAGCCTCTCACCCCGAACGTTGATGTTGAAGCCACAGCGAATACAGGTGACCGTATCCTGAGCCCCGGGCAGAGGCAGGACCGAGCCGCAATCTGAACAGAAATCCAGGTCCGACTGAAAGCTGGAGCAAGTATTGGCGAGGTCCATGACAGACATGCGGTCGGGTCTGAGGAGGGAGTTGGAAGTTTATTAACAAAAGAGAGAAGAGTTCCTGTCCCAGAGGTCGTAACTATTCTGTCCCAGGACCTAGGAGTATATAACCCGAACCCTCCTGCCACGCACGCCTCCTGCCTCTGCGACCAAGGAGCCGAAACGCCCGGAATTCCCAGACAGCGTCGGGTACTAAAGGACTTGGAACCCTTTCCAGGGGCCGGTGAGAGGAGTTAACCAACTCCGTGGGCTAGAGCGCCAGCTCTGCGCCCGCGGCGGGGCAGCGAGATAGAGCCGGCTAGAGCGTCAGGCTTTCGCGTTGACGATTGGCTGTGACGTCATAATTAATTGCGAACCGTGTCTCGGGAGCGTTAGAGATGGAGACTAACGTCTTCCAAGGGAGATTGCGTCTCCACTTTCACCCTGGTACTGAGAGGTTGAGCACAAAATTGGTAACCAATGCTGCGCTTCCAGCAAATTTTCCCACCAGCACCCAATCCTGGGATATTTATTCTCTTTGTCTCACATCCTACAGGAACGCAGTCGCGGGGTATATCCCCCTGAAAACCGTACGTTGCCAAATAATGATTTCTTTGGATTAGAGAACTACAACTCCCCTGGGTCCTGAGCCGGTATTTCCCTTTTGCGGCTGCACCGTAGTTAAAAACAAAGCTAAGTGTTCTGGGACGTATAGTTCTAGCGTTCCTTGGGTCCCGCTGGCGAGCGTGGGCTTTCTGCAGCTCGCAACCGGCCTCGTGCTTTGCGGACGGTTCACTGCGCTTGGAAAGGGGTGAGTCGGCTTTTTGAGGGACAGCAAGTGGTGAGAGTGAAGGCCCGAGGAATGCTTAGTCCCACGGGACGAAAGGAAGCAGGGATGAAGTGGTACACTTGAGAAGGGGTTCAGGACTTTGGAGGTGGTGGAACAGAGGAGCTTGGGGCTTCCTCTCCTTCGACTCCTGCCAGATAAGTGAGGCTAGCAGTAGTCAAGAAAGCTCATTAAGTAGGATTTCATAAGACTTAGGTCGAGTTTGGCTTTTAGTTGTGCCTGCCGCCTATCGAACTCTTAATTCATTATGTCATCCGTTAAGTGGACAGCTGACATTTCCCTGATCTTTTATAAAACATGAGAATAAGTATCTTTGGGAAATCTTTCTATTTTCATTAATCTGTAACTTATATTCCAAGTAGAAACTTTCCCTGAAGGGGCAGCTTGTAGTTGTTTACTAGTTTCCTGCTAGCCCTCCCACCACCATCCACTCTGATAGCTGTGCTAAGTTCATTCATATAAAAGTTCTGGAGCCATCACTGTTTTCTCCTATGAAGGACACAAGCTGTAGTCTTTTCGCTGGGAGAGGCTCCCATCTGCCTTTCTCTGTAATAATGGAGAGAACGCCATAGTGAAAGGGTTAAAACTCAGCAAACTGCTGAAGAGTGACAAGCCCTATCACTTAACTGTGAAATTGCTTGTTATTCTGTCTTACAAAGGGAGACGTGTTGTTGAGCTGATTGTCGTAGACAGTTTTTATTCTCACTTATCTGTGTGTCTCCTTTGAAAATGGAACTTGAAATTCTACCCTCCTCAGTTTTCTGTTTTTAATTTGAAAAACAGCCAACATCCCCTGTGAATTGCAGTAAAGGAACAAAGCATTAAAAGGCATATCCTTTTCCCAACAAAAGCTCACAGTCTAATCAGTAAAGATTTATTGAGCAACTATGCCAGGTTTTGAGCTGAGGCTGAGCCTGCAAAGTTGAAATCTGTGTTCTCTGACCTCAAGGAACATGAATGAATAATTAGAATATAATAAAACTGTGCTAGTAGGTACAAAATGTGAGAGCCCAGAACATGCATATAAAGCAAACATATCTGTAAACTTCAAGGAAGACTGGGAAATGGCTTAATAAAAATAGATACAATGTTATGGCAGATATTTAAAAAAGATGCTCAGATATGTGTCAAGGATCATCAGCAATCAGCAAATCATTAATTTTGAGAACTTGGGATCACAGACTCTAATGTTAAGTATTGTGCTAGAAGCCATGTACAGAGAAGTAAAAGTAAGATGATCATACGTTTACAATCTCAAAATAAGCTTACGTAGACAAATAAGAATGTTCCTAAGAGGTCAGTGAGACCAAATATTTGATATCAGATCCTTTCCAACAATATAGAGGCATCATATTTGTAGATATAAATTACAGTTTTCATTCCTTATGAGCCTAAATTTCAGCATCAAAATGTTAAAAGTGATATGTGAATACAGATATCACAGTGTAAACCACGATTAATTTTCAAATGAGTTGTAGAATTAAAATATGTCAAGTATTTAGAGGAAGGGAAGATCACTGACAGAGTAGACTGGAAAGACTTTATAATCAGGAGCTTGACCTGTGAAGGACAGATAGATAGAATTTATTGAGAACTTACCAAGCTCTTTACATCTAATTCATATTTGTTCTTTATAACCCTGAGAGGCAGATTTTTGTCTTACATCTCCATTTTATAGATGAGAAAGCTGACAGAAGTTACTTGCCCTGAGTCACACACCTAGGAAGTGGTAGAATTAGATTTCAGATCTAGCTCTGTCAGACTGTAAAGACCATCCTTTGAACTCTAAATGGTATAAAAGACATACAGAGGAAATGCCAGGCATCCTCAGTGGCTTAAATACGACATCACAGTAAACTCAGGCTAGACCAGGGATGACACATAAAAGATGATAGTTTTCATTTGTGTTGCCATCAGCCTCCTCTATAAATAAACCCAGAGTAACCACAAATTGCCATCCTGAGGGGTTCAACAGGGAATAGTCTCATAATGGATTTAGAGTGAAGGATGATTGGCATTGTTAGTCAGGCAAGCAGAGGGCTGAGCAGTCAAATAACAGAATTTCAGAACAAAAGATTAGAGGGCAGAAATGCTGTATGTGCTGATAGAGTCAGAGAGGGCCCGGATCAAGAAACTGCAGGAAGAGAAAACTAGAAACCTAGAATCGTCTAGAAAACTAGAACCTACAATCGTCTCAGAACACAAAGGAGGCTTGAGGACTGAGCAGACTGACATAGATGTACTTGGACAACACCTCACCAAGGAGCATGTCTCTTCCCACTCACAATCCCCAATACGAGATTCACAGTGGTTCACGCTGAGTCCACAGGAAAAGTATGCTTGTTCATATGAAAGGAAAGATCCTCTTATTAAAAGAGCATTCATTATTTTCTACCATAGGAATGCAGTGGTTTCCCATGGGGGAAATGGCCCTGCTGTAGTCCTCCCTATTAGCAGATTTGTTCTGACACCTCCTACATTTGAATCTACCTTGCCTTTTTTATCTTCCAGATTGGCCTGGGGTACATCATCTAAAGATCCTAGGATTGCTGCAGGTCAGCAGTCTCCACTGGAAAAAAAGATCTTGGTAAGTAAATTATCTTCACATCATACAGTTTGGAACTACACAGAGAAGGAATCTTAGGTTTAAAATCCTTCTGCCCAAGTGACACATTCAGGTAGTATGTCTACACTGGCAAATGTTACCCAGCTATATCCATAGTTGCAAAACAAAGTATCATTTTTGGAAACTTCCAACACCATACATTTTTAAACCTAGTTACTGATTTGTGGTGGTGAGTACTTAATACTTTCAGAGCTCCCAGGCTCACCTGGGAGTGATGGGAATAAAATAACAACTAAGCTAAAGTAAAGAGCATGTAGCTTTTCCTGGTGTCATTAGGGAGGGTGGGCTTGGCTCCTGTTTAAATGTGTTCAAAGGAAAAAGATGATCACATTATAAATTTCTGACTTCACTTTGACAGAATCTAGGTGGTGTGCATACAACAGCAGCAAGACAGTTGATAATGCAGAAATATCAGGAGGAGTGTGAAATACTCTGTAGGGAGCAAGCTGTTTCTCTTGACTACTGGCTTGCCAAAGCAGAGTCTTATTATAATAAAATAATAGTGGAAATGATGAAAGAAGAGACAGGCAATGAAATCTAGAAAAAAATGGAGGAGAAAACAACCCAGAGCGTAGAAGGACTAAAACAGTACTGTTTGGTACCTGAGAGAGAGATGAAACACATAGAAAGGCACATACATCAAACAGGAAAGGCTGGAGAATTTAAGAACAAACCATTTAGACAAGTACTACAACCCCCCAATGAAACAAAATTACCAAAAATTATGCCAGAAGGGCATGGCATCCAGAACGCACAGAGAAGAAAGCAGGTAAATGAGAGGGAACAGATGCAGACTAAGGATCACCAGGAACGCATGATTCGAGGGAGAGAACTTGCAGAACAAAGACTCAAGGAGAGAATCTTGAGAAGAAGCCAGAGCCAGCTACTTACATATGAGAAGCATGAGAGAGTAAAAGAGATAAAGGAGTTTGAAAGAGTTATTGCGTATCTTCTTTTCCAACCATGCAGTAGAAGTCGGATTAAAGTGAGTATTCTTATGGATAAGTCTCAGAATGGAGAGAAGGTGAATACAATTGTGAAACCATATCAAAGAAAATTCTTGGCAATGCCACCCTTTTTAAGAAGTCAAATAGGAAAAATAAGAGATTAAAGTTTCAATGCTGTTATGATAAAATCATATCTCTTAAGTGAACCCTTTTTTTTTTCAAATGCTCGTTCTCTCCAGGGTTCAGTGAATATTCCCATTTGTATCAGATACAGATAGATAGTTCTGCACTTGAAAATTAGCTTAACTTTTTTAGTTGACTTGCATTTGTTCAAGTTGCATATCCTTTCTAGTGTTCAGTGTCCTCATCTTTAAAATGGCAATAATATTTGATGGCATTTATGGAAGGACTGTTTTTTTTGTGAAGTGTAGGTATGTATTAGTTGTTTCATAAATGTTAGTTTCCCCACTTGGAAAGACCGGGGTTGGGCAATGGTGGTGAATAAAGAATTGTTCTAATCTACTTCTCTTATTCTCCCTGTTCCCAGCCCTCCAAGGTTATTTTGATGAGATTGCTATAGTTTAGTATATGGTCTTTAATATCATACCTTCATCAGATAACTACTAGCCAGCCCCTAAAAGTGTAACTTGCTCTGTACAATTTATTTGAATGAGAAACTTAATTTTGAGAGCCTCCTACATGCTAGGCATTATGTTAGTTACTGAAGGTGAATAAAGAGAAGTCTCTGCCCTTGAATAATTTTCAACTAATGGCATAGATCACTCTATAAACAGATAATGTAGTAAATAAAGGTTACAATAGAAAGGTACAGGGTGCTTTACAAAGGACGGATTCTAACCTGGCCCAGGTGAGCAGGGTGAAAAGGAGGAAGGTTAGGGAAGGGAGTATTATAGTCTGTCATGTTTCTTCCAGCTTTTTTTGTCACTTCCTATCACCCACTTAAGCAAGACCTTCCTAATGCTTGGATCCACTCAGGGATAATCAAACTCAGCCTTTCTCAAACTCATGTTTTTGGCACTCATTGATAAATCAGAAAGCAAATTTATAAATTTAGTGAGAATTACAGTTGTCAAGCAGAATGAAATTTGTGTTTTCTAGTCAGTTTATTTTCTTCCCAGATACCAGAAAGTTGGGAAAGCAGGGGTTCAGAGTTGGTAAGCAGAGAAGCAAATAAATGGAAATAGATGCCCTCAGGAATATTATGCTTAAGTTGTGATAATTCTGATGCCCACCTTGCTTTACTAGCAGAACACCCTTTACCCTGGATACTGCTAGGTCAGCCACTGATACAAATGTTCTGTGTCTGTGCTCCTCAGTACAGTAGCCCTTGCTACACGTGGCTGTTGAGGCATTTAAAATGTGGCTGGTGCAGCTGTGGAATGGAATGTTTAATTGAATTTCATTTAAATTTAAATTGCCACATGTGGCAAGTGACTACCCTGTTGCACAGTGTAGCACTGGATAAACATAACTTCTGTGTTCTAGATTCCAGTCCCACCATTAGCTTTCTGTTTTTGACAGTGTTTGCTGGTATGATAGGTCACTGTTCATTTTACATTACTATCAGTTTAGTTTCCTTTGCATTTCAGAGGCTCCCTAATCCCTTAAAGAGATTTAAAAATCAATGTAGACCACTTCTGTGTGAAAATAAGATGACTGAATTTGCTTTGATTGGAATTAGGAACTGACCTCTCTTTGCTAGTTCTGGAATTTGGCCAGGATGCACATCAAAATCTCATTCCTACCCTCCTGATTTGCCTCATGGAAACTTCGTTGCTGTGTCTGTTCTCTGGTCCTCTATTGCTATGTCTCAGCTTTAGATTCTATGTTTTGCATAGAAATGGATCATCAGAATGCAACAGGCAGAAGACTTAGAAGTGCAAATCAGTAGGGTAATGACAAGCCCTTTGAGCTGAGTGGGACTGAAAAGTAACCTAACATATAACCTATTAGTAATTGTTTACCATGAAGGTTTTCAGTGCTGGACACATAAATTGCTGAGTTCAACTGCCCTCTTTCCCCTCCAAATCTAGCATAAAAGCAACTGGTGCTCTCAGGGCAATTTCACACCTAATACGGCTAAGAATAAAAGTCTATGTTTCAGGAACTCAGTTTGTCCAAACCTGCATCCATCATCTACCTCAAATTATATCCACCTTTTCATTTCTTTGCACTGTGTCTGCTTAAATCTTGAGTCACACTTAATGTTTTTTTTTTGGTCTTTTTTCTTTTTAATGTGAAATAGAATATACAATACACAAATGAAAATGTATATTTAGAAGAACAATAATAAATGTCCAGGTGCCTGTTGCTCAGACTGAGAAATGGAACATTACTACATCCCAGGAGCCTCGTATGCTCTCATTCATATCTCTCTCCCCTGCAGCCAGAGGCAACCACTATCCTGAATTTTGTATAACTGTCACCTAGCTTTTATAGATTTTACTGTCTGTGTATCCCTAACAGTTGCTTATTTATAGCCTTTATATAAATAGAATTATACTGTATATGACTGACTACTTTTGCTCATTATTATTTTTGGATTCATCCATGTTGATGTGTGACACTGTAGTTCATTTCCATGACATGAATATGCCACAACTTAATTATATATTCTGTTGATGTCATTTAGTTGTTTCCAGTTTTTGTTTTATTTTTCTTTTAAAAATGATACTTAGATAAACATTAACATGTTTAATCTTATGTTCTGGTGACTGTGTACTAGATATATGTATGATATATAAATTGTGGTACATTTATTTGACAGGCCTGATCTTGAAGCCTGTTAGATTTCTGTTCCTTTGTGGCATTATGCCTGTAAGCCTGTTCTGTAGAGTCTGGCACATGTTAGCCTCTTAATAGATATTTGTTGAAAGAAAGGACATTTGTTAACTGCTGGAGACAGGCCCAAAATACATAAATAGCTGATAACAGACCACTTTAGCTTTTTACTCATCTTGTCCAGGTACAATCATAGTCAACCTCTGTTTATGCTTATATTTCAGTTGAGGTACTAAAATATTTGTTTACTTAGTTGGTTTTCAGTGAGCTTCCAGTACAGGATTTGTTTCTCTTTCTGTCACTTTTCCCAAAACTTTCACTCCACTGCCTTCTAGAAAAGATCACCCACATGTCATCTCCTCAAGGCACCTGCAGCACGAAAGTTTTATTTCTGAACAAAAGGGTCCCCAGAGAAGGAGACAAGGAGTCTCCTTTCAGTACGAGGTTGCTGGAGTCCCTAGAGGGTCAAAGGCTGTGTAATAACAGTTCCTTCTTGTCTGCTGGACAAAAGCTTCTGAGCCCTCAAGCACCCTGTGACTTAGTTCTGATAGAGTACTGAGTTTGGAAATGGCAGAGTGGGGACCCAAAACAAATCTTCCAATTCCAAATTCAGTTTTATCCACCTTTTCAAATAAGATTAAAAAATGTTAATGTCTGTTGATTTGTGTGTGTTGAACCACTCTTGTATCCCTGGGATGAATCCCAATTAATTGTGGTATATTTTTGATATGTTGTTGGATTCAGTTTGCTAAAATTTTGTTCAGGATTTTTGTGTATATTTTCACTAGGAAGATTGGCCTGTAATTTTCTTTTTTTTTGTATTCTTCTCTGCTTTTGGTATCAGGGCAATGCAGGCTTCATAAAATGAGTTAAGAATAATTCCTTCCTCTTCAGTTTTTTTTAAATATTTTGAGAAGTATTGGTATTAATTTTTCTTTGTATGTATGGTAGAATTTGACAGGAAAGCCATCTGGTCCTGGGCTTTTCTTTATTGAGACACTTTTAATTACTGATTCAGTCTTATTACTCATTGTTGGTCTGTTCAAGTTTTCTATTTGTTCCTGGTGAAATGTCTACAAAAATAACAAAAATTAGCTGGGTTGTGCATGTAGTCCCAGCTACTTAGGGGGCTGAGGCAGGAGGATCGCTTGAACCTCAGGAGGTTAAGGCTGCAGTGAGCTGGTATTGCGCCACTGTGTTGCAGCCTGGGTGACAAAGTGAGACCCTATCTCAAAAATAAAAAAAATTCATATGGAACCACAAAAGAGCCCCATCCAATAGTTAAGCTATAGTAATAGCTTTGTAACTGTTATAGTAGAAACCAAATCATCATGGTACCGGCCTAAAACAGACACATAGACCAATGGAAAGAATAGAGAACCCAGAAATAATTTCATATACTTACAGCCAACTGACTTTCAACAAAGGCACCAAGAAAGGACACCCTTTTCAATAAATGGTGCTGGGAAAACTGGATATCCATATGCAGAAGATTGCAGCTAGGCTCATATCTCTTACCATATTAAAAAATCAACCAAAAATGGATTAAAGGCTTAAATGATAGATCCGAAACTATGAAACTACTAAAAGAGAATATAGGGGAAATGCTCAAGAACATTGGTCTAGGCAAAGATTTTATGGTTAAGACATCAAAAGCATAGGCAACAACAACAAAAAATAGGCAGGTGGGACTATATTAAACTAAAAATCTGCACAGCAAAGAAAACAACAGAGTGAAGAGACCAACTGTAGATGGGAACAATATTTTCAAATTATCCAACAGGGGACTAATATCCAGAGTGTACAAGGAACACAATTCAACAGTAAAAAAAAAAAAAAAATCCCCTTAAAAATGGTCAAGGGATCTGAATAGAAATTTCTTAAGAAATACAAATGGCCAACATGTATGTGAAAAAGATGCTCAACATCACTAATTATCAGGGAAATTTAAAGCAAACCACAATAATATATCATCTTACCCTAGCTAGAATAGCTATTATTAAAAAGACAAAAATGGTAGCTAGGATATAAAGACAAACTCTTACACATGGTTGGTGGGAAGGTGAATTAGTACAGCCACTATGGAAAACAGTATGGAGATTTCTTAGAAAACTGAAAATAGATCTGTGTGATCCAGCAATACCACCACTGGGTATTTATCCAAAGGTAAGGAAATCGATACATCAAAGGGATACTGGCACCCCCATGTTTACTGTGGTACTATTTACAATAGCAAAGACAGGGAATCAACCTAACTGTCCATCAATGGATGAATGGATTAAAAAGATACGGCATATATACACAATGGAATACTATTTAGCTATAAAAAGAATGGAATCTTGTCATTTCCACTAACATGGACAGAACTGGAGGTTCTGATATTAAATGAAATAAGCCAGGCACAGAAAGACAAATATTGCATGTTCTCACTCATGTGCGAGCTTTAAAAGGTTGATCTAATCGAGGTAAACAGCAGAAAGATAGTATCCAGAGGCTGGGAAGGGTGTGTGTGTGTGTGTGTGTGTGTGTGTGTGTGTTTGTGGGTGTGTGAGGGGGGTGATGAAGAGAGGTAGGTTAATGGGTACGAACGTACAGTCAGATAGAAGGAATAAGTTCTAGTGTTTGATAGCACAGTAGGGTGACTATAATTAACAACAATATATTGTGTATTTCAAAATAGCTAGAAGACTTGTAATGTTCCCAACACAGAGAAATAAATGCTTGAGGTGACGGATATCCTATGTACCCTAACTTCATTATTAGATACTATGTGTGTATCAAAATATCACATGTACCCCATAAATATGTGCAAATATTATGTACAAATAAAAAGTCACACTGTACAATTTTTATTTGTCAATTATACTTCAATAAATCTGGAAAAAAATAAAGTATGTTTGCAATCAAAGTTTTAAAGTATATTCCCAAATATGTGCAACCATCACTGCATTCAATTTTAGAATATTATCATCGCCTGAAAAAGAAACCCCATGCCCTATAGCTATTACTCTCTTATTCCCCCTTCCCCATCACCCCAAACCCTAAGCAAGAGTTAATCTATGTCCTACCTGTATGGATTTGCCTATTTTGGAAAATTCATATGTAAATATAATCATATATGGTCTTTTGTGACTAGTTTCTTTCACTTAATGTTTCCAAGTGTCATTTATATTATAGCATGTATCAGTATTTCATTGCTTTTTATGGCCAAATAATACTGTATTCCATAGATGTATCACATTTGTTTATTTATCGGTTTATAGACATCTGGATTGTTTCTGTCTTTTGGCTAATACAAATAATGCATCTATGAATGTTCATTTACAAATTTTTGTGTGACACATTTTTATTTCTCTTGGACATATACCTAAGAATGGGTGAGTCGTATGGTATCTTCATTTTTAATCAGTTGAGCCACAGCCTGACTCCTTCCAAAGTGACTACATAATTACACATTCCTGCCAGCAGTGTCTGAGGGTTCTCATTCCTGCATATCCTTAACAATACTTATTATCTGATGTTTTGATTCTAGCCATTCTTTGGCTGGGAAGTGGTATCTCGTGTGTGTGTGTGTGTGTGTGTGCGCGCGTGCGTGTGTGTGTTTTAGACAGAGTCTCGCTCTGTTGCCCAGGCTGGAGTGCAGTGGTGTGGTCTCGGCTCACTGCAACCTCTGCCTCCCAGGTTCAAGCAATTCTCCTGCCTCAGCCTCCCAAGTAGCTGGGATTACAGGTACCTGCCACCATGCCCAGCTAATTTTTTCTATTTTTAGTAGAGATGGGGTTTCACCATGTTGGCCAGGCTGGTCTGGAACTCCTGACCTTCCGATCCACCCACCTTGGCCTCCCAAAGTGCTGGAATTACAGGTGTGAGCCACCATGCCCAGCCTTCACTGTGGTTTTAAATTGCATTTCCCTAATAATGTCGATCATCTTTTTTATGAACTTATTGGCTATTTGTATATCTTCTTTAGGGAAATGACTGTTCATATCTTTTGCTCATTCTATTTTTATTTATTTATTTAGAGACGGAGTCTTGCTCTGTCATCCAGGCTGGAGTGGAGTGGTGCGATCTTGGCTTACTGCAACCTCCGTCTCTTGGGTTCAAGCGATTCTTGTGTCCCAGCCTCCCAAGTAGCTGGGACTACAGGTGTGTGCCACCACACCCAGCTAATTTTTGTATTTTTAGTGGAGGCAGGGTTTTACCATGTTGGTGAGGCTGATCTCGAACTCCTGACCTCAAGTGATCCACCCACTTCAGCCTCCCAAAGTGCTGAGATTACAGGCGTGAGCCACTGCGCTCGGACTCCTTTGCTCATTTTAAAATTGGGATTATGTGTGTTTTGCAATCAAGTTGTAGGAGATTGTTATATATTCTAGAAACATCTCTTGTTAAATGTATGATTTGCAAATCTTTTCTCCTTTCCTGTGGGTTTTTTTCACTTTTAAAAAAATTCTTAATTTTTAAAACTATTTTAATTTTTTGATCTAAATGTTTACTGTTAATTAGTAAATAATACACATATGGGGTACAATGTGATGTTTTGATATATGTATATATTGTGGATCACTTTCTTGATAGTGTCCTTTGAAGCATAAACATTTTAATTTTGATGACATCTAATTTTTCTCAATATTATCTAATATCTTTTGTTTGTGCTTTGGCATAATATCTAAGAATCCATTGTCCAACCTGAGTTCATAAATATATATATATATATATATATTTGAGACGGAGTCTCACTCTGTTGCCCAGGCTGGAGTGGAGTGGTGTGATCTCGGCTCACTGCAACCTCTGCCTCCTGGGTTCAAGCCATTCTCCTGCCTCAGCCTTCTGAGTAGCTGGGATTATAGGTGTGCACCACCACACCCGGCTAATTTTTATATTTTTAGTAGAGACGGAGTTTCACCATGTTGGTCAGGCTGGTCTCAAACTCCTGACCTTGTGATCCACCTGCCTCGGCCTCCCAAAGTGCTGGGATTACAGGCATGAGCCACCGCACCCGGCCAGTTCATAAAGATTTATCACCTAGGTTTTCCTCCAAGAATTTTGTAATTTCACCACTAACATTTAGATCTTTCTTCCATTTTGAGCTTATTTTTGTATATAGTGTGAAGTAAAGGCCTGTATTAGTTTCTTAGACCTTGTGTAACACATTGCCAAGATTTGATGGCTTAAAACAGCAAACATGTATTCTGTCACAGTTCTGGAGGCCAGAAGTTTGAAATCCAGGTGTTGGCAGGATTAGTTTCTTCTGGAGGCTCTGGGGGAAAGTTCATTCCATGATTCTTTCCTAACTTCTGGTAGCTGTTGGTAGTTGTTGCTCCATTGGCTTGGAGATACATCACTGAAATCTTTGCCTTCATCTTCACATGGCATTCTTGCCTGTGTCTCTTCTCTGTTTATGTCATATCTCCTTCTCTTTTATTAAGACACCAGTCACTAGATTTAGGTCCCACCCTAAATCCAGGATGATCTTTTCTTGGGAACCTGAACTTAATTTCATATACAAAGACACCATTTCTAAATAAGTTCACGTTCACAGGTACTGGTGGTCAGGTCTTAGACAAACCTTTCGGAGTACACACTTCAACCACCATAAGGTCCACTCCATCATTTTGTATGTGGCTATCAAGTTTCCCCAGTACCATTTGTTGAAAAGACTGTGCTTTCCCCCGTTGAATGTGCTCAGCACCCTTGCTGAAAATCAGTTGACAGTAGACACATGGTTTTATTTCTGAATTTCAGTTCTATTCTATTGATCTATGTCTATCTTATGCAAGTACCACACTGTCTTGATTACCATTACTTTATGCGATGTTTTGAAACTGGAAAGAATGAGTTCTACTTTGTTCTTTTCTTCCTTCTTTTTATTTTTTAGAGACAGTTTCTTACCCTGTAACCCACACTGTAGTGCAGTGGCATAATCATGGCTCACTGCAGCCTCAACCTTCTAGGCTAAAGCAATCCCCCTGCCTCAGCCTCCCAAGTAGCTGGGATGACAGGTGTGTACCACCATGCCCCGCTAATTTTTATTTTTTGTAGAGACAGGATCTTGCTGTGTTGCCCAGGCTGGTCTTGAACTTCTGGCCTCAAGCAATCCTCCTGCCTCGGCCTCCCAAAGTGCTGCGATTGATTACAGGCATGAGCCACTGTGCCTGGCCCTTTGTTCTTTTTTTCAAGATTGTTTGCGTAGTCTGCGTCCCTTTAATTTCTTTATAAATTTACAATTAGTTTGCAAATTTCTACGAAGAAGTCATTTAGGAATCTGATAGGGATTGTGCTGAATCTATCAGTTTGGAAATATAATCATTGAGTTATATTAAATCTAATCCATGAACTTTACCCCATTTATTTAGATTTTTAATTTCTTTCATTGATGTTTGAGTTGCACTTCTTTTGTTAAATTTGCTTCTAAGTATTTTGTTCCTTTAAAGCTATTACAAATGGAATTGTTTTCTTAATTTCATTTCTGGATTTGTCATTGCAAGGGTTTAGAAATACAATTGATTTTTGTATACTGGTGTTATATCCTTTATCCTTGCTGAAGTTAGTAGTTCTAATAGCTCTTTAATGGATCATTTAGCATTTTTTTATATAAAAGATCATGTCATCTGTGAATATAGTTTTACTTCTTTCTTTCCAATCTGAATATACTTTATTGCTTTTTTCTTGTCTAATTATCTTAGCTAGAACCTTTGGTAATGTTGAATAGACATAGTGGGAGTGGATATTCTTGTTTTAATTGCTGATCTTAGGAGGAAAGCAACCAGTCTTTCACCATTAAATATTGATGTGGTTTGGATTTGTGTACCCGCCCAAATCTTATGTCAAACTGTAGTCCCCAGTGTTGGAGGAAGGGTGTGGTGGGAGGTGATTGGGTCATGGGGGTGGACTTCCCCCTTGCTGTTCTCATGATAGTGAATTTTCATTGAGATTTTGTAGTGAGATTTGGCTTTTTAAACATGTGTGCCACCTCCCCCTTCTCTCTTCTTCCTGCTTCAGCCATGTAAGATGTACTAACTTCCCATTCACCTTCCACCATTATTGTGTTTCCTGAGGCCTCCCCAGGAGCAGAAACCTGTATAGCCTGCAGAACCTTTAGCCAATTAAACCTCTTTTCTTTATAAATTATCCAGTTTCATGTATTTCTTTAAAGCAATGCATAAATGGACTAATACGAGTATGATGTTAGCTGTAGCTTTTTTATAGATGCCCTTTATCCGGCTGAGAAAGTTCCTTTCAATTCCCAGTTTGTTGACTCTTTTTTTTTTAAAGTAACATGGTCTCAACACATCGCCCAAGATGCCCTCGAACTTCTGGCCTCAAGTGATTCTCTTTCCTCAGTCTCCTTGAGTAGCTGGGACTATAGACACATGCCAATGTGCCCACCTGTTGACTGTTTCTATTATGAAAGAGTATCGAATTTGATCAAAACCTTTTTCTGCATCTATTGAGATAATTGTGGGTTTTTATTCTATTGATATATTACATTAATTGATTTTTGGATATTAAACCCATCTTGCATTCCTAGGATAAATCTCACTTTGTCATGGTGTATAATTATTTTTGTACATTGCTGGGTTGTTTGCTAGTATTTTCTTGAAGATTTTCACATCTATATTCATGAATAGCGATCTGTAGTTTTTTTGTGATTGTTTTGTCTGCTTTTGGTACCAGCCTTATAGAACATACCTTATAGAATATGTTGGGCAGTGTTCCTTTCTCCTTTTTGGGAGAGTTTGTGAAGAAATGGTTTGATATCAGCTATTCATAGATCAGAGTTTGAGTAGCATGGTGACAAACCTAGGATAATTTTTTAGACTTTTATGGATGCTCTAGACTGAATGTTTGTGTCTCCAATCCCCCACCCAAATTCCTATGTTTAAAACTTAATCCCCAGTGTGATGATACTTAGAGGTGGGGCCTTTTGGAGGTGATTAGGTTATGAATGCAGAGCCCCCATGAATGGGATCACTGCCTTTATCAGAAAGACCCCAGGCAGTTCTCTTCACCTTTCTGCCATGTGAGGCCACTTGGAGAAGATATACGTTTATGAAACAGGAAAGGGGCCTTCATCAGACATGAAATTAACCAACACCTTGCTCTTGGACTTACCAGCCTCCATAACTGTGAGAAATACTTTTATGTTGTTTATAAGCCACCCAGTCTAAGGTATTCTGTTATAGCAGCCTGAGTGGACTAAGACAGTGGGGGTGTGTGGTGTTATAGATTGGTTTTTGGCCACAGTTCCTGGTTCCTAGCTCCTATATTCCCTTGTTTCGGTCTTTTGTAATAATATTGGGTGTGTTCGGCCTCGGCAGGCCTCAGGAATCAGAATCTCTCTTCTGGCCTCATTTCACCTGCCCCAAGGCAGGACTCTAATCTTCTGCCTTTCTGATTATGGGTCTTAAGACCCTCTCTGGAGAGGGTCCCACACTATACATTGGGAGAAGGAATGCTGGTGTCACGAAGCTTCCATAAAAACCCAGGAGAACTGGGTTCAGGGAGCTTCCAGGTAGCTGAACAAGTGGAGGTTTTTGGAGGTTGGTGTGCCCAGGAAGGGCATGGAAGCTCCATGCTCCTTCCCTGATACCTCACCCTACACGTATTTTCATCTGTATCCTTTGTAATATCCTTTATAATAAACTAGTAAACATAAATGTTTCCCTGAATTCTGTGAGCTACTCCAGCAAATTAGTGAAGCCCAGAGTGGGTGGTGGGAACTTCTGCGATTGGTGTCTGATGTGGAGTAGTCTTGGGGACTAAGCCCCCAATCTGTGGGATATGATGCTATCTCCAGGTAGACAGTGTTGACATTGAACTGGAGGATACCCAGCTGGTGTCCACTGCTTGGTGTGTGGGGAAAAACCTCCACATCTTTGGTCACAGAAGTCTTCTGTGTTGATGATTGTTGTGGTATGAGAGCAGAGGGAAAATGTGGTTTGAGAGAGGGTTTCCTAAAATAGGGTTACAAAAACATAAATGTCACAGATATTCTTTCCAGAAAATATGTGCATATACAAAGAAATATAAATATTAGTATAAAATCTTAGTGTATACACAGGTCCTCTGAAGTCTTAGACATCTAGATTTTAAAAAATCCTAACAAGAGATAAGTTTTGAGCAATCATTTCACCATCCCACAGTGCCACTCTACTTATCTGAGTATAAACTGATCAGGAAAAAGTTGTACTTCATAACAGACTATCAAGGAAATAAATTGAAAGTTGTAATTAATTAGTCACTGATTCATTCAGCAAAACCCAAGTGTCTATGATATACCAGATAAGGTTCTAGTCTCAGATTACTGCTCTAGGAATTGACTTTTTTTTTCATTCTTTTTCCACTCTATCTTCCTGTGTCCCAGCACCTGAACCCTCTCCATGTTAGGGAGAATTTCATACTTAAAGAGTATGATTTCATACTTAAAGAATTTCATACTTAAAGAGTCATTGTAGGAAGCAGACACCAACTTCTTCCACGAAAGAAAAACTCACTTTTCCAAATATTCTGGCAGCTGGATATGGGATGAGGCTTAGGTTCCACCAGGCAGATAACCACTTGCTGGATTCTGACTCAGCCTGGTGACATAAGCTGGTACTGTGCACACATTTTAGTAAGTGTGGTGTGAGTTGCAGCAGCAATGTCCAGTTGCCAGGAGCAGTCGTGATAGCAGTTCTATCTGCAAGGTCCAGTGTCTA
This sequence comes from Homo sapiens, assembly GCF_000001405.40. NCBI lineage: Eukaryota > Metazoa > Chordata > Mammalia > Primates > Hominidae > Homo > Homo sapiens. The sequence continues at coordinate 1,305,382 of NT_167246.2, read as the reverse complement.
GCTTTAGAGTGTCATTGGTATGAACAGTGACATCTGTGCCCAGCATCAGGGGCAGTGATTCCTATGTGAGACTCCACCTAGGATGGGATTATAGATGCTGCTTCTAGCTATGTAGCTTTAAGCCTATTCTCACAGACCTTCCCAAAATAAAATAAACACCAGCCTAATGAAGATAGATGATAGATAGATAGACAGATAGAAGTCCTTTATGTTTAAATTAGAAAAAATAGCATTTAAATGTGGACTTAAGACCCTTTCCCACCCTAGGCACTGTTGATCACTGACCTCAGTGGTTCCCAATCTGGCTGATCACCAGGATTCCTTGTAGATTTTTTACAAAAATACTCAGGCCTTTCCCCATACCCACCATCTCAGAAGTGGAACATGGATCCCAGGAATAACAAGCCACAGGTGAGGCTGATGCACAGCCACCTGGGAATCCTGGTCTACATTCTTGCTACTAAAAGTGTGATCTGAAGACCATCAGTGTCTGCCTCAACTTTTTTATAAACACAGAATCTCATTCTCAACTCCAGACCACCTGAATCTTAGAAAGTTGTCCAGGTGATTCCTACGCACACTAAAATTTGAGATTCTCAGATTTACTTACTTTCTAGATGTGGTGTTAGAACTGTGCAGTCTGCTGTCAGAGTGTGTTCTGATGAAATCCCTTAGCACTGAAGGTCCAGGGTTCAGTCCATGTCCTTTTTCTCTTCTATAGCCATCTTTCCCTTGGCGACTCATGCATGCTCTATGCTTTAAATATCATTAATATGGCATTAACTCCTAAATCTATTTTCCCAGCCCAGACATTTCTCCTACATTTCCAACTTGCATATCCATCTGCCAACACAACAACCTCACTTGAATGTCTGACATCTGAGATTCAACATTTCCTAAATTGAATGCCTATAGTGCCCCCTCCTCAAATATGCCCCTTTCAGAATTTTCCCCATCTGTGCTGACAACAACTTCATTTTTCTACTTGCACAGTCTGAAATTTTGGGGTTCCTCTTTGACTCCTCTTTTTCATACCCCAGACTTAATCTATTAGGAAGTACTGTGAAGTCCATATTGAGAATGTGTCTGAAATCCAATCACTTCCCACTCTTTTCTCTGCTCACACCCCAGGCAAAGCAACCAGAGTTGCTAATCTGAAATACTGCACTAGTTTCCTACAGTTTTCCCACTTTCTCACTCACCCCTCATCTCTCAATTCTGTTCTCAGCATAGCAGCCAGGATGATCCTTTTAAAAGATGTGCCAAGTCTCTACTCTGCTGACAGCTGTTTGTGTCTCCCCCATCTCACTCAGAGCAAAGTCAGAACCCTTCCAGTATCCTCAAGCCTACATGATCTCCCCAAATCTCTGACCTTATATCAATGACTGCTGCAGCTATCTGAGCCCCCTCAACTCCTCCCACAACCCAGATGTGCTCCTGTTCTAGTGCCTTTGCACTGGGGGTTCCCCTGCCTGGAAAGAACCTGCCCCAGACGTCCTCATAGATAATTCATCTTTTCTCTTAAGGTCACATTCCCAGTGAGACCATAGACCACCCTAGTAAAACAGCCATCTTCCCTGTCCCCACACACCCACAATCTGGATCACCTGCCTCACACCCCTCAGCACCTTTTGACAGAAACACTTTCCTTATTTACTCTGCTTATAGTACATAGTCTGTGTTTTCCCACTAAAACATGTGCCCCTCAAGGCCAGCAATTTTTGCCTGTTTTTAGTTTCCAGATGTAAAACTAGCATTTCATACAGCCAGCACTCAACAAATATTGGCTAAATGAATGACCAGTGTACAGCACCTCCCTATTCTAGAAACAGTATCTTTATTAATGTAGCTGCAGACCACATGCTGTTTTGTGGCAGCTACAGTGAAACAACCACTCATGTTGACATCAATGCTGCCTGTACTTTTCTCACAAATGCTGTTCTCGCCTCCCTCCCACACCAATCCTCATATACCACAGCAGACAATTATAGTTCCCTTTTCAGAAAAAAAAAAATGATCCTAGGCTTATGGACCCTATTTTCCAACCAACTGTGAATTAAATTAGAGTCTAGACATCCATGAGTTTGGATTTGAGCCAGCACTAGGATTATTACAGCCAAAGGCAGGGAGAGAGGGTAGGTGAGCCAAAAATAAATTCCTGTTAGAAACCTAACAGGAGTTTATCTAAGGTGAGAAACCGAGATATGATCTCTAATTCCAGAATTTGATTTCCTGAAAAAGATTGGGGAAAAGATGCGAAGAATAGTCCAGGAAACAGCCCTGGAAGGACAAGAGCTGGGTGGGTCTAAAAATTGGTCTCTTGATACCACAGAGACTCCTGTGTGCAGGGGCCACCCCAGGGCTTGTGAGGACAATGACAGAAAAAGTAACTCCTACGGCTGTCCTAGAGGAGATTGGAGACTTGGAGACCAGAACTCAGATACAAGAAGAAGAACAGGCATAGTCTTCTGTCAAAACAAAACAATGAACAAGATGGGGGCTGAGGGCCAGACCTAAGCCTGAGCCTAGGCTGACCTGGTCACACAAAGCCCTTGCCACAGTCCTAGAGACAGGATAAGGCCTGGCCCTTCTCCTCCTATACCAAATGCTCTTTGTCACACATTCTCCCTTAATCCAGAGCTAGGAGTTACGTCATCGTTTCTCAAACGTTTTGGTTTCAGGATCTCTGCATGCTCTTAGGAATTAGTGAGGACTCTGAAGATAATTTTATGTGAGTTATATACGTTAATATTTACCATATTAGAAACTAAAATCACTTAAATTATTTTATTCATTTAGAATATTAATAATGCATTGCATGTTAGAAATATTTTTATGCAAAGTCAGTATTTCCCAAAGTAAACAGTATAGTGAGAAGAGTGCATCTTTTTACATTTTGTATGTTTGTAAATCCTTTTCTTATGTGTCTCATTAGAAGATTAATGAATTTTCTTCTCCTTCATTTAATCTGTTATTTTGGTTAATCTGTTATGTTTGGTTGAAGTGTATGAAAAAAAATCCATCCTCACACAATGATATTTTTGTTGCTGTTCTTGTTTTGGGTTTTGTTGGGGGGTTTTGTTTGTTTGTTTGTTTCTTTTGGTCTCATGCTATCACCCAGGCTTGAGTGTAGTGGTGTGATCATAGCACACGGCAGCCTCGAATTCCTGGGCTCAAGTGATCCTCCCAATTCAGCCTCATGAGCAGCTGTGACCACAGGCACGAAACACCACCGCAGCTAATTTTGTTTATTTTTTGTAGAGATGGGGGTCTCATTCGAACTCCTGGGTGGAACTCCTAGGCTCAAATGATTCTCCTGCCTTGGCCTCCCAAAATGCTGGGATTACAGGTATAAGTCACCTCGCTAGGCCAGGAATGTTTTTAATAACATTTTTAGAAAACTGGATATTCATCCTTGATACTACACTAAAATGATAGAAGTGTTAGCTTCTTAAAGGTTATTTGTAATGTGGAACATGAAACTATCAATAACTATTTCACATGCTGTTACATTAAAATATATAGGTCCGACTTCCACATTGAATGCTTCTTGTATAATACATGACTTTTAAAAAAAGAAACACAATTTCACCACATTATGTCTTCCAGTGTTGACACATTTAACTACAAGTTATCAAAAAATCACATTTTTTAATATTACCACAGATATTACCAGAAAAGATTGTTAAGTATTGGGAAGCCATCAGGCTTATGATGGTGGATACAAGTTCCCCAGGATTCTAATTTTCTCTTGAGAGCTTGCCTTTTATCATTGGGAATAATACCATCAGTTGATTATGTGGAAGGGACAGGGTTATGTTCGTTTTTGAGAAAGTGTCAGCCAAATATTCAAGTCTAAATGATAATCATTTCTGTCATTCATTCTTTCAAGTAAAAAGGATATTCCATAAAAAATAGACTAGTACAACTCACAAAATGATTTTGTGGACACAAACATTTTAATTTGTTTTTGTTTTCGTTTTAAGACAGGGTCTCGCTCTGTTACCCAGGCTGGAGTGCAGTGGCATGATTTTGGCTCACTGAAACCTCCACCTCCCGGGTTCAAGTGATTGTTGTGACTCAGTTTCCCTAGTAGCTGGGACTACAGGTGCGCACCACCATGCCTGGCTAATTTTGTATTTTTAGTAGAGACAGGGTTTCACCATGTTGGCCAAGCTGGTCTTGAACTCCTGACCTCAAATGATCCACCTGCCTAGGCCTCCCACAGTGCTAGAATTAATTGCAGGTGGGAGCCACTGCGCCTGGCCTCAAACATCCTAATTTGGAATGTAGTAGAAATACCTTATGCGTACTTCCCACTTACTCATTTAAGATATATTAAACTGTGGATTCTGGGATAGAGATTTAATAAAGTTAATAATTCTTTGATACTTCAACCAGGACATATTTAAGTGAAACCTGTTTTTTCTTCTATAATTAAGAAGTGGTTAAGAATATAATAACTACTATTTCAGTTTGGTACCATAGCCTCCCTTCTTGTCAAGTTTTACTTTAGTACAAATAATGTCTTCATTGTATTATAAAAATACTTTTAACCTTGTGGATCTATGAAGGGGTTTCAGCAGCCCACAAGGGTTCCACAGATTGCACTTTGAGAAATCCTGTTCTGGGTAAGCTGTGGAGAGTTCTTGACTGGCCCCTTTGCCTCTTCATTTTCCCAAATTTTTCTCCCCGAGCAGGACTCCCTGCATCCCAAAACTTAGCTAGCGCTAAGTTTGCCTTGCCCTGGGCTCTTATAGAAGAGAACCTATCACCTGTAAATTGGATGCAGAGAGTGTCCTTAGTCTGGGAACAGAGGTGGCAAATGTGTTTCCATTTTGGAGCTGGGAATGGTTTGCGCCTAAAAGCACAAAATAGAGATTTCACTCCTGACCCACTTTGAATTTGCAGTCTCTATGAGAAATAATATTGGCCCTTTCATTTCTGTTTTTTCCAAGATGGGGTCTCACAGTGTCACCCAAGCTAGAGTGCAGTGGCATGATAATGGCTCACTGTAGTGGCGAACTCTCGGGGGGCTCAAGCCATCCTCCCACCTCAGACTCTTAAGCTGTTGGAACTACAGGCACTTGCCAGCATGTCCAGCTAATTTTAAAAATTATATATTTTGTAGAGCTAATTTTAAAAAATATTTTGTAGAGGTGGGATCTTGCTATGTTCCCCAGGCTGGTTTCAAACTTCTGAGCTCAAGCGATCCTCCTGCTTTGGCCTCCCAAAGTGCTGGGATTACAGGCGTAAGTCACCACAACCAGTCACCCTTTCATTTTAGATGTGTCTAATGCACTTGACTTGAGGCCCACATAGCACCAAGAGCAGTTATCTTAATCCATCAGGCTGCTATAACAAAAATACCCTAGATTAGGTGGCTTATAAACAAAAGAAAGATATTTCTCACAGTGCTGGAGGCTGGGAGGTCCAATATCAAGGTGTCAGCTAACTCTGTGTCTGGTGAGGGCCTGCTTCTTCATAGCTGTCCTCTCACTGCATCCTCCCATGGCAGAAGGGCCAAGACAGCTTTCTAGAATCTCTTTTATAAGGGTACAAGTTCAATTCATGGGAGTTCTGACCTCATGACATAATCACTTCCTCTAAAACAAACCCACTTCCAAATATCATCTCACTGGGGATTAGGTTTTATTTTGGGAGGAGCATAAAAATCTCTATAGCAGTAGTGCTGTTCAATAGAACATTCTGTGATGATGAAATTGATCTATATCTGCACTGTCCAATATGGGAGCCACTAGTTACATGTGGTTATTGAGCACTTGGAATGTGGCTAGTGTGATAAAGAGTTGATTTTTTAAAAGTTTTATTCAATTAATTGAAATATAAATAGCCATGTGTAGCTAGTAGTTACCATTTTTGATAGTGCTTATCTAGAGTGCTCTTAGTTTTCAATCTCCCCCACAAAAAAAGATACCTTGTGACTCCCAGATTGAAATACATTAAAATTACCTTCACATAGAACCCATGGATTTGGCTATGTGGGTCTTAGACATATCCCTAAAATACAGCAGGCCCAAGAAAGTTCAATATGTATTTTAACAATTAGAGTGTACGTATAGATTACCAAAACATGATTTATCAACTCAAGGTCATACATTTTCAAAAATGCTTATCACCAGAGCTAATCCTTGTCAATATTTCATTGAGACTCTTGGTGTTACTGTTTTCTATAACCTGGTGAACACAAGGAGGTATATAAGTCATTACTTAGCCCAAGAGAAAGTATTTATTGAAGTTGCCATATAAAATATCTTATAGGCTTTGTAGACATATTTTAAAATTATAAGCAAATGATTTAAACTTTTTCATTTTTGAGATAGAGTCTTATTCTGCCACCCAGGCTGGATTGCAGTTGGGCAATCATGGCTCACTGCAACCTCCGCCTCCCAGGTTCAGGTGATTCTTCCACCTCAGCCTCCCAAGTAGCTGGGCCTACAGGCACACACCACCACACCTGGCTAGTTTTTGTATTTTTTGGTGAATACACCATGTTGGCCAGGCTGGTCTTGAACTCCTGACCTCGAGTGATCTGCCTACCTTGCCCTCCAAAAGTGCTAGGATTACAGGCGTGAGCCACCACACCTGACCAGGTTTTAAATGTTAAAACTCCACCTTAGAACTCTTTGCTTCTTGCTCATTCCCCCCAGCTTTCTCCCCAAATCAAACATATCTGTGTGTTTCTCTTCACTCTGGGACTTCCCTCTCTTCATATCATCTGTACCTAGATGAAAATAGATGTTAAGTTTTACAATTGTGAGGTAGAAAAGGATTCTGTAAGCATGACCCAAATATGAAAAGCCATAAATAAAAAAATAAAACTTCTCTATGTCAACCACAGACTCACAAATATACAAACATATGCCTGTGATCAAATTCAAAGACACATAAATAATTGGAAAGACAAAAGGTAGCATATTTCAATGTCTTTCAGCCAAAGACCACCAGGAACATCTATAGCTGAACAACTGGGGTTTATTACTCATTGTCACAAGAGAGAATGCACACCATCTTAGCGTGAGGATATTAGAAAAAATGCAATATAGGATTTGGTCTTTTAGTGGATGTTTTTGGGGAGAGCTAACGAGGTAGGGGTTGACTGTAGATGGGGTGTTGTCAAAAAGCAGGAACATTTCTACGACTGTCTCAATAAATCTTACCCATAATAAATGCAGAGCAGAGCAAGGATAAAGTTGTGGCTGGTAAAGAAACAGCCGTCACTCATATTAGCCAGCAGGGGGAGAGGTTTGGTATTTTGTGAGGTACACAGTGCCTTGGTTTTTGTCTGTGCTTATACTAAATTATGTAGTGCCCCTGTTTTGTCTTGTTTTATCATGTTCCCAGAGTGTCCTTGTCTGATGTTGTGTAATATGGTTTATGTCCAAGAAAAGAATAATATGGCCTAGTGTTGAGCAGTAGGACAGCTTCTAACAGTACTGAAACCTACTGTCAGTGTCAGAAGTCAAGAGCTGCTTTTTTTCTTAGTCAAATTCAACATTTTTAAGTCATCCCAATAGAAAAATAATAATATTAGAAAGCAATATGGGAAAGAATAAATCAAATATCAGACAATATACTCTGATTAATGAATATGAGGAAAAATGAGAACATGACATTAGAAATGCGAATGAAAATTAAAATCTGTCAGTTTGGCATATGTGAAAGTAAATGATAAGCATATTATCCAGAGGTAGGGAAAATACACTGTCATGAAGGCTGATGAAAAACGGGTATACTTTGGGAGGCCGAGGCAGGTGGATCACGAGGTCAGGAGATCAAGACCATCCTGGCTAACACGGTGAAACCCGTCTCTACTAAAAATATTAAAAAAAAATTAGCTGGGCGTGGTGGCAGGCGCCTGTAGTCCCAGCTACTTGGGAGGCTGAGGCAGGAGAATGGTGTGAACCCAGGAGGCGGAGCTTACAGTGAGCCGAGATCGTGCCACCGCACTCCAGCCTGGGAAACAGAGCAAGACTCTGTCTCAAAAACAAAACAAAACAAAACAACAACAAAAAACACTGGGGTATAAATTTCTAGAGGGGACTTTTGCGAAACATGTTAACAATATAAATGGACTTACATTTCAATGCATATATTTCTCTTTCAAGAATTTTTCCTAAGAAGATAACTGCACACATTCTAAAAAATATATGTTCAAGGATGTTTCTTGAATTTTGGTTTATAAAAGCAAAATGATTGAAAGAATCCAAATGCTGTAATCAATATAGGGATAGTAGCTATGAGTAGCAGAACACTTAATATACCTCAAGGTATAATACCATGTGTTTTACTGAGAGAGTCAAATTTGATCTTCAATGCAAACCCATGAGAAGCCCGATATGTGATATCTTTGTATAGACAGGGAAAGGGAGACTCAGAGAGGTTAAGCAGGTGGTGGGGGTGGAGTGGACCCAGGGAATTTTCTCTTAATGGAATCATCTTTCACTGATTCCCTGTCCATCTGGTGGTGGATATGACGCTGTATCCCATGCCAGTGAACTCTTTCAATGTCCCTGAATGTTCTATGACAGGAGGTCATGAGATACAGTGCTCAGGAGAACATCAAGGGGCAATTGATCAAGGAAGTCTGATTTCCCTGCCTAACCACACTTATATTTCCTCATTCAGCATGTATTTCAAGTCCTCTGATGAATCATGTGATCTACTAGACCCTGAAGATACAGTGAAGAGCAAAAGTAAGATGCTGGCAATTTGATGTTTGCACTGTCATGAAGGAGATGCACATTTAGCAGAACTTACAAAGAGAAATATAAAATTACTGCTGAGCTAAGTGTGGTGAAGAAAAGTTCATGGTACCATGAAAGCAGATAACCAGGAGATCTAACAGGTCCACTACCACTATTCTCAATAATACCTAAAAGAAATAATAAGATATGGCATTTATAAATGATGAATAGGATTTTATAAAATTATATACAATCAGAGAACCAAAAAGCACTCTTGGAAATCAAAAAGTGATCATTTAAATAAGTATTTCAATAGATCACTTGGAAGAGTAAATTTGTACTACCACTAAATATTAAAAATGGAAAAACAATGTCAAGAAAGACAGAAAAACTATACGAATACTAGGCTATCAGTCAAGGATTTCCTGCAACTTAATAATACAAATTCTAAAAGAATGGAAAGATAGAAATTATTTAAAATAAAAAAATTTCTCCAAGTTTACAGACAAAAATTTAACTTGTAATGGCCCCAACCAAGTTCTTACTATAGTAGATGAAAACAGACCCACACCAAGACACATCACAATGAAATTTTAGAAGGTGGGTGGAAAAGAAGAAATCCCAAAAACATCAAAAGGCAAGAAAAACAACATTAGAAGCTAAAAAATGTTGATGGAATGTCATGGAAATTCCTAGGAAAAATGTTTTCAATACAGAATTCCATACCAAGTCCAGGTTGGAATAAGTGCTAGGGTAGCCCGAAGACATTTTCAGAAGCTTAGGCTTTCAGATTTTACTTTCCATGTTCCCTTAGGAACACAGATGAAATGAGAAACAAAAATGATGGAGAAAACCAAAAAAGGGGACACATGGGATCCAGGCAATAGGAGAGCCAGCATAAGAGAGAGGCAGAGGGATGCCCAGGATGAGGTGAAGACGATCTTGGAAATCAGCCCAGATGTGCATGCACCAGTCCACGTGTGGCAGGACCAAGGGAAGTGTCTTCACAAAGATGAGGTTGGTAGAACACGGGGCATGGTTGAATATATTCATGGAGACTGTCTTAGTTCATTTATGCTGCTATAACAGAATGCCATAGTCTGGGTCAGTTATGAAGAACAGAAATTTGTTTTCTCAGTTGTGAGGCTAGGAATCCAAGATCAAGCCACCAGCATTTGGCAAGAGCCTTCTTGCTGTGTCTTCACATGGCAAGTGGGTCAAGGGCAAGAGAGAGGACAATATTATTATTATGGGCTCACTCCCATAATAATGATATTAATTTGTTCATGAGGGCTCTGCGCTCATGACTCAGACAGCTTCTATTAGGCCTTACTTTCCAATATCACTGCATTGGGGATCAAGTTTCCAACACATGAACTTTGGGGAACACATTCAAACTATAGCAGAGGCCTTGGAGGGAAATTTGGAAGAGATTTTATAATGAGTACAACAGAAATTAAGCACATGAAGGGATAAAACATTTATTAATTCCAGGGAAATTAAAAAGTCAATTCCAGGAAGGAAAATAATCCTTGTGAATAGCATTTCCTAATCTAATTGTGAACAGCATTTCCTAATCTAATTGTGAATAGCATTTCCTAGTCTAGCTGTGAATAGCATTTCTGTGGTCATAATAATATAAATAGTGAACACCCAGCTAACCAAAATTATAAAATAACTATATTGAGAGGAGAGGGGTATATGAAAGGGAGCTATACACTAAGGATGATACATAAGAGTGAAAAACAAAACGGCACTATAACACACTATTTGGAGGCACAGATGTAACGATCAAAAAATTAGGCAGAATAAAGTAGATTGCCTCTAGGATTCAGGAAATGGTGTACATGAAAGATTGGGGACATCTGTGTTCATAACAAGCCTTGTAGAAGTATTTGGCTTTTGAAACACTGTCCATAAATCCATTTGATGTATTAAAAACATCATGAGACAATTGACTAAGGAATTATTCTATAAGGAGTGTCAGAGAAATGGGGCGGTAATTGGAGGGAGACATGGAATCAGGCAATGGATTTATTTATTTTATTTTTAATTGTTTTGCTTCCACTTAAATTGCATGTTTTATTTCTCCCAATCCCAGCAATAGCACAGAAGCCCCATCATATCCATCCCAAACTGGTTTCGAGTAGGTTAAGGTTATTGGGACCCTTGTCGGAACATTGATACAAAGAGCTCCCAAACACCGGGCACAAATGTGTCTGCAAACAGATGGAAGTAAACAGTGCACTGGCCCAAATGCTTCATGAGTCAGTTTGATTTTGCAATGCAATTTTCATCCTTGAAACGGCCAGTCTGGAGGGGGAAGGGGTAGCGTGAGGGAGTGAAGTTGAAATTGCCTCCTATTAGCTCACTCTTTCATCATTAAACAGAGACCAAGAGAGAAATGGTTCCAACATTTCACCACATATATTTCTTCTTATGCAGTCTAAGCTGAGAATGCCATGTAAATGGGTCACTGCAAAATGTAGCAATTTAATTTCTCTCCAATCAAAATAAGAAAGCAGTACGATCTCACTTCTATTAACTTTTGAAGGTTTACAGCAGTTAAAGTATTTTTGCTTATTTGTATAAAGGTTAAAAAAATCATTTTTTAAATAAAATACAAGAGCAGCCAATTTCACCATCGAGTAAAAGTAAAAACTGGGATTCTTTTTTAAATTAGTCCAAAGTGGCATTTAGGAACTTAGTTGTAGGCTGCTACGCTGACACCGTGACAAACCAAAGTGTAGGGTTGGGTCTGGTTTTGTTTCTGTTTTCTTTTCAATATCCAGTGCTCATGGATTAAGTTCTGGAAATGTTCCAATTGTAAGGCAGGGATCTGTTTGGATTCCATCATGAGTATGCTCCTTGGGTTGGATGCTGGAGAGTGAGGCATGTTTTGCCGGACCCATGTCGACTACCTAGTAGTCATCAAGGTAAAAAAATTCATCGTCTCCTCCTTGGTATTCCATTCTTTGGAAATCCACTTGGTACCACAAGAGACCTCCAATTCTACCAAATCCTTTCACAAACTGAGACCCTTCTTGTGATTTATATGTGACAATTTCCAATGTAGCTCCGACTTTTTTATAGTTGTTAGCAAACCATTTCAACAGGGGCATGCTCTTGATAAGCGCATGTTCCTGCCTGGTCTCTTTGTCTGTGAAATGAGATTTATCCTTTTCTTGCTCTGGAGTTAGAGAATTTTCTCCTCTTTTGTGCCTTGGCAATGAAGAACATATCTCATTATATTCAGATTTTCATAGGCTATTAGAATTTCTACAGCTCCCATTTCCAAAGCCTTTAGTGTATCTTCAACACCAAAACAGTACCTGCCTGTGTCCTGGCTGATTTCATCAATGTATCCCTACTAATTTCTTCTTTTGAATAAATTTCACTTTGGAGAGGACTTCAGTAGATAGCCCAACAGCTTGGTTGAATCCATTTTCACCACCATAGGATATATCAACTAATTTCTTTTTTTTGAGACTGAGTCTTGCCGTGTTGCCCAGGCGGGAGTGCAGTGGTGTGATCTGGGCTCGCTGCAAGCTCCGCCTCCCAGGTTCACGCCATTCTCCTGCCTCAGCCTCCCAAGTAGCTGGGACCACAGGCACCCGCCACCACGCCCAGCTAATTTTGTTTTTGTATTTTTAGTAGACACAGAGTTTCACCGTGTTAGCCAGGATGGTCTCGATCTCCTGACCTCGTGATCCGCCCGCCTTGGCCTCCCAAAGTGCTGGGATTACAGGCATGAGCCACCACGCCCGGCCTATCAACTAATTTTAAAACTTTCGATTGTAACCGCTGATCAAACGTATCAGATTGACTTAGTTCAGTTTTAAAGTCAGCGGATCCAGCTAAAACTAGACCAGCCACCTTCCCTTTGTCCCCAGAAATAAACAGCTGCACAGCAGTCTCTGCTACTTTCTGAACATTGTTAGGTCACTTTTCCATTCTTAAACAGGCAAAACGCAAGGCTGACTGACCTTTACCGTGTTTCTTTGGGAGATCCACAGTGAGTTTTTGCAGGACTTCTCTTGTGTTTCCTTGGAGGGTGCCAAAAAGTGCACCACTACCATCTATTACGATGAATCCAGACTTGCTTTCATCTGAAAGTAGTGCTGTAAGAGCTTCTGTATGGAATTTGTTGTCACACAAATACAATGATGTATTAATTGGTTTGAAATGTTCAAAATCAATGTTAACTTTCTTGTGCACATTTATAAGTAGATAGGCAAAATGAAGGAAAATTCAGAACTGAAATGGTCATTATTTTTAAAAACCAGCAATTATAGAGTTAACATGTAGAAGTTCTCTCTCTCTCTCTCTTTTTTTTCTGCCTACTTTGAACATGATGACATTTCTACAGGTGTTGAGATAAAACTCACTGCTTATGGCATTTCAGTCAAGGAAAGAAAACAGCCTTAAAGGCTTTGAAATTAATGGCTTTACAGATTACAATAGCTCCATGGTAATCAACCACCTAGACACCTTTTTTTTTTTTTTTTTGAGATGGGGTCTCACTCTGTCCCCCAGGCTAGAGTACAGTGGCCTGATCTGGGCTCACTGCAAGCGCCGCCTCCCGGGTTCACGCCATTCTCCTGCCTCAGCTTCCTGAGTAGCTGGGACTACAGGTGCCCGCCACCACACCCGGCTAATTTTTTGTATTTTTGATAGAGACGGGGTTTCACCGTGTTAGCCAGGATGGTCTCAATCTCCTGACCTTGTGATCTGCCTGCCTCGGCCTCCCAAAGTGCTGGGATTACAGGCGTGAACCACCGCACCTGGCTGACACCTTTTATAAATATAAATTTAGGTTTCCCTAACAACTGTGTACAATAATGAAACACTTAATTGAAAAATTAGTAACATAAAAGAAAAAAAAAATAAATGTTTATAAAAGTTAGGCTCTCAGACCAAATAGGTCAAAATCTTGATCTCAGAGCAATAATAGAAGGTATCCCTGTTCAACAGAAAAATTTTGTTTTTTGTGCCATGCAAAAGCCAAAAAGAAAAAGGTGAAGAAAAAAAAACAGCTAAAATTCTTCCCTCCCCACATTTGCTAATTAAGCAAACAAGACTGGTAAACAAAAGATTGATTTGTTACTAATTCAAGGCTACTTGGAGATATTTTGCTTATACAATTCAGTTAAAAAGAAACCCATAACTCACTTGAAACAACAACAACAAAAAAGGTGGGGGCAATGAAAGAAGTTTTTTTAAAAAATCTAACTGCCACGGAAAGTGCTTTACCCAAAATTTTGGTCCATAGCTCTCATTAGATTATAAAGGCAACTGAAGTTTAACCTGGACACATAAAATATACCAAGAATGAACCAAGAAGAAATTAAAAACCTGAGCATACCAATAATGAGTAATGAGCTTGAATCAGGAATAAAAAGTCTCCCAACAAAGAAAAGCCCAGTACTGGATGCCTTCATTGTTCAGTTCCACCAAACATTTAAAGAGAGACTGACACCAATTCATCTGAAACTATTCCAAAAAATTGAAGGGGGAAGGAGTTCTTTCAAATTTATTCTAGGAAGCAAGCATTACCTTGTTATCAAAACCAGGGAAGGATACAACAACAAAAAAACTACACGCTGATAAACACAGATGCAAAAATTAACAAAATAGTAGCAAACTAAATCCACAACACATCAAAAAGATTATATGCCATGATCAAATGGGATTTGTTCCAGGGATGCAAGAATGGTTACATATCTGCAAATCAATAAACGTGATAGATCATATCAACAGAATGAAGGACAAAAATAAAATGATCATCTCTAGATGCAGAAAAAGCATTTGGTAAAATTCAACATCACTTCATGATTAAAAACTCTCAACCAACTAGGTATAGATGAAATGTACCTAAATACAATAAAGGCTGCATATGACAATTCGATAGTTGACAACATACATAATGGAAAAAAAGTTGAAAGATTTCCCTCTAAGAATTGGAACAAGATAAGGATGCCTGCTTTTACCAAATTTAACATAGTACTAGACTGATTCCTATGGAAATGGATAGAAAATTTTAAAAGATTACAGCAATGACAACAACAAAAACACATAGTACTGGTCCGACCCAGAGCAATTAGGCAAGAGAAGGAAATAAAAGGCATCCAAATTGGAAAAGAGGAAGTCAAATTGTTGCTGTTTGCAGATGACATAATCTTATTTATACACAAACCTAAAGACTCCATCAAAAAACTCTCAGAACTGATAAACAAATTTAGTAAATTTACAGAATATAAAATCAACATAAAAAAACTGTAGACTTTCCATACAAATCAATAAACATGATAGAGCATATTAGTGGAATGAAAGACAAAACTAATATTATCATCTCTATAGCTGCAGAAAAAGCATTTGATAAAATTCAATATCACTTCATGATAAAAACTTCCAACCAATTAGGTATAGATGGAATGTACCTAAACACAATAAAGGCCATAGAGGCAAACTCAAAATGATGAAAAATCAAGAAAGAAATCTCATTCACAGTAACTATAAAAAAGCATGGGAATAAATTTAACCAAGTATGTAATGAAAACTATAAAATACTAATGAAACAAATAGAAAAGGACACAAAAAATTGAAAGATATTCCATTATCATGGATTGGGAGAATTAATATTGTTAAAGTGACCATACTACCCAAACCAATCTACAGATTCAATGCAATACCTATCAAAATACCAATGTCATTCTTTATAGAAATAGAAAAAGAAATCTTAAAATTTGTATGGAACCACAAAAGACCCTGAATAGCTAAAACAATCTTGAGCAAAAAGAACAAAGCTGGAAGTATCACAGTACCTGACTTCAAAATATACAGCTATAGTAACCAAAATGGCAAGCAAGGTATTGGCATAAAAACGGACACATAAACCAATGAGACAGAATAGAGAACCCCGAAATAAATCCATATATTTACAGTTAATTTCTTTTTTCTTTTTTTTTTATTTGAGACGGAGTCTCGCTCTGTCACCCAGGCTGGAGTGCAGTGGTACGATCTCGGCTCACTGCAACCTCCACCTACTGAGTTCAGGCGATTCTCCTGCCTCAGCCTGGAATGACAGTCGTGTGCCATCACGCCTGGCTAATTTTTGTATTTTAGTAGAGACGGGGTTTCACCATGTTGGTCAGGCTGGTCTCAAACTCCTGACCTCGTGATCCGTCTGCCTCAGCCTCCCAAAGTGCTGGGATTACAGGCGTGAGCCACCGTGCCCAGCCACTCAATTTATTTTTAACAAAATCACCAAGAACATATACTGAGGAAAGGGCAGTTTCTTCAATAAATGATGCTGGGGAAACTGGATATCCATATTAGGAAGTATGAAACTAGACTGCTATCTCTCACCATTCACAAAAATCAACTGAAAATGAGTTAAGGACTTAAATGCAAGACCCAAAACTATGAACCTACTGGGAGAAAACATACAGAAAACACTTTAGAGTGTTGGACGCAGGAAAGATTTTGTGATTAAGACCTTGAAAGCACAGGCAAGAGAAGCAAAAATGTATGAATGGGACTACATCAAACTAAAAATTTCCTGTACAGCAATGAAAACAATCAACAGAGATAAAACAGCAACTTAGAGAATGAAAGTATTTGCAAAGTATTCATCTGATAAGGGATTAATAGCTAGAATTTACAAGAAACTCAAACAACAGCAAAATAATAATAGTATCATTTTAAAAGGAGCAAATGTGCACCCATCACCCACGCAGTACACACTGCACCCAAATTGTAGCTTTTTGTCCCTCACCTTCTTCCCTCCCTTTCCCCGAGTCCCCAGAGTCCATTGTGTCATTCTTATGCCTTTGTATCCTCATAGTTTTGCTCCCACTTAAGAGTGAGAACATACGATGTTTGGTTTTCCATTCCTGAGTTACTTCACTTGGAATAATAATCTTCAATCGCATCCAGGTTGCTGTGAATGCCATTAATTCATTCCTTTTTGTGGCTGAGTAGTTTCTTTATCCACTCATTGATTGATGGGCATTTGGGTTGGTTCCACATTTTTGCAATTGTGAATTGTGCTGCTATAAACGTGTGTGCAAGTATCTTTTTCATATAATGACTTATTTTCCTCTGGGCAGATACCCATTGTGGGATTGTGGGATTGCTGGATCAAATGGTAGTTCAACTTTTAGTTCTCTAAAAAAATCTCCACCTTGTTTTCCATAGTGGTTGTACTAGTTTACATTCCTATCAGCAGTGTAGAAGTGTTCTCTGTTCAGGCCAGGCACGGTGGCTCCAGCCTGTAATCCCAGCACTTTGGGAGGCCGAGGAGGGTGGATCACGAGGTCAGGAGATCGAGACCATCCTGGCTAACACAGTGACGCCTGTAGTCCCAGCTACTCGGGAGGCTGAGGCAGGAGAATGGTGTGAACCTGGGAGGCGGAGCTTGCAGTGAGCCGAGATTGCGCCACTGCACTCCAGTCTGGGCTACAGAGCCAGACTCCGTCTCAAAAAAAAAAAAAAAAAAAAAAAAAAAGAAGTGTTCCCTGTTCACCACATCCATGCCAACATCTATTATTTTTTGATTTTTTGATTATGGCCATTCTTGCAGATATAAGGTGGTATCACATTGGCGTTTTGATTTACGTTTCCCTGATCATTAGTGATGTTGAGCATTTTTTCATATGTTTGTTGGCCAGCTGTATATCTTCTTTTGAGAATTGTCTACTCATGTCCTTAGCCCACTTTTTGATGAGATTGTTTGTTCTTTTTCTTGCTAATTTGTATGAGTTTGTTGTAGATTCTGGATATTAGTCCTTTGTCAGATGCATAGATTGTGAAGATTTTCTCCCACTCTGTGGGTTGTCTGTTTACTCTGCTGACTGTTCTTTTGCCGTGCAAACACTCTTTAGTTTCATTGGGTCCCAGCTATTTATCTTTGTTTTTGTTGCATTTTGCTTTTGGGTTCTTGGTCATGAAATCCTTGCCTAAGCCAATGTCTAGGAGGTTTTTTTCAATATTATCTTCTAGAATTTGTATAGTTTCAGGTCTTAGTTTTAAGTGCTTGATCCATCTTGGTTGATTTTTGTATAAGGTGAGAGTTGAGGATCCAGTTTCATTCTCCTACATGTGGCTAGCCAATTATCCCAGCACCATTTGTTCAATAAGGTGTCCTTTCCCCACTTTATGTTTTTGTTTGCTTTGTCGAAGAACAATTGGCTGTAAGTATTTGGGTTCATTTCTGGGTTCTCTATTTTGTTCCATTGGTCTATGGGCCCATTTTCATACCAGTACCATGCTGTTTTGGTGACTTTGGCCTTATAGTATAGTTTGAAATCAGGTAATGTGATGCCTCAAGATTTGTTCTTTTTGCTTAGTCTCGCTTTTGCTATGCAGGCTTTTTTTGGGTTTTATATGAATTTTAAGATTTTTTTTCTAGTTCTGTGAAGAATGTTCGTGGTATTTTGATGAGAATTGCATTGAATTTATAGATTTCTTTTGGTAGTATGGTAATTTTCACAATATTGATTCTACCCATCCGTGAGCATGGGATGTGTTTCCATTTGCTTGTGTCATCTGTGATTTCTTTCAGCAGAGTTTTGTAGTTTTCCTTGTAGAGGTCTTTCACCTCCTTAGGCTAGGTATATTTCTAAGTTTGTTTTTTTTTTTTTTTTTTTTACAGCTGTCGTAAAAGGGATTGAGTTCTTGATTTGATTCTCAGCCTGGTCACTGTTGGAGTATAGGAGAGCTACTGATTTGTGTACATTAATTTTGTATCCAGAAATATTGCAGAATTTTTGTATCAGTTTTAGGAGCTTTTTGGAGGAGTCTTTAGAGTTTCCTAGGTATACAATCATATCAGCAAACAGTGACAGTTTGGCTTCCTCTTTACCGATTTGGATGACCTTTATTTCTTTCCCTTGTCTGACTGCTCTGGCTAGGACTTTCAGGACTGTGTTGAAGAGAAGTGGTGAGAGTGGGCATCATTGTCTTGTTCCAGTTCTCAGAGGGAATGCTTTCAGCTTTTCCCCACTCAGTATTATGTTGGCTGTGGGTTTCTCATAGATGGCTTTGATTACATTGAGGTATGTTCCTTGTATGCCGATTTTGCTGAGAGCTTTAATCATAAAGGATGCCAGATTTTGTTGAATGTTTTTTTTGCATCTATTGAGATGATCATGTGATTTTTGTTTTTAATTCTGTTTATGTGGTGTGTCACATTTATTGACTTGAGTGTGTTCAACCATCCCTTCTTCCCTGGTATGAAACCCACTTGATTGTGGTGGATTATCTTTTTGATATGATTTTGAATGTTTCCATCACAAAGAAATGGTAAACGTTTGATGTGATGCATAGGCTAAATACCCTTATTTGCTTATTACACATTGTATACATGTATCAAAATATCACACTGTACTATATCAATATGTATAATTATGTCAATTAAAATAAATAAAAATAGTAGCCATGACTTTAAATAACTTAAGAAATAATATAATGGACCAGGGGATGAGGAAATAACATGACCCAGCCGTGACCAATCAGAGTTTCCCACACTGTACCACATCTCCATAACAACAGGTATTGGTCCAAAGGTCATCTTCTCTGGTTCTTTATTTATGAACATTGTGAGAAAGATGTCTATTTTTCTGCTGAAGCTGTTAAGGTAGAATAATATGAGAGGAGTTGGAGCTGATAAGCTGATATTGGCTATCTTCTTTAGAAGTACAGAGAGATCTGATGACAAATGTATCTCCGAATCTAATCATGTCTCTAGGCAGCCTCACCCCTGGCCTTTCCAGATAAATTTACATGTTGAATCTTTTCTTTAAAATTATTAACTTGTGACTAAAAAGGTCTTGCTTCTATAACACAAATATTATTTGTTTTTAAGTGAAGGCCAAACAGATTTTAATGTTCTCTCCATCAGTGAGCTATAATTACTAGAAGTATAGTCCTGGACACATCACTTATATTAACCTTTCTCATTCCTAGTGTTACATCTGAATCTTGAAGACATAAAATGAGCTTTGACCTAGTATAAGGATTAGGAGGTAGAATAAATGTAAAGTACCAGGACCTGACACTTGGAAAGTTTTTTTAAACGTCTCAGCTCTTTTCATCATTTGTAAGCTGCACTATTAATTTATTAACAGTTTTTGAGGGAAAACTTAAATCTGCATTAAACATTTGCAGTGTTTTTGGCTGATTGGCATACTTATATTTATCCTTTCAATTATGTAATATTTTCCCATCCATAGCCAAATTTTAAGACTTACATTTTTGAGAAATATAGAGTCAAAAGCATTTTCTGACTTGACTTAGGCCACAGGTTACTCTGCACAGCATCACTGAGACACACCTATCTGTAAAGCTTTTCATATACATAATCTCCAAGACATATAATGCTGTATGGAGACACTTGAATTTCCACAAAGATGCTGGACATTTCATCAGGACCTTATGGCGCTGGAGGCAGATAAGATCTTTCAGAATCAAATTAGCACCCCTTGGCCTGAAGCCTCACATGCTGAGATACAGAGTTCCTAGGGTCCCTCCTGAATATGGTCTTCAAGATGAAGAGAAAATGTCAGGCTATGAGATTCAAAAGAGAGGAGTCAGAGAAACACCTCCCCTGGAATCAGGACCAATTTTAGTTTTGAGATTTAGTCAAAGAAAGATATAGAAGCTAAATATAGGGCCACAATTTGAAGACATAAGAAAGGTAAGATTTCACAGTGTTAGTGCTGAGATGGGGCCAGTTGTACAATATGATCCCAGAATCTCAGTGCTGACATCATTCCAAGTTTAATCTTCCAATTCTCCAACTCAGAATGTCATATTTTCCTCCTTCACTCCCACGTCACCTCCTGTAGGGCACTTCTGCATGGCGTGCAAAGAATCTCCCTTGATGGCTATTTTCTGTGCTTGCCCCTGGAGTCTTCTCTGTGTTGCACCTGTGATCACACTGTTCTATAACCAGGTTCTTCCCCCAGAGGACTGAGGGCTCCCTCCATGTATCTCCAGTACTTAGCACAAGATGAGTTTTATTGCATACTTTACTTCATTTTTATCATATATTATTTAAAAATGGTTCTACAAAGCTTATAGTGAAAACTCTTAACTTTTCAGAGACAGGAATTTTTCCCTGTCCCACATCTCCTAATCTGAAAATTTCTGTTTTGTAGAAGCGGCCACTTTTTGTTCTTCAAAAAATTAAACATAGAATTGACATATGATCCAGCAATTCCTCTTCTGGGTACAGACCCAAAAGAAGTTAAAGCAGAGACCAAGCAGATATTTGTACATCATGTTTATAACAACATTATTCACAACTGCCAAAAGGTAGAAGCAACAGAGTATACATCCATCGATGGATGAACAAAGTATGGTAGATCCATACAGTGGAATATTTTTCAGAAGAAGGAAGGAAATTATTTTCCTGTATTATGTATGAACCTTGAAGACATGAAGCTAGATTAAATAAATCAGACTGAAAAGGAAAAATATTGTATGAATCCACTTACATGATTCACCTAGTTTAGTAAGATTCATAGACAGAATGTAGAATGGAGGTTATCAGGGGCTGGGGAGGAGGAGAGAGTGAGGAGATGTTGCTTAATAGACCTAGCATTTAGTTTGGGAAGATGAAAAAGTTCTGGAGATGGAGGGTGGTGATGGTTACACAGCATGAATATACTTAATGTCATAGAACTATACACTTAAAAATGGCAAAATGGTAAATTTTATTATATATTTTTTTAACCATAATTTAAAAAAGCAGCTACTCTAGTGCTTTAAATAGCTTCTTCTTATCCTTATCTCCATATTTCTTTATTTCTTGTTCAAACTTTTTTTATTTTTTATTTTTGGAGACAAGGTTTCTCTCTGTCACCTAGACTGGAGTACAATGACATCATGGCTCACTGCAGCCTTGGCCTTCTGGGCTCAAGTGATCCTCTCACCTCAGCCTCCTGAGTAGCTAGGACTACAGGTGCAAGCCCACCACACCTGGCTAATTCTTCTGTTTTTTGGTAGAGATGGGGTCTCACTACATTGCCCAGGCTGGTCTTGAACTCTTGGCCTCCCAAAGTGCTGGGATTATAGGTTTGAGCCACTGTGCCCAGCCTCAAACTTTCCATTATAGAAAACTTCAAATACACAAAAACAGAATTATATAATGAATTCTCATTATCCATCATCACATTCAATAATTACTAACATTTGTCCATCATATTTCATATGTTTCCACTTTTTTCCAGGAGAATTTTAAAAAATAGACTTCAGTTCTAGAACAGTTTTAACTACAGGAAAATTGAGAAGTTGTTTCTCCTGTTATTAACATCTAACATTAGTATGGTTCATTTCTTACAATTATTGAACCAATATTGATGCATTATTTTTAACCAAAAGTCATACATTACTCAGGTGTCCTTGAGTTTTACCTAATAATATTTTTCTACTCCAAGGTCCCATTCAAGATACCCTATTACATGGGGTTGTCATGCCTCCTTAGGCTCCTCTTGGCTGTGACAATTCCTCAGATTTTCCTTGTTTTTGATGACCTAGACGTTATTGAGGAATACTAGTTAGGTATTTTATAGAATGTTCCTCTATTGGAATTCGGTGTTTTTTTTTTGTTTTTTTTTTTTTTTTCATAATAAGTAGAGGTTATGGATTCGGGGGGAGGAAAGCCACAAGTGAGGTACCATTTTCATTACATGATATCAAGAATTCACACTTCCAGAAGAGGGAGTTAATGCTGTTCCTTTAAGGACAAAGTATCTACCTACCTTATTTGGAGTTCTTCTGCAGGAGAGATTTTGCCTCCTCTCCTCCATTGATTTATTTATCACATCATTTATATCATTATAAACTCATCTCTGGAGGATTGTAAAAGCAAATCCTTTACATACAATTTCACAGTTAAATAGTTCAGCATGCATCTTTCACAGAATAGGGTTTTTAAAAAACATAAAGCCATGCTATTCTCACACTAACAAAATTAACAACAGTTCTCTAATTTTGCTAAACACTCAATGCATATTCAAATATCTGTCTTGTCTTTTTCAATTGGTCTGTCTGAAACAGAAGCTAGAGAAGGTCCACACATTGCAATTGCTTCTTATGTCTCATTATTCTCTGTTCTTCTATACCATACCACCCACCCTACCTATTTTTTTTTTCTCAAGGCTTTGATTTGTTGGAGAAACTGTTACCAGAAAAACAGGTCCCGATCCCGACCCCAAAAGAGTATTCTTGGATCTTGCACAGGAAGGAATTAAAGGTGAGTCACAGAGTGCAGTGAGAAGGAGATAGTTTATTGAAAGTTACTCAGATACAGAGTAGGTGTCCTCAGAAAGCAAAAGGAAGAATGCACCATCTTTGTTGTAAACTCTTCTAATGTAGGGGTTTAATCTACATAAAAGCTAAGTTAAATGTCTATGTGTGGGTGCTCTGACAGCATGACAAAATTTAGGACCTATTGATTTAAAGAAAGTTATCCTTGGCATTTTAGTTAGTATATCAAAGCATGACTATAATAATCTTAAAAGCATATATTATAATGTGACGTCAGGACATGTGGACATTCTGTTGTCTGTCATAGGCGTTTGTTCTTGCAGGCATTATTAAGTTGTTTAATCAGCTGTAAACCTCTTATGACCATGGGTTGTGACTGGCAAGGAATATGCCTTGCTAGTTGAAAGATGGAGTTGACTTTAAAATGGTGTCACCCTGGCTCTCCTATGCTTCTGTTTCCCCAAAAAAGCCAGGTTACTTGTCCTGTAGAATGATCCACATTCTGAGTTTGGCTAATGACATTCTCATGGTATTAACTTGTTTCTTTATATGTTGTTTTTTCTGTTACCCACAAAATAATTCTTCTGATACACATTTGTAATCTTACCATGCCAGCATCTGCTACTCTTCATGTTACCAAATTTCTGTTCAAGGACCACTAAAGCCACAGTCAGTGGACATTCTGAGACCTCTAGGGGAGGGTGGAGATGCTGTCCTTTAATATAGTCTGACCCAAGCAACCTCCCCACTTGGCATGGTGAATCTAGACAAGCTAAAGAATTTACTACGCCCCAGGCCTGCACCAGCCCTCTCCTAAGACCTTGGGCACTCTCATTTCCCTTTTTTTTTTTTCTAAAGGAAGTCATAGTTTCTCATAACCTTTGCTAGTGATCCTGGACCTTGGTTGTTCCCTGAGGCTGTGTTCTCCACACTGCTGCCATCACTGCTACAGCAGAGGTGCAGAAAGCTCAGGAGAGAGAAGGGAGGAAAAGCTGAAGATTTTGTGTTATTCATGCTTTCCTGACTCCGGCGAAAGTGCTTCCTCCACCTGCAACCATTTCTGTTTCTATACTGCTGAGTCTTGTGTTCCCAAGACCAAGGGAAGCCCATTTTCTTTAAAGCCAGTCACAGTTTCTGTTGGCTGATGGAATATCTGTTGTCCAGCAGTTGTATTCCTGCTCACAAATGCAAAACAGTTTGATGCCACGCACATTCCAGGGCTTAGACTGGAAATGCTGTCCCTTGCCCCTTTGTTACCTTCTGACAGGGATCAGTCCATAGTGTAGTTGGTGTCACAACAGTCCCGAAGAAGCCTTCCAATAGATACCCAAATGTGATTCAAAGTGGCACAGGCACACACCACGGTGCCACATGGTGCCTATGTAAAGCAGGTATATCAGGAATGCTAAGCAGAGAAGTAGCAGAACACACTGATCCCCATGTTCTCATTGTACAGTTGGGTGCAATTAAGCTGGCACAATGGACTCTTCTCATGGCTACTGTTCCAGTAGTGTGGATGCCCCCAAATGCTGCATATTTACTAGGACAGCCAGGCAGAGACAGCTGTGTACTATGATACAACAGTAGTCCCTCTTAGAGGAAGTGACCTTGTTAGAAGTGGGAGTTTCTGAAGCTCTTCAGCTGTTACTGGCCTGCTCTTCCATAGCGTTACTTCAGACCTGCTGGCCCAGCTATCCACTCCGCTAACAGGTCTGTCTCTGCTAACAGGTCTAGCTCTGTCTCCTCAGCACATGTTCTAGGCTCTGACTGCAAGTGCTGACTTGGGCTCCCAGCCCCACACAGACCCTCTGTTCCATGAAAGGGCCATCTATGCAAAGTGCCCCCCAAATGCCAAAGGAGCCAATAAACCAAGGAACAAGACAGACAAATCTAGTTGTCAGTAAAGAGTGTTTTATTGGGGAACTTACAGACAGAAGCGTGGTCTTGGATGGCAGCAAGACAGGTAGGTTTCTGCACTTATTACCCCCACACCCAGGGCTTATATACCACAGGGGAAGAGTATACATGCTCTGTGCAAGACAAAGGCTACTACTGTCCAGAACAGGTAAGAATGCTAATGTGTCATAGCCTAGAATTTGTATAACATCAAGGTTGACATGTTCTTACAATAGGGATGGTAAATAAAGTGGGAATCAGGAGTCAGTCCTGGGACTGGGGCTAATCAGAAGTCAGCATAGAGAATTAGCATCCAAGAGGGAGTCACTTTTCTCTCCACATCCCAGCCCTCTAATCCAGCTCTTACAATCTCATGGACTCACATTTCCCCCATAGTCCCTGAGCCTTCAGAGAGGGCTGTGGGTGACATTTTGATGGTGTGAGTGACACATTTTATCAATTTGTTTTCTACTTGTTAAGCAGGGGCCACAGCAACAACACAAACAACAGGCGATGATATGTATGCCAGGTGTAAGACACAGAATTAAAAATGCCCTTTACCATGTTTATTCAGGAACCAAACCAAGAGGTATAGAGCAGAACAACAATAGGAACAGAAGACTATGGGTGGAATTAAAAATGTTTAGTAGGTATTTGGTGGGCAGTTCTTCCCCATTAAACAGAATTACTGGTAGCTCCATCTCTGTTGATTAGGAACATAGGATTGTGGGCTGGGAGTACACACCAAACATGTTGCCTGAGGGGCAAAGGCGCTGGTATTATGTGTAAGGTTACAGGGGCAGCAAAGGACCATGTCAAATGGCCAGCCAGGGTGCTTCTTAAAAGGGGCTGTGTTCCAGTTTATTGGTATGTGGAGTGTTTTGGCCCAGACTTCAGCAGGATCAATGGAGACCACTTTAGTTGGTAGGGAATTCCTTGCTGTCTGGAAAGAAATGCTCTATCCAACATAGGGGAAGTTGCTAGTCCAACCCCCATTCAAGTGTCTCCTCCCTGGCTCAAGATCTTGAGGAGTTCTAAATAACCTTTGCCATTGGCCTTTTATCTGCTCAGGTCAGAGATGCATCTGGTTGGACTTTCTTTACTATTATGGTTAATGGATCCATCTCTGTGGTGGTCCTGAGTCATTGGTGTGGTGCCAGCACCATATTTGTCTCAACTAAATTAAGGTTTCTAATGGCTTGAGGCAAAATCTTTGTCTAACTATGAAAGATATTGGATTTTGAGAGTGCTCAAAACTGTGCCTTCAAAATACCATTTTTCCTTTCAATCAACCCTGTTGCTTGGGGGAGTATACAGTAAGTGAAATACCCAGTCTATGTCCCTTTCATGCATCCAGTCTTGGACACCGTGTCTGGTGAAATGCATGCCTCGATTGCTATCAATATGTGGAGGGTATCCTTACATGACACTGAGTTGCTCCAAGCCCCTGATGGTGGCTGTTTGGTTTGCTCTTACAAGGGAAAGCTTGCAACAATCCCATGGCAGTGTATACACATGTTAGTGCATACTTTCGTCTCAAGATTACTGGCAAGGGTCTGATGTAGTCTATCTACCAGTCTGTCACAGGGGTGGCTGTCTTATGTATATGTCCAGGTGTATGTGGGATGTGGCAGAGGTACAGACGGGAACAAATTAAGCAGTTTGCTACCGCCACCACTAAATCTGCATAGCAGAGAGCCAATCCTGCTCCCTTTGCTATTTGGCAGCCCATTCATGCACTGAAATCCCCACTGTGATATGTACCTAATCAACTAGCTCAGTATTCTAATTTTTGCTAGGATGTCTGCCTCCATGTTTCTGGGAGGTGAATCTGACCAGTGTGCTGAAGCAATTAGGTCCACAGTGGGTTCCTGTAGACTTTTCCAAATGTCTTTCCACATATCAGCTCCCCATAAGGATTTTTAAATTATATACCAATCATCTCAGGCCCTTTGGGCAAGCCAAATTGTAAGACCCTTAAGTACTGCCAGACTGTCTGTACAGAGAACTATAGGTGGTGGCTCACGGGTACAAACCAACCATGTAGCTTGGAGTTCTGCCCATTGACTGCTCTGTTGCATTCCCATCTCAAACCAGATACTGTCTGTGGTTGTGCAGCTACTACTGTCCATACACAGGGTTACCTTGGCTCAATGCATCTAAGTACCAAGCATTATCAGGAATGAGGGCCATGCCTTCATGTACCATTGGAGACATCTCCTGTGAGGGCTCCACAATAGGGGCAGCACTGGACTCATAATGTACTGGCCCTAAGATAGCATGCAGTTCATCTCTTAAGGGATGCATGGAGAAGGCACTATGTTGTTGCATGTATGCATGGCACTTTTGTAAAGTGGAAACTTGGGCAATAGCTGATACAGGCCTGGCAAACACTCCTACCCAGTCCTTGATAGGAAACCTGTTCTCCCTGGTACCAGGAAAGCAGCAGTTATGGATTCAACTTGTGGCAAGACCTTCTATATCCCCAGGACCTGTTATTCAACTGGGAAATAGCAGGTTTCAGTACCCTTCCATTAATTGTGACTAAAATTCTAAAGGAACTGCTTCCCTATGCTGGACTTTATATTTTCATCATCCAAAATTATAGTTTAGTTTTACCTTTAAAAATATGTTTTTTGTTCTCATTTGTTCCATAGGTTTCTCCTTGAAATTTATATTGTATGGTAAGGTTTCCTATTGTTTGCATTTTGTGGATTGCACGCCAAGGTGTGGTTTAATGTATTTCTATTACCTGTATTTTCTGTAAATTGGTAGTTTGGTATAGAGGTTTGTGTACATTCAGGGTTTTTTTTTTTCTGTAAGTATTGATGGTTCTGTAAAAGGAAAATAAAATCTTGGGGCCCCAAAATTACTAAGCTAAAGGGAAAATTCAAGCTGGGAACTGCTTAGGGTAAACCTGCCTCCCATCTGTTCAGAGTCGCCCCTCTGCTCACTGAGATAAACACATGTCTGATTCCCTCATTTGGAAAGGCTAATCGGAAACTCAAAAGAATGCAACCATTTGTCTCTCATCTATCTGTGACCTGGAAGCCCCCTCCTTGCTTCGAGTTGTCCCGCCTTTCCAGACGGAATCAATCTTTAGCTTACATATGTTGATCACTGTCTCATGTCCCCTTAAAATGTATAAAACCAAGTTGTGCTCTGACCACCAAAGTTGTGCTGAGAAGTGACACCAAAGAACATGGTGGCATAAGAACTCCAAGGACCCCTCCCCTCCACAGCGGCAATGTGCTTGTTGAAACACCAGTATAAAAAAACTCGATGAGAGCTGTGATTGGATTTAGTGTTGATATATTTTTTGTAAATTGTGGTAAAACATGCATACTATATAATTTACCTTCTAACCATTTTTTCAGTGTACAATTTGGTGGCAGTAAGCACATTTACAGTGTTGTGTAACCACCGCCAATATCCATTTCCAGAACATTTTCATCATCCCAAACAGAAACTGTACCCATTAAACCATAACTGCCCATTCTCCCTACCCCCAGCCCCTGGTAATCTCTATTCTATTTTCTGTTTCTATGAATTTGCTTATTCTAGCTACTTTATATAAGTAAAATATCATATTTGTTTTTATTTCTGGCTTATTTCACTTATAGTGTTTTCAAGGCTCATCCAATTAGAATTTCATTCACTTTTAAGGCTGAATAATATTCCATGCTTATGTGCACCGTGGGTTGTTTATCCAGTCATCCTCTGATGGACACTCGGTTGCTTCCACCTTTTGGATATTGGGTATAGTGCTGCTATGGGCCTGAGTGTACACATATCTGGGTGAGTTCCTGCTTTCAGTTCTTTTGGGTATGCCCAAAAGTGGAATTGTTGGCTCATATAGTAATTCTATTTTTACTTTCTTGAGGAATCACTATTCTGTTTTCCATGGTGGCTGCACCACTGTATACTCTCACCAGCAGTGTACAAGTGTTCCAGTTTCTCCATATCTTCACCAACACTTGGCCTAGTGAAGTTTACCATATTTTTATGTCCTTATTGGCATTCCTTTTTTTTTTTTTTTTGTGAAACAGAGTCTTGCTCTGTTGCCAGGCTGGAGTGCAGTGGCACAATCTCGGCTCGCTGTAACCTCCACTTCCCAGGTTCAAGTGATTCTCCTACCTCAGCCTCCTGAGTAGCTGGGACTACAGGTACCTGCCACCATGCCCAACTAATATTTGTATTTTTTTGGTACAGACGGGGTTTCACCATGTTGGCCGGGATGGTCTTGATCTCTTGACCTCGTGATCCGCCCACCTCGGCCTCCCAAAGTACTGGGATTACAGGCATGAACCACCATGCCTGACCAGCATTCCTTATTTTTATGTCCTTATTGTATATCTTCTTTGGAGAATTGTCTATTCATGTCTTTTTCTTATTTTTGAATGAGATTGTTTTGCTATTGTTGAATTGTAGTTCTTTACATATTCTGGATATTAATTCTTTATCAGATATGTGATTGGCAAATATTTCCTCCTAGTCTGTGCATTTTCTTTTGATTCTCTTAATAGTGTCCTTTGATGCAAAAAAGTTTTTAAATTTTGATGCATTCTAATTTGTCATTTTTCTTATATTACTTGTACTATTGGTCACCAGCCAAGAAACCACTACCAATTCTAATGTCCATAAGATTTTCCTCAGTATTTTCTTGAGGGTTTTACAGGTTCAATTCTTAAGATTAGTTCTTTGAGTCATTCTGACTTAATTTTTGAAAAGGGTGTAATGGAAGGACATGAATTTTTTCCAGCATCATTCTTTTGCATGTTGATATCCAGGTTTCCAGCACCATTTGTTGATGCACCATCTGTTGCAGTGGGGCTGACACATTTGTAAGATGCAGTGAGCATTAATACATGGGAGCACCATGCATTTATTTACCTGTCTTTACTTCACAGTTGTTTTGAGAAGGCTTTCACTGACAGACTCAACAGAAATGAATATATATGACTTCTTATAAAATCATATTCAAGTAAAATTATAAATTTTAAAATGTTAAGACTGGAGCAAGACTGGAACATCACTAGACAAGCTGAAACATAGGCTGAAATGAAGGGTTATGTTTACCTTGCTACAAATTCTGTTGGCCCACAATCTCTTATGCTTATTGCTTAAGAGAGCCACAGAGTGGGGTGATAGCTCACATAACCAGTCCCTGGTTTTCTGCTTCAGAAAGAAGTTTAAATATTCTGCTTAGACAGAGTAAGGAAATTAACTGAAAGATGTCTAATGTGAAGTTGGCATCTACAAAGTGAAGGAGTGAGTAGTAAGTGTAAACATCAGGAATCCCAGGAGATTCTATCTTTTTGCACGGAAATGGCCTCACTATGCACTGCTGAAGGGAGAAGGTCCCTTCAGGGGACCTTCATGATGAAGAAGAACACAATATGATATAGGAATTTTCTGCTGCAGCCCTAAACTGAATTGTCCTTCTCTCTAACTACAGGTCTCACAAAGTTTTATAGCTTCAATGATTTCACCTGGGCCAAGATTTTGTTTTTTTTGATGTTATTTGTTTGAACTGCTGCCTGGGGCTTAGAAAAGTGACTTGGATATTTTGTCAAAATGGATTTTCTTTGATGGAATGTGAAATCCGTAAACACTCTGCTTTCCTGCTGTATCCCCAGAGCAGGTTGAGTACCTTGCACTTCTTCTCAGCACTTCGCTAGAAGTGGTAGAAGATTTGGAGTTAGGGCCTCCCTCAATCCCTACCCTTTCTTTAATTCAGAGGATCACAAACTGTTGGGAGAAGAGTGGTATCTTGGGCCTCTAGCTGATCTGATGAATATTAATATCCAATGTCCTGTAGTGAAGTCATGTGTGCGTGTAACATCACTTCTTCACGCAGTGTCATAGGAAAGTGGGTTCCTGGACCCCAGGTTAAGAGCCTAAGCACTAAAGGCACAGAGCTAGAGCTCTAGGAGGGGAGGGATGGCTGGGGTGGAACCTCGTCTTGTCATTTAGTCCTGGGGCCTTTTCACTCCTTACATGGTGGGTGGTGGGCGTCTGGCAGGTGCCGATGTTGATGGAGTCAAGGGAGGGAACTAGCCGGGACAGGGAAAAACAGGGTTGGAGAGATAATTAAGGTGGACATTATTTTTTCTGAGCGTAAGTCGTGGCTGGAAATCTGGAGAGCCTGAAAGAGTATCCCCCTACCCAAACCTGTTTTTTCCTTTTCCCTCAAGCCTCATTTGGCCACAGGCCCAGTGTCAACACCAGGGGGCGCCACAGACCATGAAGGCGCCCACAGACCATGAAGGCACCGTGCAGCTGGGATTGTTTGTGGTCGGCTACTGGGTCCCTGACTTAACCAGGGGAGCCAAGACCCTGTAGCCAAGTGGCCTGGATTCAACCTGCAGCTCAGGTCTTACTGACACTTCTCCCCCTGGTGCCTCAGTTTCTTAATCTGTGAAATGGTGAGGACATTACAGCATTTACCTCTGGGGCGGGTTTCTCAACAGCAGCACTATTAACAATTTGGGACAGAGAATCTTGTGGAGTGGTCTGTCCTGTGCATTGTGGGAGGTTTGCCAGCAACACCCCACTCACCCCCTCCCACCAATCCCCATGTGACAACCGAAAATGTCCCAGGATTTTTAGGTCTCCCTTGGGTCTAGAAGCTGCACTTAGGCATTTTCCCACCTGACACTTGAGTTCATCTCTGCTTTGGTCCACATAAGGCCACTTTAAAAAAATGTTGTTTCTTTAAAGATTCTAACCATCTTTTAAACAAATCCATTTTCTTCCTCTATTTCTGCATTCAGTTAATCCTTCCAAACCCTTTGTTTAGTATATCTTGAAATGTATCAATTCCTGTTCTAGTAATTAACATATGTGACTTGCATGATATCTGCTATGACCCCTAGTAGAGCTCTGATTCCTTTAGCACAGGGAATGTGTTCTCGATTCTGCTCTGGATGATGTAAATCAATTTATTTTACTTTACTTGTCTGGGATGTTGCTCCTCATCTGTAAGATGTAAATGTGGATATGGCTTGGATTACTAAGTGGTTTTATTTCTTAATTCACCTGACATTTGTTGTGTACCTGCTGCAAGTCAAATACATGGCATGGTATTGTTTCCTTGTTCACACCACAGCAAATGAGAAAATGAGACATTATAGCCAGGTGTGGCGGCACAGGCTTGTGGTCCTAGCTACTCGGAAGGCTGAGGCAGGAGAATTGCTCCAGCCCAGGAGTTTGAGGTTACAGTAAGGTATGATATCACCATTGCATTTCAACCTGGGCAACAGACCCTGTCTCTGAAAAAAGGGAAAAAGACCTTGTGAGCTGTCTACGTGTACTCTATGTCTCAGGAGACTCATATCCTGTAATTTTTCTAAATGGCGTCTCCATGTGGTCTTTCATGAATGTTTGTCTGGTATTCTCTATCCTTTTACTTTCAACTTTTCTTTACCTTCTACTGAAATTATGTCTTTTGTAAACAGCCCATGATTATTTATTTAGTTATTTATTTTTACCCCCCTGCACTATTTGTCTTGTAATTGGAGTGTCTGAGTCCATTATGTTTAATGTAATTATTGACCTCATTGGGTTTAAGTCTGTCCATTGTCATTTGCTGCCTTCTAATATTATCTCTTTCTTGCTCAACTATTTTTCTTATGTTACCTTCTTTAGATGAATAAAAACCTTTGCATTATTGTAGTCTTCTAAGTGTCCTAATTACACATTCTCTTATTATTTCTTTAATTATCTGAGAAAGCATAATGATCTGTGACTTATTATAACCAATAGCAGACCACAACTTCCCTGACTTTCACCTACCTGTGCCCACAGCCCAGGGGAGAATCAGTGCTCTGGCTCTGAGACACAGGGGTGGTGGGAGTAGGAGAGTGATTGGATGATGAATCTGTAGCTGCAGAGGCATCTGGGCCCCTCACCTGCATTCCTCATAGATGTCTCCTCCATTGAATGCCTGCGATGCCCTCTCCTCTGTGTACTCCTGCCAGAGTCTCCCTATCTCCACTGACAGCAGCTCCACCCTTCTGCTCACTCAGTCCAATACTGTGGGTGTCCTTGATTCTTCTTCTCACATCCATTAGCAAGTGCTGTGAGTCCATCTTCAAATTCATCCAGAATCCCTTCACTTCTCACTATTTCCCCTGCTCACACCCTAGTCAAGGTAAGCAACGTGTCCATCCTAGAATACTGTACTCCTTTCCCACCATTTTCCCCACTGCATCACTGGTTCCCCACCTCTCAATTCTGTTCTCAGCACAGCAGCCAGAAAGAAGCTTTCAAAGGATGAGCCCTACCATGTCCCACTTTTCAAAACTGTCCTCCCCATGTCATTCAGAGCAAAGGTCAACACCCTTCCCACACCCTTCAGGGCTACCTGCTCTAGCCACACCTTTGACCTCACTTCAGTTTCTCTGTGTCCAGCCCTTCTGGCCTCTTCCTCCTTCCAGGAACACAGACAATTTCCTGCCCTAGTGCATCTGCACTGAAGGTTCCCCTGCCTGAAAAGAACTTTCCCAGACATCCTTGTAGACAACTCCTCACATCCCTCAAATCTTTACTCCAAGGTCACATTTGCAACAAGGCCCATGCTGACCACCCAGCACAACAGCCACCTTCCTGTCCCCACAGCCCACCCTCTGGATCACCTGCCACACAGCACTTGCCACCTTCTAACTCAAGCATTTTCTGTTCCTACTCTGCTTATACTATATCTATCATCTGCCTACAGAGGTGTCCAATTTTTTGGCTTCCCTGGGCCAGTTGGGAAGAATAAGCATTGTCTTGAGCCACACATAAAATACACTAATGACAGCTGATGAGCAGAAAGAATAGAAAAAAGAAAAACATGTGCGTGCATAATTTTCATGATATTTGCTACCACAGATAAGCAAAAAAACTTCTTACATTCAAAGCTGTCCCGGGCCACACGCAGCCCGAGAGCTGCAGGTTGGACAAGCTTGCATCTAGAACGTATACACCACAAGGCCAGAAATTTTTCTGTTTTTACTTTAATGATGTTTTCTAAATGCAGAAACAGTCATATACCTAGCAGACAACAAATGTCAGTTGAATGAATGATCACTGTAGAGCACCTCTGTATTCTAAAGGCAATATCTTTATTAACGTAGCTAAAGAACAACATCATCTCACACCAACATCAGTGCTGCCAGTGCTTTTCTCACCAGGGCTGCTTGTGTGTCCTTCCCACCTCCTCCCACACCAACCCTCCTGCACACTGCAGCGCACAGCCATATTTTTCTGTTCAGGAAAGATAATCCTAGCCTTGTGGGTCCAATTTTCCAACCCCATATAAATCTAAATCAGACTCTGCTTTATAAATGCATGAGTTTGGATTGGAGCCAGCACTGGGATTACTACAACTCAGGCAGGAAGAAGAGTAGGAAAGCAGAAGAGGAGTTCCAACAGAAAGTTACCTACGATGAGAAACTATGGGACCCCTCCTCTCTGCAAATTTCAGAATCTGCTTCCTTTAAGAAGGCTGGGGAAAAAGATGGAAAATACAATCCAGGAAAGAGACCTGGAAGGAGGGCAAAAGATACAGGGGACTGAAAATTTGTCTCTTCATACCGGAAGGACTTCGATGTGTAGGGACCACCCTAGGTGACATCCAAGTCCCTGTGATCACAGGTCCTGGTGGGACAAGGTTCTACTGAAGGGCCAAGGACAGTGGAGCAGCAAAGATGACCCAGGTGAGCTGTGACCACATAAAGCCCATGGTGGCCTGAGCACACACTGGGCACAGCCCCATCTACTCTCCTCCCCTGCAACAAATCAGCACAAGAAACACGTGGACTCTGGAAGGTTCTCATGTCTTCCATTTATTTTGTCTCTCAAATTTTAGGAATCTTCTCCTTTAATTAACCCATCAACCCGTCATGGAAATAATTTGAAAAAAGTAAATTTATACTCAGATTCTAATTTTAATAGGGAAGTAAGAAGTTACAGCTCAGTGCACCATGAAGTTGAGACAGAGATGGAGACATCCCAGCACCACTTCTCTGGAACAGGAAAGGTGATCGGGGAAGGAATGTAGGTCAGTGTGGGGAACAGGGTCATGGTGGACACGGGTGTGGGCTGGTCTCCCCACCACCTCACATTATGCCTATAGGGACACAGACACATTCAGATGCCTTTGCAGAAAGAGAAGTCAGGGTTCTTGAAGTCACAAAGGGAAGGCATGAACAAATCTTGCCTCTCAGTCCCACACAAGGCAGCTGTCTCACACTATAGAAAAAATATTCATGAACAAATTCATATCACTCACAGTGAGGGGTCACACCTTCAACAGCCCATCATGTGCTGAATACATCCAAGTCAAAGAAACCCCATAGCACAGCTATATCCACTGTTACCCCAACAACCCACACACATCAGCCTCCCCAGGGTCTCACCTTTACAAGCCGTGAGAGACACATCAGAGCCCTGGGCACTTTGGCTGCCTGGGGTAGAACAAAAACAGAACCTGGTCAGATCCCACAGGAGATGTGGCTAGAGGAGGAATTGTGGGGTGGGTGAGCTCCCCCATGGGCTCCCAACCACAATATCCCAAGGATCTCAGGGATCAGCCTCCTTCATACTTACTTGCAGCCTGAGAGTAGCTCCCTCCTTTTCTATCTGCGGGAAGAAAACGTCCTGTGAGAGGCCAGGAAGGTAGCAGGGCCATGAGGTCCTAGAGGAACCTCCTAGTCTTGGAACCTCGAGAAGTTTCCAGAAATGTGTGACTGCAAACCAAGGGCAGGATCAGGAAAAACAAGGAAAGCAGATGTGGGTCCTGGACCAACTGCCCTCCTAAGGTCTGTCCTCAGCAGGGACCTTCCCCTGACCTGTGATTACTGGGGTCAGATCCCCATCACTACAATCATCAAGGTGAGAAATCTGTCCTTCATTGTCACAGGTGCTTACAAAAGAGTAAGTGCTGGCACACAGGGCCCAGGCTGGGTAGGCCCATGAATGTGGATGGTGCTTCCCGGTAACCAGGCAGAACACATTTCTACCTGGAGCTTGAAACCCCCAGTGGGACAAGAAAACTCAAACCCGACTCCTCACCCCTTCCCCACCTGAGCTCTTCTTCCTCCACATCACAGCAGTGACCACAGCTCCAGTGACCACAGCTCCAAGGAGAACCAGGCCAGCAATGATACCCACAATGGGGATGGTGGGCTGGGGAGAGGGCTCTGGGAAAGGAGGGGAATGTGAGGGTTCTGACCTCCAGGACCCAGCCCCGACCCTGCTAAAGGTCTCCAGAGGGGCTCCTGCTTTCCCTAAGAGACATGGCCGCCCCCATCTCTCTCCTTACCCCATCTCAGGATGAGGGGCTTGGGCAGCCCCTTGTGCTGCACATGGCATGTGTATCTCTGTTCCTCTCCAGAAGGCACTACCACAACCGCCCACTTCTGGAAGGTTCCATCCCCTGTGGGCCTGGTCTCCACGAGCTCCATGTCCTGGGTCTGGTCCTCCCCATCCCGCTGCCAGGTCAATGTGATCTCCGCAGGGTAGAAGCCCAGAACCCAGGACCTCGTTATGCCTCATGTTCAGAGAGGGGGGTGGGTCACGTGTGTCTTGGGGGGGGTCTGAAAGGAAGAGTCGGAAAACTCAGGCACTTTGCATTCCTCATGGGACACCCCAGCAGCGCCCATGTGACCATCCTGATGAATAGGACACCTGGGGTGGGGAAGGGAGCACAGAGCCCAGACACCAGCCTGGACACAGGCGCCTGGGATAATCTCCTATTCCTTGGAAAGTTCTAGTCTCTGAGCAGGGTAGCAGGGACTTCTGGTCCTGATCTGAGTGGAGGCCAAGGGACTCAGAGGAGCTGGAGTCAGACTCCGACACATTGAGTGTGAGGCAGAGAACAAGGCCCGGGAGGAAAAGTCCTGGTGCCCAAGGTTGCTGTGGGGTGAAAGGGGACCGCGGATCAGTCTTCCAGGGATTGTCTTCCCCTCCACTCCCTCAGAGACTTCATCCCTTAATTGTCCCAGGAAGAGCAGGGTGGGCCCTCAGAGTCAATCTCTGATACAGGATCTGGAAACCCAGGAGGATTCCTCTCCGTCAGGACAGGAGGGAGGGCGATATTCTGGTGGTGTTTCCATTTTCTTCCCCTCCTTGTGCGAGGCCAGCCCGGGAGATCTACAGGAGATCGAGCAGGCTCCCCATGGCCCCTGGTACCCGCGCGCTGCAGCGTCTCCTTCCCGTTCTCCAGGTGTCTGCGGAGCCACTCCATGCAGGTGCCCTCCAGGTAGGCTCTCCTTTGCTCAGCCACATTGGCCGCCTCATACTTGCGCTGGGTAATCTGAGCCGCGGTATCCGCGGCGGTCCAGGAGCGCAGGTCCTCGTTCAGGGCGATGTAATCCTTGCCGTCGTAGGCATACTGCTCATACCCGCGGAGGAGACGCCCGTCGGGCCCCAGGTCGCAGCCAAACATTCCCTGGAGGATGTGATACCCTGGCCCAGTTCCCGCGGTCAGCCCCGCCCACCGAGCCCTGGCCCGGCCCCTAGCAACCTGCGGAGATTTTGGCCTCAACTGAAGATGAAACCAGGTAAAGGCGCCTGGGGCTCTCCCGGGTCGAGGATCTCTGCAGGTCCCGCAGCCTCGGGGTCGATCTTGGACCCGGAGACTCAGGGGACCAGGGCCGTCCGTGAGGCATGGAGCGGGGAGTAAGTGATCTGCGCCCCGGGCCGGGGTCACTCACCCGCCTCGCTCTGGTTGTAGTAGCGGAGCAGGGTCCGCAGGTTCACTCGGTCAGTCTGTGCCTGGGCCTTGGCGCCCAGTGTCTGTAGGTCCCAATACTCCGGCCCCTCCTGCTCCACCCACCGCGCCCGCGTCTTCATCCTCAGACTCACGGCGTCACTGTCGACCCGCACGAACTGCGTGTCGTCCACGTAGCCCACGGCAATGAAGCTGGGCTCCCCGCGGCCCGGCCAGGAAACGGCGGTGCTGAAATACCTCATGGAGTGGGAGCCTGGGGGCGAGGAGGGGCTGAGACCCGCCCGACCCTCCTCCCGGCGCGGCTCCCCGGGTCCTGCGCCCCAGCCAGGTGGACCTTTCGCTCCTCACGGCAGAGGCCGTTTCCCTCCTGACCCCGCACTCACCCGCCCAGGTCTCGGCCAGGGCCAGGGTCCCCGAGAGCAGCAGGAGGAGGGTTCGGGGCGCCATGACCCCATCGTCGGCGTCTGGGGAGACTCCGAGTCCCGGTGGGTGCGTGGGGACTTTAGAACCGGGGCCGCGCGACGCTGATTGGCTTCCCTAGAAACCCGACACTCAGTGGGAGTGAGAACTGGGTCCGCGTCGTGAGTGTCCAGGAAGAAGGACCCGTCGCAGGCTGGGAGAGGGAGAAGAGAAACTCTGCGGAGATGGGGAATCCCCAATGCTGCACCTCCCCAGCCCATGCACCGCCTTCGGGGCCTGAGACCCTGAGAGCCATGCCTGGGGCTCTGGGACTTCGCCCTGACCCCGCTCCTCCTGTGACAAACGCTCTGTCTCAATGTTCCCTGAGTCTTGGTCCAGGAGCTGTCCGAGAAACCAGGAAGAAACCCTCAGCTTGGGCCCCGTCCCTCTCCTTTCACTTTTCATCCGGGAATTCCTGTCCCTGAAATGGACTCCCTGCTTCCCCACTGCTTACCTGTTCCCCTGGACTCTTCAAAAAGAAAACTCACCCCAGGGAGCTTGGTGCCAGAGAGGGAGCTCTCCCTGGGAATGGAGGTGTAGAGACAGAGGTTTTTTTCTTTTATTTCTTTTTTCTTTTTCTTTAAATCTGGAAAAGTTGTGCCTGGGTGCATGAGATAGTATAGAGACCAGTTTGCTTTTTGTGTATTAACTACAGTGGGTAGCAGAATCTTGGTAACCCCTGAATGATCAGGAATCTAATCGGTAAAAACATGTGACTTTGGCCCCTTGATATATAAAGTGTCTAAAAGCATTACAACAGGACTCACAAAGCTCCTAAGTTTCACTTTTGCAAACAAGGTATCTGTGACTCCCGCTTGTGGTGTTTTAAATTTACCTTTATTCCATAGCCCTGAGTTTCTGTGAGTCCAGGACATCTCCTCAATACAAAGTAGCCACTGTGTTCCTATGTGTTGCAACCAGGAGTCAGTACAGACTTCATTCACCTCAAAGTTGCAAGCGCTCGATGCAGTCACAATGTCCATCACCAGTGCTCATGCACTGCCTGTTTTTAGGAAGTATCCACATCTAAGTGGTGTGTATATTTCTTAGGAACACTTAGTATTTTTAAAACCTGATTAACATAAAAACAATTAGTTTTTAAGCAGACCCACTTAAGGTATTAAAGGCCAACTGCAAGTAACACCCTGCGAGGCTCTGTAGATGGATCTATTGAAATACCATTAAAAAAAGTGTTCAAACCTAAGAGTTGTGCTGCTTTTGAATTCTATCCCTCTACTCCTTTTCCTCACCTACTGCTTCTCCAGCCCTTCCCTCCGTCCCTCTTATCACTCAGCCCCTCCTCTCCCCTTAGTCCCCATCACACTGTCACTCCTGAATTGTGACACTGGCACTCTCCCGTTACCTGCTACGTGACTGTTCTCTCCACAGTGGTCCTGCTAATGTGAGTCAAAGTGTGTCATTTCTCCACCTAAAACACTCCAGTGGCTCCACCTTGGTCTTGTGAAGCTTCTAGAATGTCAGGCACGTGAGCATATGAGGGGATACCTGGTTCATTGTAGGGACTAAATTAATTTTTGTTGACTGAATGAATGAAATATGAGTATATTAAATTGCATCACAGATAATTATAAAATGCAAAACACTGAAAAAGTTCAGAAAGATTTTATTTTATGTAACTAGTGTATATATCAATTCATCAGTTCATTCCATTAGTCTGTTGAGCCTGTGTATGAATTTTATAAGACTGTGTAAAAAATTATCACAAACATTGGCTTTAAACAACACCCATTTATTGTATTTATTTATTTGTTTTTATTTATTGTATTCATTTATTTGTTTTTAGAGACAGAGTCTCTAAAAACTGTCATCCAGCGTGAAGTGCAGTCACATGATCATGGCTCACTGCAGCCTCAAACTCCTGGGCTCAAGGAATCCTCCTGCCTCAGTCTTCAGAGTAGACAGGACTGCAGACAAGTGCCACCACACCCAGCTAATTAAAAAAAAAAGTGTAGAGACGAGTGTCTCACTGTATTACCTGGGCTGGTCTCACACTCCTGGCTGCAAGTGATCCTCCTGTGTCAACTCCTCAAATGTTAGGATTACAGGAGTGCACCACCACGCCTGGCCAAAAAACACCCATTTATCTGTTTATAGTACCTTAGTCAGAAATCTGGGCATGATGTAGATGGAATCTCTGTTCCAGGCTTCCCAAATCTGAGTCTTCATTTTGAATCCTCCTTTAGGCTTATACAGAGGTGGCAGAATGTGCTTTCTTGCAGTTTTAAGACTGAGGTCCCTGTTCCTTGCTGGCTGTCAATGTAGAGAACAGGGAGGGCTGTACTCAATTCCTGGTGCCCACCAGTGTTGTTTCCTACACAGCCCCTTCATTTTCAAAGCCCACAGTGGAGGAAACCCCTCATGCTGAATCCCTCTCACACTGTGAATCTCTATGCTCAGGAAGAACCCAGTCCTTTCAAGGACTCTCCTGATTAGGACAGTCCAAGCAGCATAAACCCAGCCTGAAGTCAACTAATTGAGCCCCTTTATTATGTCTGCTAAATTCCTTCACAGCAGCACCTACATTAGAGTTGGTTGAATAACTGGGGGAAGGTGAATGACCAGGAGGTGGTTGTTGGGGCCATCATAGAATCACTCTAGCAAGGGATGAATCTTCCTTTTGTGTTTAATTGGGACACAGTTGGAAATTGAAGTTCAAGTAAAGTGATCATTGTGAACGATAATAAAATACATCCTCTTCAGCCATGGAACTTCTCCTTTCCTTTTAAAACTAAGTTACATGTTTAATGTCTTATAATTAAGTTAGGCAGGGGTGGTGGCTCACGCCTGCCATCCTAGCACTATGGAAGGCAGAGGAAGGCAGACTTGTTGACTCCAGAAGTTCAAGATCAGCCTGGGCAACATGGTGAAACTCTCATCTCTACAAAAAAACTAGAAAATTAGCCTGGCATGGTGGTTCATGACTATAGTCCCAGCTACTCAGGAGGCTAAGGTCAGAGGATCCCTTGAGCCCAGGAGGTCAACACTGCAGTGCATGGTGATCATGCCACTGCACTCCAGCCTGGGTGACAGAGTGAGACCCTGTCTCAAAAATAATAATAATGATGATGATAAATTTAGAGCAAATGCAAATTAACATGTAATAATGCATCCTGTCTTGTGAAAATGTATTAGTTATTTACTATGCATAACAAATTATGTAAAACTTAGCAGCTCAGAACAACAAATATTCCTCATCTCCCACAGTTTCCAATGATCAGAAATCCAGGAGAGGTTTCCCTGAGTGCTTCTGGCTCAGGGCCTCTCACAAGGTTGCAGTCCAGTTGTCAGCCTAGGCCTGCATCATCTGAGGACTTCACTGAGCAAGGCCATAGAGGAGCCCTCGAGCTACAATTGGCCATCAGAGGAGTCCCCTGTCTCCTAGGAATGTCCTGCCTTAGTGTCACTGGTATGACCCATCAGTCGTTGGGAACAGCCCATGGGAAGCAGGGCCTCAGCACCAATGTACTGAGGATGTCAGAACACAAGAGCAGGGCCTTGGGAGATTGCCCACAAGTGTGACTCAAACCTTCTGCCCTGACGGGTCTGGGCCCTTGGAAATCAAATCCTCTCAGGCTGAATTGCTGGATGATTCTGCTCACACTTACAATGGGGCAAGGGAAACCAGAAGGCTCCCAGGTGGATCTCTGGTTTCCACACACACTTCTACCCTTGTGTGAAACAGCCATGCCTTCTCCTGGGGATGAGGATCTATTTATTACCTGGGCCTGGAGAGGAGGAGAATCTTCTTCTCACCAAGTGGTATCTGGGCACACACTGTCCAAACTTCTCTGGTGACTAAAGTAATGTGTAGTTCAGTGGGCTGTCTTTTGTCTCCTTTTAGGGGTACACTCCTTTGGAAACCAGAACCTCGTATCCTGCACAGCCCAGTGTTGGGAGATAAAATATGCGAAATACCCCATTGAGTGAATCTAAGAGATTGGACATGGAGCCAAACCTGCTTCCGCCTTTTGATTTCTGGACACACATGTTCTTCCTATTGAGAACACAGAACTCTAGAGACGTCTCTGATTCAAACAATGCACTGTGTCCTGAAAGATGGCAC
Organism: Homo sapiens; assembly: GCF_000001405.40. Taxonomy (NCBI): domain Eukaryota; kingdom Metazoa; phylum Chordata; class Mammalia; order Primates; family Hominidae; genus Homo; species Homo sapiens. Next base: position 1,263,240 of record NT_167246.2, on the reverse strand, counting down.
CCACCCCTCAGAGTGCTTCCTCCAGGCTGGCACTGAGTTGTGCCTGTAGAAGACCTGTCCAGCCTTCCTTGTGGCTGGCAGCTCCTGGGTAGTGCAGATGGTGATAGGATTAGTGGAACCCACAGCCGTGGAAACACTGAAACTTTCCCTGCAAAGTGGGTCCTTCAGGCAGATAATGGGCTAGGAGCACTGCCTAGCCTGCAGACCAGGAATGTCAACAGCACCCAGAGAGTGGTGCTGGCTGTGTCTGAGAGCAGGACAGGAAAACCCACCCATAGAATCGGTACCTAACCCTGTGAAGATGAAACTCTGGCCCTTCCAGGTTGGAAGTAGCTAAATGTAGTCAACTTGTTACTTAGTGGGTAGTCATGTAAAGAAATAGTGCCCCACTAGGGCACATCATGGGCCTCAATTGCTGATGAGTTGGACATTCAGAGGTGGCAGCAGCTGGATCTGCCTTGGTGTGGGGAAGTCAGTGCTGCTGGCCCCTTACGGAGCCTCATGCCTGCCACTGTGGTTGCTCCATTCATGCACTCATCCTACCAGGCGTGGGCTGACCCATGGTGAAAGCTGGCTAACTGCCATTTGTCTGTTTGGTAGTTCAGTGCCACTTCAGACTTGGGTGTTTTCTGTGGGTGTCAGCAAGGGATTCAAGCTCAACCCAGGTGGACTGTTTTCACCTGATGATGAATGCTGTTGGGCCTGTACCATCTATGACTTTGTGGGTCACACAGGCACTTGGAACCCCGTAGTTGCTTGGTATCCCGTGGTCAAACATTCTATTGAATCAGGACAAGGAACACTAAAAGTTGCTTCTAACAGGGGGCATGTGTCTCTGCTGTGGATGACATGATCTTACTCCAGAATCCCAGGCCCTCCACTGTGACTCTCCCACTGGTGCTTGGTTCAGCTCCATCCTGTGTCTTTCCCCACCACTGGCACCACCAGCCCCAGGGGTCTGAGGGATGGTGGCTGCTTGTACCATGGCCTGGATCTGCTGCAGGGTCCTTTCCTGTGTAGGCCCCACTTGAAGCTGGCATCCTCCTATGTCACCTAGACTGTGGGCCAAAGCAAAATGTCTAGATGTGGAATGTGGTGTTGTTATAATTCAAAGAGGCTCACCAAGCAGTGTGCTTCCTTGCTTCTGGTGAGGATGCAAGATGCAACAGTTTTTCTTTTACCTTGGAGGGGACACACCTGCATTCCCCTAAACACTTGGCACTTGTTCACCCATAAAACTTCACTTCAGTGCCCACCTTTGAAGCTGTATAAGGTTTATCTTCACCTTGTGGGGTGCGTGTGTTTTGCAAAGGACTACAGTGCACTTTCTTCCTGCTGCTCATCTACTCCAGTCAACATGAAGTTGTCAATGAAATGTGCTGATTTAATATCCTAAAGGATATGCAGTATGTCCAGTACAGTCTTAAGCCTATACTATAGAGGGCACAGGTGTTACAATAGCCCTGAGGCAAACAATAAATAAATGTGTCGTTGATTCCACATGAATGTGAATCACTCCATATCCTCTTCCTTCCTTCCTTCCTTCCTTCCTTCCTTTCTTTTTTGACAAAGTCTTGCTCTTGTCCCCTAGGCTGGAGTGCAATGGCGTGATCTCGGCTCACTGCAACCTCTGCCTTCTGTGTTCAAGTGATTCTCCTGCCTTGGCCCCCCGAGTAGCTGGGATTACAGGCACCTGACATGATGCCTGGCTAATTTTTGTATTTTTAATAGAGACGGGGTTTTGCCATGTTGGCCAGGATGGTCTAGAACTCCTGACCTCAGGTAATCCACCGGCCTCGGCCTCCCAAAGCTGGGATTACAGGCATGAGCTACTGCGCCCAGCCCATATCCACTTTCTAATTGGAGTGGAAAGGAATGCACTCACCAAATCCACAGCGGCACACTGTGTGCCCGGGGCTTTATTAACCTGCTCTACCAGTGATAACCAGACAACATAAAAGCTGCAATTATAACTCCTACTTGGCCAGACCTGGAGTAATCTCATTCATTCTTTAGACCTTACCAGTTTCCCTCAGGGACAGGTTGCTGGATTACATAGAGACAATAGACAGCCCCAACACCACCCCACATCCTTCAGCTCTCTAATGTTGGTGCGACCCCATAATACTTTCAGTGTCTTCCACAAGACCCACCCTGGGACACACTATGGTTTTTGATTTGGCCAGGATGTGGGCAGTGTCAGAGGTTTCCGTTTGGCTTTCAGCACAATGAGAGTCCTTACTCCACAGACTAGGGACCCAGTGTGGGGGTGACTCCACTTAGCAGTGCAGCAGTGTCAATCATGCACTCAGGGAATTGAAAGATATCCAGCGTTGGGTCTGTTGGCCCAGTGGTCCCATTGTGGGCCATAATTTGTCCAGGTTTACTCCCTGGCCTCCATAAGCCCCACTGTGATGGGAGACATGAGTGCTGTGGGCATCTGGGCATCAATGTCAGCTCACACCCAGTGTCAATAATCCCTCCAGTTCTGCGTGTTTCCTTTCCCCAGTGTACAACCACCCAAGTAAATGTCTATAGGTTCCTTTGCCAAATGATTGAGGGAATTGTGCCAGCATATACTTCCACAGGGTTGCAGGGTCTTCCTCCTAGGGATATGGACTCCTCCTCTGTCACTGAGATCTGAATCTGAATCTTGGCTGAGGTCTAGGCATTGAGGATGGGATCATGACTTTGTATTGGGTCAAACACCTTCACCCTCCTGCTCCTCAATTCTTTCATTCCTATCATAGATATCAAGCAGCGCCCTTGTTGGCTGCCTGTCCTAACCCTGGGACACCACCCTCTATTAACCTTCCCCACATTCCCTGCAACTTGAGTCCTCCTGGCTGCTACTCTGAAGTTGCCATAGTAACCATGCCCTCTGCTTTTTCAGGTCACTGCCACCACTTCTTCTCTGTCTCTTCAGGGCCACACTCTCCCCAGGGATATGGATAAATGCAACTCTGGGACCATCTTTATTACCATCACCCGCAGCCTGCAGAGGACAACACCCCTATACTTAGTGATGCAGGTCCCTTTCACCATCATGTTCCTGAGGCTCTGGTGGAAGGTTGTGTCCTCTGGGCCCTCTTGTGGAGCATGGCCCTGGTGGGCCTTCACCATGCCCACTTCCCTCAGCCTCGTTATTCCTTCCTTTACATGTTCCAGGGCAACTAAGACATGTCTACCTTGTTGAGAGTTGGGCATCTTTTTTTCCAATCTATATGGATTCACCCCAGCGGTGGGTTTAGCTCCACTTATCAAAGTCCTGGGGTGTTTGACAAACCCATGCCTTGAGAAAGTGCCTCCAAGCCAAAGGATTTTTATTCATCCAGCCTGAAATTCTGGTTTCTTGATCAAACGCCCTCAAATTCCAATCCCAGAAGTGCTCCTTGGGCTCCTGTGGGGAAATGGCGGCTAATTCCTGCAAAGCTGCTGAGTAGGATTCCCGCAGAATCACGGGGGTGAGGCTTTTGCAGCATCTTCCAGCGTAGGAAGTGGGAACCATTATTAGATAATGGTGAGCCTCCTCTGCATTCCCAGAGGGTCCTGGAGGGCACCCATCGGATATCCTGGTTCCAGTTTCCAGAATCTCAGGTTTCCCCACCAGGACCCTGACTTTCCTGTAACAGGCCTGCTTTGGCTGAGTGTCAGACATGTCTGGAGCACTGTGGCCCTCGTAATGATGTCTTCAGCTGCCATTCCACGCTATCTGCCCTTTCGCTACAGGAGATAAAGGCCTCTCCATGAGACACTGCAGAGGCTGTCACCTGTAGCCAGTGACAGCTGTTAACAACCCGCAGATTCTCATGATCCTTTTATAGGGTATCAACGCAGCCAAGCAGTAACCACCCAACTCCTCTGTCTTTGTAGGTTTCCCCCAACCTCATCATTATTGTGTAGGGCATTCTATCACCTCACCTGCCATAGCTTCCCCTAACCAGGGCATCTTCTCAGCTCAGCACTGAGGAGACCACAGCACCTCAGCTGCACCTTATGCCATGGACTTTCTGTGTCCCCCACCAACCCGGGTGGCATCCTCTTGGCCTGCCAGGCAGTGGGCAAGATTATTTCAAATTCCCATTTTTGCCTGTTTTCATGGGTCACCCTTCATACCGCTTGGGTTAGTTAGGGTCCCCTGAGGAGCAGAGCCCAATACGGTAGTAAATGTGCAAGGATTTATTCAGGGAAATACTTGTGAGAGAAATTCAGGAGAGAGACAGAAAACACTGGGAGAGCCATCAGACCACACTGCAACTCTGAGCCCCAGTGAAGGAGAGAGGGCAGGAAGTTCAGCTGGAAGCATCCTAGACCCTGTGCAGGCTAAGGGAAATTTAGTAAAGGAGGCAGGGAGCCCTGGGGCTGCAGTCAGCCTTCAGAGGAGAAATACTCCTGCCTTAGTTTCTGCCCTGCTTTCCTCAATCATTGGCTGGAAAAGATCAGGGGGCAGGTGTGGGATCAGAGCAAATGTGGCAATAGATTTCAAGCTTCAAGAGCTGGGGTCATCATCGATTCTGCTTCCTGTAGCTGAGGGGCTGGGATGTGCATTCTCATGACTGCCACAATGATCCAGTGGGGAGAGAGGGAAAAAGTTGATGATAAAGATAAAAAAAGATACTAGTTGATGAACTGACAACTTTAAGTAGATGAGAAGGGATGATGTTTGGGGCACCAGAAGAGGGACTGGCTCTGACTGGGAGCAGAATTGTTAACCCCCAGCAATCCCTCCCGTGGTAAAATGCCTGACATGTGGTGCAGCTGCAAATGCATGAGCAGACAGTGGTGGAATCGGGGAAGTTGTCTTCTAATGTGTTCAGTTTTCTCAGTGAGGTAGGAGGCAAGGTTGTCAGCTGAGGTAAGAATGGGGAAGAAGGGTTGGATGTGTGAGCACAGAGAGAAGGTGTCTAGGAGTCACCCAGGCCAAGAGGAGGCTGAGGGTGAACCACGTAGGGAGAGGGTGATTGCTGGCCACGTCAATGGTAGGGGCTCCCCATGAGGTTTGGAATCTTAAAGAGACCAGTCAGCATGTTGTGTGCTGCTGTCCAGCCTCCTGCAGCTCATGGGGCAGGTGCAGCATAGACAGAGGTGGAACCCACCAGCTGTGTAGTTTTGCCAGGTGAGTATGACAATGCAAGGGAGAGGCAAGGGAGGGATTGAAATTATTTACTGTAGAATTCAAAATGGGAGAAGAGGGAGGAGAGGACACCAAGGGTGAGTGACAGGGAGTAGATGGCAGGATCACTCAATTGGGAATCCCAGTGGGCTGGAAGGATTGTTGGAATTGATGTACCACAGGGTGGACTCCAAGCCTGGAATGCAGGCACATAGGAAATGAGTGGTTCATTGATATTACATCACAGCATATGATAAAATGATAGTGTCTGTGTCATCAGAGCCTGTGGCCACCTTGCAAGGGGATGAGTGGAAAGATGGCCAGAGAGTGGGAAGTGTGAGATTGAGAGTATGGAAGGGCTGGGGTTCTTGGCCGTGATGAGGCCTAGGGGATGACAAGGGCATGAGATTCAGGCAGAGAGAGGAGAAGGTCATGGAGGAGAGGAGTTACAGGATCTGAGAGTCCAGGGAGCAAGGGCATCTTCTCTGCTGTATAGGTGTCTGTTGCTGCCATAAAAATTACCACAAACCAAGTGGCTTTAAACAGCACCTAATTATCATGTCACAGTCATGTGGGTTGCAAGTCCACACAGTCTCATGGGGCTAAGATCAATGTACGGGAAGGCCTGCATTCCTTCCTGGAGACTGGGGAAGAATCCACTTCCAAGCTCATTCAAGTTCTTGTCTGAATTCACTTCCTTGCAGATAGAACAGAGATTTCCACTTCCTTGTTAAGAGCCACCCTTAGCTCCTAGAGTTTTCTCTCAGGTACTCACACATGGCGCCTAAGGCACATCCAGTCCTCCTGCTTGGAACGTCTGACCTCCTCTCTCCAGCTTCTCCTCTGTTTCCTCTTCTGCAGAATCTGACTCCAGCCAGGGCAGTTTCTCTGCTTTTAATGGCTCATGTGATTTGATTGGGCCCACGCAGATAGTCCAGGATACTCTCCCTATTTTAAGGTCCTTAATCTTCATTACATGATTAATGTCCCTTTTGCCATGCAATGCAACCTATTCACATGTTCCAACGATTAAGCCTGGACATCTTTGGGGACCATTACTCAGCCCACCACATCTGCGTATGTTGAAGTCACCAAGAGTCAAGGAGACGCACTGCTGGAGAGGGTGACAGTGAACCAGGAGCTACAAGGGTCAGGATTAAGAGGAATGGCTTGGGGCACAAAGGGAATGGCTACAACATGGGGAATGGGGCCCTAATCTGCTGACAGCTTAGGGGTTTAGGGAGGAGGGAGGGAGAAAGGTGTGAGAACCACAGTGAGGAGCAAGGACCCCACCTCACCTCTGAACCCAGGGGTACAAGTCCCTGGGAAAACTCCCCCATGTGGGAGGACTTTGGAGGGGGTCGTGTCCTCAGGGAGACCAGGTTGCTGCTGTAGCTGTGAGGTGCAGGAACATCCTGAGAGAGGGTGTGGAGGTTTTGCTAATCTTTTTGCTGGGGGAGGGTCTTGCCTCAGTGTTGACTATTGGCTGATCAGGAGGGTGGTTGCTAAAGGCTGCTGTGGCAACTTCTTTAGATATGACAATAAAGTTTGTGGCATGGATTGTAAATCGGGAATCAGTACTTAAGTAAGGTCAATATGAGTTTTCAAGTCAGGTGGACCTGAATATGAACCCTCCAGGCCCTTCCACCAGCTAGCTATAGAGCCCTGGGCACATCTGGCCCACAGTTGGCCCTGACAGACACTTGCCCAGTGAGTGAGTGCTGAATGAGCCCATACGAGTCAGTTTCCTCATCTGCAAACTAGTGATGTAATTCCTGCCTTGCCAATTCAGAAGAATAAGTGAGAAGAAACCCAGTGCCAAGAAAAACAGACACAAGACCTGTGGAAGGCTGGGCACCAGTGCTCTAAAGCAAGCTCTGCCTAAACTGGCAGGATCATTTTTCACATCAGAAACAGGAATTGGTCTGGATTCTGTCTGGGACCAGGCTGAGAGGGAGGTGGAGGCAGCAGAGCAGGGCAGGGGTGGGGCCTATGCAGCACCAGGTGCTGAAGCAAAGCCAAGGCCTGGAGGGAGCGAACTCTTGGTGTCTTCTAGGCAACTCAGACTGCTCCCTGCCTCAGCTACCATGGTCCTTTCTCTTCCAGGATCTCTCGGTGCTGTTGTCTTCACCTCCTCCTGCCCTCCTGGTCCCTAGCTCTCCAGGACTCACAAAGATGCTGCTCTGAAAACCCCAAGGCAAGCGTGGAAGAGTAGAACAGCTCCAGGGACAGTGGGAAGATGAGGTCACCCCAGCATGTTGACGGACACCAAGGGTGGGGGTGGAGGACGTGAAGGGGATCAGCACAGGAGTCAGGGGAAATCCTCTAAATCCCACCCTGCACCACCCTCACCCCTGCAGCTCCTTGCCTAGTTCCAGCTCTGAGCTCTCAGCTCCTTCCCAACCACACCCCAGCTCAGACCTCAGGGCTCTCTCTCCCCACCCCCTCCAGAGCAGCACAGTCCACAGAGCCCTTGAACAGAAATTCCCCCTCATCTAACAGTTAATTATTTCTTAGCGGAGAGGGACAGCCGGTCCTCTCTTTCCAGTGACCCCATATCCTTGTTCAAGGTATCCAGTTATACTCCCTGAGCCAGGGATCTCTATTTGCCCCCCAGAGGCCTATGCCCAAGACAAGGGGCTCCCTGGGCTTCTCAGTACAGGAGGCCTTAAGCTAATGGGCTAGAAAAAGGGAAAGGGAGGTAGAATTCCTCATTTACAGCCAGACCCTGCAATACAGGTTCCAAGGGCCTCAGCCCCCTGCCCTGGCTGATGCTCCCTCCACCACTCCCCCTCACCAGGGCCATGAGCCCCCAACACAGCTGAGCTGGCCCAAGCTGAGGAGTTGCTGGAGCTGGACCAGGCCCTGCTGGAAGGGCAGGAGGGGGTCAGGGGCCCAGGCCCTGGTGCTCAAGGTCTAGAATTTGAAGGAATAGATGAGGAGGCACCAAGAAAGCCTGGGTGGAGACACTCAAGCTTCCCACCAGTGCCCACAGCACCCTCCATCCCTGGAAATACTGCGCACCATCCACCAGGAGCCCCAGGATCAGAAACATCCCAGCCTCTCTCAGGCCAGATAAAGCAGAAGAGACCCCAACAAAGGGCCGGAAATAGGCAGGTAGTTGGGGAGCCAGGGCTCTGCAGTCCGTCCCCCTTTGACCTCACAGCAGGGCATCCAGGCCTTACAGGAATTTACCCTGGACCATGCCCTAAAATAATCTTACCCCAAATACAATAAAGGGAGAGAGCACCCACACATAATGCAGATGCACTTGTGTTTCATGTTTAGTTACATTAAAAATTCTGACGATCAGGAATGATGGTTCGGGAGTGGTGCTGATGCAGAAGAGGAAAGCCAGGGGGTGGTGGAGGCTGTCAGGTGTGGGGGCAGCAGGGTCTCCTTCACCCACACCCTGCTGTCCTCTCCTGAAGGGCAGATGGTCACATTCCAGAATGAGCGAGTCTCCTACTGCATCTGTTCAACTGAGAAGGAGACATGGCACAGTGAGAATAAGGCATGAAAGGACAAAGCAAGGCAGGAACACACAACACACATGCAGATGCTGGTGTACTGCCTGGGTTCAGAGGATGGACTTGGGCGTGGTGGAAGAGATGTAATATGAGAAAAGGCACAGACCCCACAGAGAGGGCAGCAAAACGTCCCAACACAGCATCAACGGCCAGGGGGCATGAAGCAGTCAATTGTTCATTATGCGTTAAGTGCCCATGACCTACATGATGGGATTGAAGACACAGTAAGGAATAGGGAGGAACTAAGGGTTTCATGAAATCAGCACTCACTGTGGAGGAGACGTCTGTCTCAGCAGGTAGCTCCTAACACTGAACTTAAAGTGATGCTGCCCATCACTGAGGATCCTGGCACAATTCTCATCCGACACAAGCCCTGTTCCAAACCAGCCTGCTCTAGTCACCTGGAAGGAGACAGAGGTTAGGACTAGAAGACCCCAAAGAGGGAAGACAGCCAGAGGGAGGAATGAAGAAGTGAAGTGTGAAAAGATACAGAAAATAAGTGGGTGGGAGAGTGGGTGTCCCTCTGTGTATGGAGCTTACCTGATTCACGTAGGTCTCAGAATCTTCAGGCATGTCACAGGTAAAGGCAGTGTTCACCTGCTCCATGTCCATGCCTGGGCAAAATAGGGTTGGTAGCCAAAGAATTGGCCTTTAAAAATCTTTTGGGGTCATTCTCAGACAAGTACAGAAGAGCAAAAACTGTTAGTCACCTGAGGTGCATTCTCCTTCTCAGGTTCAGAAATGAACTACATGTAAAAGGAACCAAAGGCTGTAATTCTCATGGCACCCAGAAAACTGGACTAGGGACCTGGAGAGTCATGTGCCTGTCATTGCTCCACCACTCACGAGCTGTGTGACTTCAGGAGAAGCTCTCTACTCATAGGGCCTCTGATTCATCTGTGAATCATGGACAAATGCCTCCATTCTAGCAACCTTACTGAAATGCAGGGAGGACCAAGTGATCAATGCGGAGGAAAAAAGCAAAGTGATGACATTTACTCCTAGACAAGACTCTTTAGGAAAATGCACTTTAAAAGGAGGAGAAAACATAGTACCTGCCATCCCCTGCCAAAAAGCCTCTTTGGTTTAGTAATTATGATTGTTCATCATCTTTCTATAAAATTAGGGCAAAACTAGCTCACTCAATGTCTCAAATAAATTAAACACAGTTTGTGATTCTATGTCCACAACTTTTGCACTGTGTGAAACTGAAAAGAAATGGGAACACATCCATGTTTGTGTGGTGGCCAGGAGACCCACAAAGGCTTGGAAATGACCCTGTATCATCTATTTTCCATTGACTCACTCTATGTTTTGGAATCCCAGGTAATTCATATTCTTAAAAAGTCTCATGTTCATACATAGGACAGAGTAGAAAAGGTAATATTTCTGTTTTAATTTGCTAGGGCTACCATAACAAAGTACCACATGCTGGGTGAGTAAAATAATAAATATGTATTGTCTCACAGTTCTGGAGGCTACAGGTGCAGGTCAAGGTGCTGCAGGGTTGCTTTTTCCTGAGGCCTCTCTCCTTGGCTTGTAGATGGCCACTTCTGTCTTCTCAACATAGGACTCCAACATATGAATTTCGGTTGGGGAGGGACACAATTCGTCTCATAACAGCGTGGATCATCCTTGGTAGTGGATATTCTAAAAAATAAAAGAGAGTATATCCCTTTGGCTTGGTGCTTTCTCTTGGTTTTCTCAATTTTTGGTCTTGCAATAAGAACAAAAAAGAACAAGAACCAACGTTTAGTTTTTCCCAGAAGGTGAACCCTCCCTACATCTGGGTAACCCCAGACCCCAAGAAGAGGTGCTATGCAGTTCTCCAGAGTCTTACTTTCTCCAGGAATTCTGTTTCTGCCTTTCTAACTGGGGAGAAGATTCTCTCAGGAGAGCCACTTCTTCTGATGCTGTATGGGCTTCATTCTGCTTGAACTTACAAAGTGGATCTTAATAAAAAGGAAATATTTGCCAATTTTTATCATGGTCATATTTTTGTACTTTTTAAAATGTCCCATATTGTGTTGAGTTTATTTTAAAAATATTTTTTAAAGGTAATACATAACATTTTATATGTTTATGGGGCACATGTGATCATTTGATACATACACAGAATGTGGAATAATCAAGTCAGGGTGTTTAGGGAATCCATCACCTCAAGCATGTATCATTTCCTTGTGTTGGGAACATTTAAAATCCACTCTTCTAGCTGTTTTAAATATACATAATTGTTAGCTTTAGTTGGCCTGCTGTGCTATAGAACATTAGAACTTTTTTTTTTATATAACTGTACATTTGTACCCATTAATCTACCTCTCTACATCTTCCCACCCCTACATTCTTCCCAACCTCTGGTAATTTTCATTCTACTCTCAACCTCCATGAGATTAACGTCTTTAGCTCACACATGTGAGTGACAACATGTGATATTTGTGTTTCCTTGCCTGGCTCATTTCACCTAACATGACCTCTGGTTCCATCCATGTTGCTGCAACTGACAGGATTTCACTCTTTTTTTATGGCTGAATTGCATTCCATTGTGTATATACTACAGTTACTTTATTCATTCACCCATTGATAAATTCACCATTGATTTCACATCTTTGCTATTGTGAATAGTGCTTCAATAAACATGGGTGTGCAGGTACTCTTTTGATATATTGACTTCATTTCCTTTGGATAAATACTCAGAAGTAGAATTGTTGCATCAGATAGTAGTTCTATTAATAGTTTCAGTTTTTTTGAGAGATCACTCTACTGTTTCCCATAATGGCTGCACTAATTTACATGACCACCAACAGTGTATAACATTCCCCTTTCTCCACATGCTCACCAACATCTATTATTTTTTATTTTTTAATAATAGCCATCTTAACTAGGGTTAGGGTAAGATATATCTCATTGTAGTTTGATTTTCATTTTCCTGGTATTTAGTGATGTTGGGTGTTTTTCACACACCTGCTGGCCACTTGTATGCCTCCTCTTGGGGAATGTCTATTCAGATCCTTTGTCCACTTTTTAATTGGATTATTTGTATTTTTTACTGCCAAGTTTTTGAGTTCCTTGTATATTCTAGATATTAGTCTAGAATATACTAATTGGATGAATATACTGGTTGGTTGAATACTTAGTAAATATTTTCACGATTCAACAGGTTATTGCTTCATTCTGTTGGATGTTTCCTTTGCTGTGCAGAAGCTTTTTAGCTTAATATAGTCTCATTTGTCTATTTTTACTTTTTTTGCCTGTGCTTTAGAGGTCTTAGCCATAAAATCTTTGCCTAGACTAATGTTTCCCATAAGTTTTCTTCTAGTAGTTTTACAGTATTGGGTCTTACGTTTAAGTCTACAATCCCTTTTGAGTTGATTTTTTGTATATGGTGAGAGACAGGGGTCTAGTTACATTCTTCTGCATCTGGTAGCATTTTCCCAGCACCATTTATTTAAGAGACTGTTCTTTCCCCAGTGTATATTCTTGGTTCCTTTGTCAGAGGAACTCCTTTGAGAGTTCTCATTAAGAAGCAATGTTTAGTTTCACCAAATGCTTTTTCTGCATCTATTGAGATGATAATATGGTTTATGTCCTTCATTCTGTTGATGCGGTATATGACATATTTTGATTCACATATGTCAAACAATCCTTGCATCCTGGGTATAAAACTCACGTGATTATGGTGTATTGTTTTGATCTGTTGTTGGATTTTGTTGCTAATATTTTCAATTACTATTTTTTATTACTAACGTTTAAATTTTTATTGTAAGCATTTTAAACTTGTAAAATTTACATATACTGAAATGATCAGATCTGTATCAAATTCATCAATGAATTTTGACAAATACAGCCATAGCACCCATGCCACTATGAAGATACACGAAGTTCTCTATTTTTCTGCCTTCAAATTAGCCCCCTTTCCCCAGCAGCCATTGATCTGATGACTATCATGATAGAGTAGCTCTTCCTGTTTCAAAACTTCATACGTATCCATTCATCCCATATGGCCTCCCTTGTGCCTAGCTTTTTGCACTTGGTGTAATATCTATGTGGTCTGCCCAGCTTGTTGCATGTATCAGTAATTCATTCATTTTTAATGCTGGTAGTATTGCATTGTATCACTGAGTCACAATTTTTTTGTACATTTTGGGGGTATTCACGGTTTTTTATTGTTACAAATGAACTATGGACATTATTGTACAGGGATTCTTGGACATAATCTTTATTTCACTTGAGTAAATACCTAGGAGTGGAAATGCTAGCCATAGAGTACTAGCTTGTTTAACTTTATTAGATGATATAAAAGTGATTTTCAGAGTGGCTGTTTTATATTCTTATAGGCAGTGGATGAGACTGTTTCACATCCTTGACAACATTTATATTTATTAATCACTTAAATTTCAGCCATTCTAATAAGTGCTTAGTGGTTTCTCGCTGTGGTTTTACTTTGCATTTTTCCCTGATGACTATTGGCCATTCATGTGTCTTTTTTGTAATGTTTCAGAAGATTTCTCTAAAGATTGTGGAAGGAGCTAAATAAACATGATTTCTCTTTCTCTAAGTGCTAGACCTAAAGCGGAATGTTTAGAATCCATCCACGCTTCCCAGTCTGGCCTACTCAATCCCATATTTGCCCCCTAAAGTCCCCACTCCTTCATCCCTCTTTTATATTTTATCCTCTTCATTCTGGCTCAAGCTCACACTCCTCCAGGAAGTCTGTTACTGTGAAGGTCACTGACATGCTCAGTATTGTCATCTCTCCATCTGTCTGTACCTCTGTGCAGCTTTCCTCACACTCAATAACTCTTTTCTTATTTTGCTCAGTTCCTGTGGATTCACTTCACAAACATTAATTCAAAGTAGTTCCAGCTGGAAGAAAGAATAGAAAATTATAAAAAATCTTTGTGAAGGCACCACCCAGGTTTGTCAATTGGCGACATTTTAATATTATTGGCTATATGTAGTATACATAGAAAAATAATAGAAATATATGTAGATAGCCTTGATTTTTCACAGCTCTGATATGCACATGTTTCAGTCAGTACTGTACTGAGCAAATCAAGAATTGCAAGAGGATGTGTGACTTGAATTTAGTGTATGCCTTTATATTTTTACTAAGTTTTAGGAAATCTCTTTGTTTGAAGTCTTTTAGACTTGTTTTTTTAGAACAGGTCTCCTCACTCTGTCACCCAGGCTTGAGTGCAGTGGCACAAACACAGCTCACTGTACCTCAACCTCCCAGGCTCAAGCGATACACCTACCTCAGCCACCCAAGTAGCTGGGGGTATAGCTATGCTCCACCATGCCGGGCTAATTTTTGTATTTCTTGGAGAGAGGGTTTTTGCCATGTTTCCCAGGCTGGTCTTGAACTCCTGAACTCAAGCGATCCACCCACCATGACCTCCCAAAGTGCTAGGATTACAAGTGTACACCACCTTGCCTGGCTTTGCTTTTAGACTTCTTATAAATTGTTTCTGGCTAATTTTATCATTCATTTGCTTGCTTTTTCAGTTAACATGTTCTATGACATGAATCTATGTTCATACAAATAGTTCATTTGCTTTCATTGGTGGATAGTATTCCATGGGAGGAATATACTACAATTCTTCTCTTTCCCTCTTCATTGACCTTTAGATTTTCTCTATTGTAGACCTCACTGCAATGAACATCCTGGGACATTGCCTCCTGCTCTCAGAGATATGTGAGTTTCCCTAGAATATGCATATAGGAGTGGGGTCACTACAGCTTTTCCATATGATGTTACATGATGCAAAATTGTTCTCTGAAAGAAATAATCCAAATGCCTATCAAGAGGGGGCTGATTAAAAAGCACCGCACTCAAAAGAAGCAATCTCTATTTTTTTTTAAAATATTGCATATATATACAATGGTGTATCATGAAAATTTCAAACAAAGATGTAGCTAAGCTCTTGGTATTTCTTCATGTGATGGTCTTTGTGATACAATGTGAAGGGAAAAGGCAAGGTGCAGGAAAGCATATGTAGTTTGCTAAAATTTGTGTGAAATGGGAGAAAGATTATATACATATACATTTAGATTGACTTGCATATGCATAAAATGCCTTTGAAAGAATAAGCAAGAAACTGATATAAATAGCTGCCTGTCAAGATGGGGTAGCATAAGAGAGAGACTTTTAACTTTTTGAGTTTTGAGCCAAGTCAAAACATAAAATAAAAGATAATTCCAAGGCAGACAAAACAAACAAAATCAAATCCTTCAAAATAAAAAACTTAAAAAAAGAGCCTAACAGAATTAATTCTCTTACCTTCCTTAATTAAAAAAAAAACTGTCTAAAAATTATATCACTTCTCAAACAAGGATGTTTCCTGTCACTTTAATTCAGTATGTTGTTTTCTTTTTCATTGCACTATCTTTCTTTATGTGTGTGTCTGTCTTTCATTCATTAAAAGTCAAAATGAGAGCATGGTTACTTAACAAATGCAACCGGTTTGGTGAAGGAAATTTTGACCAAATCCTGATGTAAATGGTGAAGCCCAATCTACAAGGAATTCTACGGGGTCCAATGTACCAATTGTGGCTTCAGCAGGCTCAGAACTTCCTCTACTGTCCATGTGAGCTCAAGTATGTGATATTTAGAAAAGAGAACACTTGGTAATTCTCCTGGAAAACACACGATTGAATCCATTTGCTGAATTTGGAAGGTTCTCATTATGAGCCCATTCTAAGTATGTGTCATATGAGGTCACCCTGTATTTGGATCAGAAGGTATAGTCAGAGCTCACATCCCAGGCCCAAACAGCCCAGGACAGCAGAGCAAGACTCGTAGGTCAGTTTCATAAGGGGTGGGAAGGATTGGGGGTGTGGGGGCCACTTGTGAAGTAGTGGGAACCCCAGATGCTGTGTGAAGCTCAGCCTCTGGATTGCCCTGTAACCCCACATTTGATTCCTTCCTGGGTGTCTGCCATTCCCGGGATCCCAAGGAAATCAAATGCTGCAGACTTGGGTGGGGTGCTCTCCAAGATGGCCCATGCATGGTCTAGTTTATCCTATACCTTTGCCTGTCAGCCCTCTTCTGATATTAGAAATCAATATGGATTGCCTTAGGGTGGTGATTCTCAAAGTGTGTTCCTGGGACAAGTAGCATTGGCATCACCTGAGGACTTGTTAGAAATGCAATTTTCAGGCCCTGCCTCAGACCTACTGAATCAGAAACTGCATTTTAACGGGCCCCCAGCAGAATTCTGCATTTCAAATCAGGCCTCTCTCTCTCTGTCTCAAGACTCAATATTGAGCAGCTGTGACTTCTGGATAGTCATATATGGGACACACTTCCTTGCCAGGAAGCACCTGGCTCCTCAGTCAGCTTAGTCTGAGTCCTGGCCTGGCCTAGGAGAGAAAAATTCATGTCCTGGGTTCTGAGCAATGCTCTCCTGTCCTGGATGCCTGTCAGACTCCTATTTATACCTCAAAACGCAGCTCAAATGTTGTGTCTTATGAAGCTTCTGTGACTCCTTGGTCAGAGCAGATGGTCTACATGTGCATCCGCAAAGCAAGTTGCATATTCTGCCAACCATTTGTGTAAGAATTTCCTTACTGGCAACAGAGTGAGACTCTGTCTAAAAAAATAAATGAATAAATAAATAAATAAATAAATAAATAAATAGTTTCCTTACTGATCTCTGCCTGAGCAAGACGGCTTAACCTTGAAGGCAAGGGGGGTTTGGTTCCTCTTACCTCAGCCCCAGCTCCTTTAACACAATGCCTAGCACATGGTAGGTGTTTGATAAATGTTTACCAAATGAAGGGATTTCCTGCAATGACCTAGGAGACAAGAAGGTGGAATAAAAGCTCACAAGCCAAAAGTGGGTGGGAAAAGGTCTTCCAAATCCCAGTGCTGTGTGAGCACAGGGCCCACTGATGTTCACTTTTAGAAGCTTCCCATCTATCTTGTTCTCTTCTCACCAGAAACATCTATGCTTCCCCACCAAGGTCCACCTAATCGCACTTTACCTTTCAGGACCACCTTTCAAATTAGCTGGGTACAAACTCCACAGCAACTTCCTGCCTTAGCTCCAAATACTCAGCTGCAGTCCTGGTGTGGGGCTTCATGCTAATCCTAGCACTTTGGGAGGCCGGGGCAGCAGATCACTTGAGCCCAGGCCTTAGAGACCAGCCTGGGCAACATGGCACAACCCCATCTCTACAAAAAACACAAAACATTAGCTGGGGCTTGTGGCGTTCACCTCTAGTGACAGCTATTCAGGAGTCTGAGGTGGGAGGATCTCTGGGGCCGAGGAGTTCGAGGCTGCAGTAAGCCGTGATCATGCCACTGCATTCTAGCCTGGATGACAGAGTAAGACCCCATGTCTAACAAACAAAAACTACAACTCTGAGGCTAATTTGGTGGGAGTTAAGAGCTTATCCTACTGCGGTGTCACTATGAGTGATATTGGGTGGCTTTAAGATTAGGGGGTGTTTACATTTCTAAAAAGAAAATTGCTCCACAAAGAATGTAAAGTTTTGGTGTGTGCAGGGGTGGGGTCTTCAGGAGAAAAAAGGCAATAGCTCCAGTAATACTCAGTAGCTGACTGTCCTGCCCACCTCTCACCCAGAGCCTAGGCAGGGGCTGGATTCTCACCTCAGCCCCTCCTCAGCGTACCCTGGATGTGGATGGTCCCTCAGTGTGAACCCACCTGGGCTCTGACTGTGGCTGCTCTTCCCACTGTTATGGAGCCTTAGTGGGTGTGGCGCATGCAGGGGGCCTGCTCAGGAGACCAAGTGCCCTTTAAGTCTCAAGACCTACATTTTTGAAGCACCCATGTCAGATGTTCAGGATGGAAGGGACTCAGATGCTCAAATCATAATAAAAGAAAGAATCCATCCCACTCTCTCAGGTGTGGTGGAATTAAAATTAAATGACAATCAGTAATCTAAAATGATCATATTCTCAGTGTTGACTTTATCATTCAGCCGACGCCTATAACCCAGGGATGGATGAGGCATTGTGGAGGAAGAGTTTATTTCTTCTTTCTGAAGGCTCCATCAGCTGGAGTTTTTGCCCTATGACATGGAGAGGAGACTTTGCTTCAAGCTAAGTTAGGACTGAGCACAGTGGCTCACCCATGTTATCCTAGAACACTGGGGAGGCTAAGGCAGGAGGATCACTTGAGCCCAGGAGTTCAAGACCAGCCTGGGAAGCAGTGAGATGTATTCTGTTCAATTTTTTTTTTTAAATTAGATGGTCATTTTGGGGCTTTCCTGTAGTCTTGGCTACTCTGGAGACTGAGGCAGCAGGATCACTTGAACCCAGGAGCTCAAGGCGGCAGTGAACTATGATCAACTCACTGCACTACAACCTGGGTGAGAGAGCAAGTCCCTATCTCTAAAAAAAGAGAAAGTGACCTGAGTTGGGACAGGACATTTGGACTTTTTCATTAAAATTGTATTTCAAATGTTGTAAAACTTCATAATCAGCATTTTACCCTTTTAGAAAGTAGAATCTGCTCAATTACAGAAAATATAAAAAATGTAGTGAAGCAGAAAGATGGAAAACACCTGTGTCCCCACTGGGAGGATCCGGATGAACCTCTGCCTGGCAGAGCCTCAGAGACGTCAGTGAAAAGGGGCCCTGGAGCTGTGCTTTGCAGCTGCCCCCTGAGTTTCCACCCCTGGTTTCTGTGCATGTGGTGTCTGTGCAGGATGACTTAGTGCAGTCACACTGTATGAGTTATTTTGAATCTTGCTTTTCAAACTTTATTATTATCAATAAGCAACTTTATATGTTATCATAAACTCTTCTTAAACAGTACTTTTCCTGGCTGTATACTATTTCCAAAAAATGACCCAGCTACTCTTCTTTTACAAGTTCTTCTTCCTTATTGTAAATAATATCTGATTAATATCCTTATACCTAAAGATTCTTCTATATTTTGCATTTCATTGTAGAATTATAGATTTCTCAAATATAAATTATTTGGTCAAACTGCATGAACTTTTTTTGCTTTGTTTTTGAGATGGAGTCTCACTCTGTCACTGAGGCTGGAGTGCAGTGGCACAATCTCGGTTCACTGCAACCTCCACCTCCCAGGGTCAAGTCATTCTTGTGTCTCAGCCTCCCGAGTAGCTAGGATTACTGGCGTGCACCACCACACCTGGCTAATTTTTTTATTTTTAGAAAAGACGGGGTTTTACCATGTTGGTCAGGCTGGTCTCGAACTCCTGACCTCAGGTGATCCACCCGCCTCGGACACACATGTTATAAAATTGCTTATCAAAAGCAGCATACCAATTATATTCACCCATCATTCACCTCTTATTTGTTAAGCCCCTCCTCTGTACTGGTATGTTCTAGATGCTAGGGATACAAGTGGTGGCTGGACAAGGTCCTGGCCTCAAATAATATGTTTTAGTGGTACAGACAACAACTTTCAAATTTATTCTAATATCAGTGATAATTGTTATGGAGAAAATATACTCGGGTTAGAAGATTGGTGGTGGTGAGGATGGCAGGAGATATATTTTGTTGGATAAGAGGTTCCTGAGAACTTGACTAAGGGACATTTGAGCAGAGAACTGAATGGCATGAGGAGTGAGCCATGTGGATCCCTAGGGAGCAAGTGCATGTGGGAGTACCAGCAGGGGCCGGTGGCAGAGACAGGATTGAGCAGTAACAAGAGACTGGTGCGAGTGCAGATGAGTGATCTGGGCTGAGAGTGGTGAGATGAGGCCAGAATGGCCAGAGGGGCCCCGTGTTGAGGGGCTAATAGGAAATGGAGAGAGGAAGGGAAGAGGCTGGAGTGTCTCTGGGATGTGGTGGTGAGGATGGGCTCTAATTCCCATTCGAAAGGTTCACTCTGCCTGTTGTGTGGGTGATGGACAGCTGCATGAGATGCAGCAGGCAGCCCAGCTGGAAGGCCCGTCGGATTTACTATCCTAGAGAGAATGGCTCTGGGGAGGAGGCAGTAGACGAGTGTGAAGTGATTGGTTTTGGGGTTAATACATTTTTCAGATGGTCTCAGCAGTTATTTAATAGAGAACCATTCATTTATTTCCACAGTTGATTCCAGATGGCTTACTACAACAAACCAAATAATAAACATACATGCATTATTTAAAAACCAACAAGGCCTGGCGCAGTGGCTCATGCCTGTAATCCCAGCACTTTGGGAGGCCGAGGCGGGCAGATCACGAGGTCAGGAGATTGAGACCATCCTGGCCAACACAGTGAAACCCCATCTCTACTAAAAATACAGAAATTAGCCAAGCGTGGTGGCGGGCCCCTGTAATCCCAGCTACTGGGGAGGCTGAGGCAGGAGAATCGCTTGAACCTGAGAGGCGGAGGTTGCAGTGAGCCGAGATCGTGCCACTGCACTCCAGCCTGGGTGACAGAATGAGACTCCTTCTCAAAAACAACAACAACAACAAAAAAAAACAGCTGGGAAAATATAGACTTAAAATATTAAGGCTGGGGTAAAACTAGAACATTACTCAGCAAGAAGGAACATCTGAAACATTTGCAGAAATGGAGTTGACTGTTTCCCCAGCCATAGATTTGTTGGCTCACAATTGTGTTGCATCAGGGAGCCACAGAGGGGGGTGACAGTGCAGGTCACTTGGCCCTTGTTTCCTGTTTCAGGAATATTTTCCTGTTTTACACTTAAAGTCAAAGCAAATTTATGTAACTGTAATTTGTTCAAAAATGAAGTCAACAGCTAAAAAGTCAGAAAGTAAATGTACAAACCCCAGGGGTCTAAGGACAGTCTATATTTCTCCCCCAAAATGTCCTCACCCTGCACTATTGAATGGAGACAGTCCTTTCCAGGCGCCCTAAGATGCAGGGGCGACTGGGCTGCAGCCCTACCTACAGGTGTCCTTCTTTATACCTGCAGTTTCCTTTACACCTGACAGCCAACTTCACTGACCTCACCTGAGCTAGGAATTTGTTTTTTTGGTATTGGTTCTATTTGAGTCATTGTGCAGGCTTAAAACTGTGACATGGAAGTTTTGCTATAATGGTTTTTCTTTGATGGAATTTGACACGCACAGTGGCTCTGGCTTCCCTGTCACTCCCAGGAGAGAACGGAGTGTCCTGCACTTTTTTTTCAAGATCCCTGTGTAAGAGTGATCAAGAGACTTGGAGTCAGGGGCTCCTCCAATCTCACCTTCCTCTCTGATGCTTTCCAGTGTGGGGCCCTTGGCTCTCTGCACATCTGATTAATACAATTGTCTCAGCCCCTGAAATAAAAGCACAGGTGCACATAACACTGACTCCTGCGTGCAGTGCCAAGGTGGGGAGGTTTCCTGGATGCCAGGTTTAGCACTTTGACTCTCATTCACGCACACACACACACGCATACACACACTCTCTCACATACAGATACACATGCTAACTGATACACACAGGCACACACAGTCGCACACACATTCACACACATATTTAGACACACTCTCACACACAGATTCACACACACGGGCACACACACACAGGCACACACACACACACACATGCAGACTGAGTGAGCGTTGTGGGACAGGCTGACTTCAGGGGTGGAGTAAAAGGAGTCTCTCAGTTCCTTCTCAGTGGACTTTGTCTCTTTTTCCTGGAGGTGGAGGAGTCTGCACTCCATGAGGGGAAGTCCTCTGAAGAAGCGGGGAGATACTCAGGAGCGGGGTCCAGAGATGGACAGGGATGGAGAAGTGGAGACAAAGCGGAGGGGGCGGGGCAAGAAGGGAGCCCACGAGGAATGGGGAGAGGGAGGACCTTCTAGAGGTCAGAAATATCACACGCAGAATTTGGTTCTTTGTTTTTGTGTTTTATTAAGATGGATTTAGTAAACCAGCCGAAGTGCAAGATATGGAGTCTACATTGCAAAGGACACGTCTTAGTCTCCTGCTAGTTTGAACTCATCAGTAGTAGCTAGGAGAAGAGTGCCAGAAGCCTTGCGTGGGGCGCGCAACGCCCCTTTGCAGCGACCCCATTCTCTGCATCCCACGGACCTCCCCACCAGGGACCATGTTGGTCCCCTCCCACCCAACAGGAAGGAAAGGAAGAAGTCTGAAGGCTTTGGATCCTCCCTAGCGCACTTTTTCTCGCCATTTATTCCCAGAGTGTCCTTGCCTCCGCTCCGCTATCCCAACCCCACTATAACAAAGCACATCCTGCGCGCTGGGGCCAGAAATCCTCCTTTGGCCTCTGAATCACTGGTGCCATTTCACTGTGTCCTGTCCTTCCGGCCATTGTCACTGGGTGAAGCCCCAGAGAGCTTGAGCTTGGAGCCCAAGAGAGCTGGATTCTTAGAGCGTAGCTGTCCGCAAAAACATTCTTTTTTTTTTTTTGGTCTTTATTATTATTATTATTATTATTATTATTATTATACTTTAAGTTTTAGGGTACATGTGCACAATGTGCAGGTTAGTTACATATGTATACAGGTGCCATGATGGTGTGCTGCATCCATTAACTCGTCATCTAGCATTAGGTATATCTCCTAATGCTATCCCTCCCCCCTCCCCCCACCCCACAACAGGCCCCAGAGTGTGATGTTCCCCTTCCTGTGTCCATGTGTTCTCATTGTTCAGTTCCCATCTATGAGTGAGAACATGTGGTGTTTGGTTTTTTGTCCTTGCGATAGTTTACTGAGAATGATGATTTCCAATTTCATCCATGTTCCTACAAAGGACGTGAACTCATCATTTTTTATGGCTGCATAGTATTCCATGGTGTATATGTGCCACATTTTCTTAATCCAGTCTATCATTGTTGGACATTTGGGTTGGTTCCAAGTCTTTGCTATTGTGAATAGTGCCGCAATAAACATACGTGTGCATGTGTCTTTATAGCAGCATGATTTATAGTCCTTTGGGTATATACCCAGTAATGGGATGGCTGGGTCAAATGGCATTTCTAGTCCTAGATCCCTGAGGAATCGCCACACTGACTTCCACAAGGGTTGAACTAGTTTACAGTCCCACCAACAGTGTAAAAGTGTTCCTATTTCTCCACATCCTCTCCAGCAACTGTTGTTTCCTGACTTTTTAATGATTGCCATTCTAACTGGTGTGAGATGGTATCTCATTGTGGTTTTGATTTGCATTTCTCTGATGGCCAGTGATGATGAGCATTTTTTCATGTGTCTGTTGGCTGCATAAATGTCTTCTTTTGAGAAGCGTCTGTTCATATCCTTTGCCCACTTTTTGATGGGGTTGTTTGTTTTTTTCTTGTGCATTTGTTGGAGTTCATTGTAGATTCTGGATATTAGCCCTTTGTCAGATGAGTAGGTTGCAAAAATTTTCTCCCATGTTGTAGGTTGCCTGTTCACCCTGATGGTATTTTCTTTTGCTGTGCAGAAGCTCTTGAGTTTAATTAGATCCCATTTGTCAATTTTGGCTTTTGTTGCCATTGCTTTTGGTGTTTTAGACATGAAGTCCTTGCCCATGCCTATGTCCTGAATGGTAATGCCTAGGTTTTCTTCTAGGGTTTTTATGGTTTTAGGTCTGACGTTTAAGTCTTTAATCCATCTTGAATTAATTTTTGTATAACTTGTAAGGAAGGGATCCAGTTTCAGCTTTCTACATAGGGATAGCCAGTTTTCCCAGCACCATTTATTAAATAGGGAATCCTTTCCCCATTGCTTGTTTTTCTCAGGTTTGTCAAAGATCAGATAGTTGTAGATATGCAGTGTTATTTCTGAGGGCTCTGTTCTGTTCCACTGATCTATATCTCTGTTTTGGTACCAGTACCATGCTGTTTTGGTTATTGTAGCCTTGTAGTATAGTTTGAAGTCAGGTAACGTGATGCCTCCAGCTTTGTTCTTTTGGCTTAGGATTGACTTGGTGATGCAGGCTCTTTTTTGGTTCCATATGAACTTTAAAGTAGTTTTTTCCAATTCTGTGAAGAAAGTCATTGGTAGCTTGATGGGGATGGCATTGAATCTATAAATTAGCTTGGGCAGTGTGGCCATTTTCACGATATTGATTCTTCCTACCCATTAGCATGGAATGTTCTTCCACACAAATATTCTTGAGATTTCTTCAGATCTGAAAGTCAGCCTGAGTTTTTAGACTTGCTTCGAAAGACTTTGGCCCTGGGAAAAAGGAAATCAGTACTCCAGGAACAAGATTTTCCTCGACTTTGTCTCAACCCAAAGACGCTATAGCAGCGCAGTTTTCAAACGTGCTTTGAAAATAAATGGGACAGTGTGTCCACACTGGATTTTGCCTTTCCCTTTTTATTACAGCCCGCCCCTTTTGTAAAATTGTTACACATCTCTCTACTGCACTAAAAACGGCTCTATCAAAGATACTTTGAGAAAGATTTAATGACATGAAAATATGAAGCCCCCTTAAAAGAGAGTTTCTGGAGTTGGGTTTTAATTAACACTTTGGTTTTTAAAATCCTGTAACTATTTGGGTGTGTGGCTTATCTTTATAATATTTTCAAACAAATATTTTTTCTTAACCACCACACAAATCCAAGTTTATTATTTTTATTTTTAAATTTTATTTATTTATTTCTGAGACAAGATCTCTTGCTGTCACCCAGGCTGGAGTGTAGTGGTGAGATCATAGCTCACTGCAGCCTCGAACTCCTGGGCTCAAGCTATCCTTCAGCTTCCAGAGCTGGGATTACAGGCCTGAGCCACCGCGCCTGGCCAAAATCCAAGTTTATTCTGTAATATAAAATTCCAACATTTCAGAGAAGGTGAAAGTCACAACGTTATCCCAGTCCCTGGGGTCCCTGTCAAAATTTTGGGGAATAATCCTCCATGTTTTCCCCTACTTAAAATATATATTATGTAAGTGGTATTACTGGTATTATAATTCCATATATCCTCGTCCTTTTAAAAATGGATAAAAGTAGGCTGGGCACAGATCTTCTCATAACAATACTTACAAATTTATCCTCCTCTTTTTAAGGACTGCGTGGAATTTTATCGCGTGGCTATTCTTTAGGGGACTATGGAAATGTTATTTCTTTATCTTCATTGTGGTAGTGGATATGTGGGTGTGTAAAACAGCCAAGCAGTACAACTCAATGAGCTGTACATTTCAAATAGATACATTGATTGTGTGCAAAGTATGTCCCAATAATGGTTTAAAAATATTATTCTATTTGAGATTTGTACTTTGATTTTGTAAAACAAAACAAAACCCTTGTTCTTGCACCCACGAGATGCACCCTGGCACATCTGGAGGTAGAAGCTCATGTTCTCTGCAGCTTGACCTCGCAGGCTCTGAAATAAGAATAATAAGCCGTATATTTACAGATTCACACACAGAGAAAAAAAAGCTTTGGTAAAAATGTTCATAAATAACAAAACTAGATAAAGGGCAAAAATAAAATTAGAAATAATAAAACTACATCTTTCAGATATTATTCTCACCTTCACCTTTCCTCTCCCCTTTTCTCCCTCTCCCTTCCTTTCCTCGAAATGTCCCCCCATCCTTCCCTCCTTTCTCCATTCTCTGCATTTGATCCCCATGTATTCCAGCCTCGAGGCAAACACACGTCACCGCGTCCGCCTGGGGCAGGTCAGGGAAGGGACGCGAGGCAGCCGTGTCTCCGCATTCTGTGAGCGGCAGCGCCCTGGGCCTCGCTGATCTTGTGTCATTTCAGTGACCTTCGCTCTAGTCTTTGACGG
Source organism: Homo sapiens (assembly GCF_000001405.40). Taxonomy (NCBI): domain Eukaryota; kingdom Metazoa; phylum Chordata; class Mammalia; order Primates; family Hominidae; genus Homo; species Homo sapiens. The sequence continues at coordinate 1,237,981 of NT_167246.2, read as the reverse complement.
GGCCACACTCGGGGTGTAAATTAGGATCCTCACTGAAGGCGCGGGACCCTGAGAGGCTTTTTCCTGGTCCCTTAGTTGTGAGTTTTCCTGCGGGCGGCGGAGCCCGTTTCCACCAGAACCGCCCAGAGGCGGGCGCTGCCTTCCTGGGGTGACGGAGCAGCTGGAAGCGTTTTCGGATCCTGGAATCAGTGGGCGGCCTGCGGGAGGGGCTGAGGCGCCTTTCCCTACTCACCCGGCTCCGAATCCACCGCGGTGCTGTTTCAAGCGAGTCAGATTCCAGATCGCGCTCCAGCCCGGACTCGGAATTCCTGCCCCGCGGGTCTGCATTTTCACAGCGGCAGGTGTGAGTGCCCCGCAGCTGGAGCCCAGAAACCTGAAGGCAGCTCGGCCCTCCCCAGCCCACAGCGCCGTTATTCCGTTTCTATATCAGTAAACACTTGTCATTTTCCGTAGACCAGGGCGGGATGATGGGTGATCCCAGTCCTCGCAGTGAACTCCGGGCCGCAGTCCTGAGAACGCGCTCGGGCGCCCAGCGCAGCCGCGTCCTGAGTTACACACGCGACCGCGCTGGGCCTTTTCTCTTTCTTTTCCGGACCCAGCAGTGGCGCCTACAGTCTGCGAGGAGAAAATCACCTTTGTGCTGGTAAGTCCAGGAATCTAAGGCGAGTGCTGAGGGAGAAAACGTAGTTGATGGCTCAGAGCAGAAGGGGCTGGAGGTAGGGTAGAGGGGGAGGGCTTTGGACAGAAAAGACCTGGGAGATTTGGTTGGGGAGGGGCAGCCAGGCCTAGACCCTGGGGAGCGACTCATCCAAAGTCCAAGATCATCACTGCCTCCCCTACCCCAGAAAGGGAGGGATTGGCTTCATGTCTTGTCGCGATCACCTCTAAATGCGTTGGAACAAACTTTGCATATTATTATTATTAGTATCATCGTCATTGAAGTATTAAAAGTCTTCTTGGGGGTGAGCTGAATGAGATCCTTTGCTGGAACTGGCACAGGGAGAAAAAGTCCTCGAGAGAGGGTAGACACTGTGGAGGGAAGAGCTTGGGACCAGCGTCAGGAGAGCTGGGTCCATCTCCCTCTCTGCCCCTCACTACCCTTGTGACCTTTAGCAGTGTAAATAATCCCTGTAAGGTGGGGACAAGACCCCAGTCCCTGCTGTGCTCAATAAATGATAATGCTCGAAATAAATAATCAGTGAATGTGGATGGGAAAACTAAGTAATTGTTAAAACTCTGTGGTGTATGACATTTTCATCTACAGAAAAGTGTAGGCTAGGGGTCCTGGGGAATGGTTAGTAATCATAGGTAGAGTTCCATTGGAAAAAAAAATGCTCGTAAAGCTGACGAAGATGGAAGGGACACAGTTCGTGATCATGGATGGTTCATTGTCTAATGGGGGTTGGTACCAGATGGTAAATGACAGCTGGACGTGGTGGCACTCGCTTGTAGTCCCAACTACTCAGGAGGCTGAGGTGGCAGGATTGTTCTAGCCCTCGGCTAGAGCGGGAGCGGCTTGGCGTTTCTGGGGGGTCTGAATGGGTCGCAGCGAGCGCGATGCGGTCGCGGCGGGGCTCAGGTGCGATGTGCAGCGAGGTGCGGGAGCTGGACGCTGCCGGTTGCCGCCACTCCTCAGCCCTGCTTTTCAGTCTCTTTTCAGTCCTCCTCGGGATCGCGCATCACCCCCACCCCCTGCACTTTCTGGTCTCTTCTTGCACTTGCTCTCCTCACCTCTCCTCCGCCTCCTCTCACTTTTTGGACAAACCTTCTGAAGTCCCTGGGTTCCTGGGCTGTTCCTGTGAATGGCATTCGAGGGCCCTTCCAGCTCTGCCGCTGAGGCAGTCACATCCCCCGGTGCTCAGAGCGGCTCTCGGGTCCCTGAAGCCCTGTCCTCTCCCTGGAGTCCGCGTGTTCTCAGCTCCAGGGCGGGCCGCAGTCCCTGGAGTTGGGGCCCTCCTTTTTTCGGGACCAGGAGCTGGTGCTTCTTATTGCTGTGGGGACTATGGGGCTCCTGAGTCTCAAGCTGAGGGGTTGGAGTCTGCCGGCTCCAGGCAGAGGATTCTTCCTGCGACTGCTCCCATCCCCAGCTCATTCTCCCTTCGCCTCCCGTTCCCAGGGTTCTTTCCTCTGTCAACCCTCCCAGCTACTGTGGACTCCAATGGTCTAAGGACACCAAGTTCCCTCCTACTTCCTCAGCTTCCTTTCTCATGGCCCCCTGGGTCCTGTTGCCCTCCCTGCTCCCTGCTACCCCTTTCTATCTGCAGTTCTCTGATCCATTTGTAGGGTGTCCTCTGCCCTCATCCCCTGCTCCCACCACCGCAGGTCCCTCCTGCCTCCCTTATGGGCCTTTCCTACAAGCAGCCTTCACCCAGTGCTGCCCCTATGCCTCTCCATTCCCAGCTGTCCCTGACCCTAACTTTCTGGTGCTGCCTTTTGTCGGGGGAGTCTTCCCTCCATCCCACTCCCCTCCAGGCCACTTAAGGGGAGCCCTGGTGCTAATGAAAGTTGGGCCTTAGGCAGGGCGCAGGGCAACGCAGATGCTCCCTCCCCTCCAGTGCAGATGCCTGCTCTGGGCCCTGCCTCAGGTGACCCGTTCCCCACTCCTTCATCCTCAGCCTCACCCTCTTGAGGACCCCACCCTGAAACCCTCAGGTGCTGGACCATCCCTCCCTGGTCCCTCTGCCCCTCTCTGCCTTGGGACCTTGTGCTGTTCCCACCTCTTGACCAGCTGCCTTGGGCCCTCAGCAAGTTCTCACCTTCCCCAAACCCCACCCTCCCCCAGACAACCCCTCCCTTCCTGTTCTCACTTTACCCCAAGTTCTCCCAGGGTCACCCCCCCTTCCTTCTCATGCCACCCTTTAGTCCTTGCCCTGCCCATCTCCTCACCCCCACCCAGACCCAACACAGGCTCTAGTCCAACGGCTCCTTGACCCTCATCCTCTTTCGGTTCCTTGACCCCGGTGGGCTGTCAGTTCCTAGACTTCATATCCAAAATCTTCACTTACCACATAGTGGGCTGTGGTCATCCCCTCCTCTGGGCCTTCTCCCAGCACCACCTTCCTCCTGTGAGGGTTTTCTAACCTGAACCCTCTTTTGGAGTGTGACTGCTCCGCCTTCAGCACCACTCCTCTCTGAAGGCCCTTCCTCAGGCCTTGTTTTTTTTCTCTCTGACCAGGACCCCAGCCTCTTTCTAATTCTATATTATTGTTTGGTATGCTGTGACAATTTCTTTTTTGTTGTTTAATTGTCGTGAAATATATATATAAAGTTCACTATTTTCACCATTTAAAAGTGTACAGTTCAGTGGCATTAAGTACATTCACATTTTTGTGCATCCTGAAACTCTGTGCCTACTAAACAGTAGCTCCCCATTCCTCCTTCCCCCTGGCCGCTGGAACCACTGGTTCTACTCTCTGTCTCTATGAATTTGGCTATTGGGAATTATGCTGCTATGAACATGAGTGTTCAAATATCTTTTTAATGTTCCTGCTTTCATTTCTTTTGGGTAAATACCCAGATGTAGAATTTCTGGATTACATAGTAATTAATTTTTTAGTTTTTGGAGGAAGCAACACACTGATTTCCATAGCAGGTGCCCCACTTTGTCTTTCCCAATGTACTACACAAATGTTCCAGTTTCTCTACCTCTTTGCCAAACTTGCTTTCTCTCTCTCTCTCTCTCTGTGTGTGTGCGTGTGTGTGTGTGTGTGTGTGTTTGATTATAGCCATCCTAATTGGTGTGAAGTAGTAGCCCATTGCAGTTTTGATTTGCATTTCCCTAATAACTACAGATGTTGAGCATCTTTTCATGTGTCTATTGGCCATTTGTATGTCTTCTTCGGAGAATTGGCTATTCAAATTCTTTGCCTACATAGTTTTTTTGAGTCTTATGTTTGTGTTACAGGAATTCTTTATGTATTCTGGATATTAATCTTTTATTAGATAAATGATTTGCAAATATTTTCTTCCATTCTAATGGTTGCTTTTTCACTCTGCAGATTGTGTTTTTTAATGCTCAATTTTTTTTATTTTGATGGGTCCAACTTATCAATTTTTTCTTTGTTGTCTGTGCTTTGGTGTTATATCCATAAAAGTGTTGTCAAAACCTATGTCATGAAGATTATTCCCAATGTTTCATTCTAAGAATTTTTCAGTTTTAGTTCCTGAGTGTAGGTCTTTGATTTATTTAGAGTTAACTTGTATATGTGGTGTAAGTCAGGAGTCCAACTTCATTTCTTTTTGCATGTGAATGTCGTTTTCCTGGCACTGTTTCTGGAAAAGATGCACTGATCCTCCCTTACTCCCATCTTGTACATGATGAGCCTTCCTCAAAGGCAGCGGCCCGCGACTCCATCTCACCCTCACCTGTGTAGCACAGCCATGCTGGTCATGGGTCCCTCTGAGCCTGGGTCCCTTCCCATTTCCACCCTCCCCTCTGGCAAGACCTTCCTTCCACCACTGCCTTCGTGCTCCTCCCTCACCACTGCAGGGCAGCCTCTCTCCTTGGCCTCCTCCCTATACCCTTAGGTGGCCTGTGGCCACCCTGCCTTGGCAGCTGGCCTACATGTTTGCCATCTCCATTCCCCCTTCTTCTGTTCCTCAGTCTGCTCCTCCATCCTCCTGCCCTCCCAGTTTTCCTTGTATCTGAAATCTTCATTCTTGTCCCTTTGCATATGTACATTTCCTGCCTCCTCAGAAAGGTTGAGACAGCAGACCTGTGTGTTAAACATCAATGTGAAGTTACTTCCAGGAAGAAGTTTCATCCGTGGTTTCTTGTTCCCCAGGGCCCCACAGTCTTCATTACAACCTCACGGTGCTGTCCCGGGATGGATCTGTGCAGTCAGGGTTTCTTGCTGAGGGACATCTGGATGGTCAGCCCTTCCTGCTCTTCAACAGGCAGAAAGGCAGGGCTGGGTCCTGGGGACAGTGGGCAGAAGCAGTTCTGGGAGCTGAGACCTGGGACACAGAGACTGAGGACTTGACAGAGAATGGGCAGGACCTCAGAAGGGCCCTGGCATATATCAAGGGACAGAAGGGAGGTGAGAGGTGGCAGCAGGCAAGAGTGATGGGAGACCTTTTCCAGGAGAGCTGGGGGCAGAGAGCAGGGACCTGTCTGTCCCCACTGGATCTGGCTGGGGGCAGGGGTGAGGAATAGGGGTCAGCAGAGCTCGGTGGGGAGGTAACCTGGCACTCAGCCCACACAGAAAGGCATGGAGGAGGGCCAGGGAGGGGTCTCCTCTGGTCTGAGTTCCTCACTTGGAACTGCTGGGTGGGGGTAGCCTTGCATTCCCTCCAGGAGATTAGGGGTTGTGAGATCAGGAAGCCAGCAGCACCAGGGGCTCTAGGCATTCCTACTCTTATGGGTAGCTCTTCCTCTCTCTCAACCTGGAGACTCAGGAATGGACAGTATCCCAGTCCTCCAGAACTCAGACCTTTGCTATGAATATCACAAATTTCTAGAAGGAAGATGCTATGCCGGCCGAGACACACTCTCACCCTATATGGGTAGACTGCAGGCAGAAACTACAGCAGTATCTGGAATCCTGTGTGGGTGTCAGGAGAGCAGGTACTGGGCCTGGGTAGGGGCTTTCCTCTCCCCTATTCCACTAGAGTCACCCCGACCCCCAACTCTGTCCAGGGAAACCCTCCTTGTGCTATGGATGCATGTGTTTTCTGTTGGTGTGTTATATCCTGATTTTTCTCTCCTGTTAGAGCCACTGGAAAAAGACAGTGGGTCAGGGATTGAAGGGTCCAGTGTCACAATCTGGGGAAGCAGTGGGCCCTTTGACAGAAGCCTGAACCTGGGTGTGTGTCAGGCAGGAGAGGAAGGCCCCAGGGCCAAGGCTGCCCCATCTGCTTCCCAGCCTGCCCATCCCTAAGAGTTCCCTCTGGCCCCATGTACCAGGAGCCCACCCCTGACATTCCCCTCCTCAGCATCAATGCAGGGATCCCAGAGCATAAAGACACAGTCTCGAGGCCCATCCTTCTGCCAGCCTTGAGGAATTGGTCCCCAGGGTGAGGACAGACTTGCAGAAGGTCTGGGGTCCGTGAGGACTTCTGCCAGAGTCGGAGCAGTGGAGCGGACCAGCCCTATTCCCTGCATCTCCATTAGAGGGGAGCAGGGTTTGGCCATGTGCCTCATTGTCTCTGCCCTTTCTTCTCCAGTCCCCCACTCCTCCACCATGAGTGTGGCCTGCAGTGAGGCCCTGGAGGGCAACATCACCCTGATATGCTGGGCTCTGGCTTGAATCTCCAGAATATCTCTCTGACCTGGTGACAGGATGGGGCGTCTTTGAGCCAGGATGCCCAGCAGTCTTGGGGTGTTCTGTCCAATGGGATGGGACCTACCACACAGAGGTGGCCTGCAGGATTCCCCAAGGAGAGGAGCAGAGGGTCATCTGCTCCATGGGATACAGCAGGAATCACAGCACTCACCCTGTGTCCTCTAGTGAACCTGGGACCACCCTTGAGGGTTCCAACATAAGGAGGATCAGGCCAGGGTGGGGGCAGCAGGAACGGCTGTGGCTGTGGGTGCCCAGTGTGTAACAGGCCCTTTTTTTCAGGGATGGCCCTGGTGCTTCAGAGTTGATGACCAGCCATTCCATATGTTGCTGCTGTTGCTGCTTTCATCATCATTAGTATTATTAGTAGTATTATTATTCTCTGTGTCCTTTGATGCAAGAAGAAGACAACATCAGGTGCAGAGGGTCCAGGTGAGAAAAGGGGACAGTTGCTAGAGATGGGAGGGTCCCTGTCTGGGCTGTAGGGTCCCCTCATACCTTCTGTGCAGATAGGCTTGTAGGTGACAAGGCTTCTGGAACAGGCGATGAAAGTTGGGGTATTTGGGAGGGGAATGAGAGCCACGTTGCCATCTACATCCCTGTGAGAAAGAAACTCACCCATTCAAACCCAAAGAATAGACTCAGAGACCCAGAGAACAGCGAAAGAGAGACTTTTAATGACAGTCTTGCAAGATCAGGTGTCTGGAGTGCAGGTACACCTGGGACAGTTTCAACAAACTATTTCTTCCCTAGTGTGCAAGTCCCTTCCCCAATTCCTCATTAGCTGAGTACTACGGGGTTATAGTCTTCCTGGGCATCGCCTATTGGTAGTTGTATTAAGACTTCAAGTATGTTCTTTAGGGTCTTTTTGCTGCATTTTTTGCTGCATTTTGTTGCAGCCACCCATAATGCATGGCGACTGTCTCAAGACTCTGAGCATTTGACTTATGGCCCTAGTGGCTGCACTTAGGTGATGGCAAGCTAGCCCAAACTAAATTCTTTGGTGAGGTGGGGAGGGGGGTCATTGAGGGGGCCCTGACCAGTAGGCTCCTGGACACTGGGTCAAAGGGAAAGCAGGAAGGAGGGGATTGTGGCTTAGTATATTTTGCTTCTTTATCTCTTTGTTTCCATGTGGCCTGCTTAAACATATTCTAAGGCACTTATGAAAATGAACCTTCTTCACATGTAGGTTATTTTTTACACTTACCTCCTCTTTTTCTTTTTACCCTTTTTGGTCTTATTTTCACTTACATATCTTTGTTTATTAACTGTTCTGGAAGTTTTTTACTTTCTTCATTATAGGAGGAGAAGTTTAGTTTGGCTTTTAATAATAGTAAGTCATTCTGTTGGGACATTAGGGGCATTTGTTTACTAATAGCTGCTTTAATTAACCTTTGTGTTAAATAAACCCTTCACACAAGGTATGATACAACATCCTATGGCTGTTAAGACCCCAGCCATAATCACGAGAGATGTAAGAATTGAAGGTACCATTCCTTTCTATTTTTCAAACCAACCTTCTAACCAGTTAGTAAAAAGGTCATTTACTCCTGTGTTTTCTGCCAGCTCGTTGACTAGAGTTGTTAGTCCCTGCCATCCCTTTATGATGGTTCCATTTGGGGCAGCATTGTTGTGAATGGAAGTGTCACATTTTCCACCCAGCATATCACATATATCACCTTTCTCTGCTAATATTATGTCCAGTGTAATTCTGTTTTCCCAAGCCATTTAGCTAGTGGCATTTAGTTGTCTGGCTACTCCCTTAAGGGCATTTTGCGTGTAATTGATGAATCTTTGCTGATTATAAGACATGTAATTAATCTAATTTACATTCTTGTTAATAGTTGACCACCAGAAAAGTGCTGACTCAAATCTAGCAGGTATTTGGTTTCGTGCTTTAAATTTATTAGGCACTCCTCTAGGTACTCCTATGGAGTTTAGATAGATAAATAGATAGATAGATGGATAGATAGATATACAAAGCTTTCATCCACTGTTCCAGAAGCCTTGTGTGTATGTGTGTGTGTATATATATATGTGTGTGTGTGTGTATATATATGTGTGTGTATATATATGTATATGTATATGTTTGTGTGTGTGTGTGTATATATATATATATACACACACACATTATATATGGGTTAAAATAAATTGCTAAATTACTCTGATCTCTATGACCATGTGTATTTTTAGCTGTTTCATGGAATGACAGGGTGAACGGAATGGCCAATTGTACTAAAGCACAAGTCCCGGTCCAATTGGACGGTAACAAGTTACGGAGGTTCCCTTTCCCGAAATACCACCAGACATTTGCCTGGGGTATATGGAGAGTTGAATGGTTGCCACAGTCTGGGTTACCAGTGACATTTAGGATGTGGGTGCAGGTTGCGAGTTTTCCCACAGGTTTATCGAACCTCACCTTCTGTCTAGAGTGACAACAGGAGTGATTTATATTCCCTATAGAGAATGAGGGGATTGCTTTAGGATCTGATCTCTGCAAAGTGGGAAAGAGCAATGACAGACTTTTACAAGTCTTATTTCCCCATGCAACCTTGTCTTGGTATACAGCCAACACGCAACACATTCCTTTGGGATTAGTATCCCATCCAAGGGGAAATGGAACCACCTGTGCCTGAGGTTGACCAGCAGCACATGCATAACAGTTACTTTTATCGAGGGCTTGTGCTGAAAATTTCACCCATTTAACACAGGCATTTATGTCTCTATATCCTGTTTTAATTTTTAAAGTCTGCCTTAAGTCAGTTACTTTAATTATTTTTACTCTCTTAGGTTTATTGTTTGGTGGGTTAAAGGAAGTTAATGGGACCAGGAGTTCTAGTAATTCTGGGTGGGCTTGGGGTAGAGTTGGTGACTAACCTAAAAGCTAACTGTCCCACGGGATTCCTTTCTGAGATATTTATTTTTAATTTATAACTTCAAGATTTCTGGTTTAGAGTAGCTGGGTTGTTTATAGTAATTAATATAGGATTGCACTTTAAATTTTTACAGTTAGGTGGCGTGTGGTTCTTATACAATACTTAGGTTTCCTTTCACCCCTTGTGTTAGGATTAATTCTAACCATATCAGCCCCCAGTGATGGAGCCTGCTTATGGCTTACTTTTAGGTTTTCCTTAGAATTAGCTTAAAGGGTTTCTTAGGTGATCTATACACTTCCAATTTACCTTCCGTTTTTTTTTTAACCAGTTTCTTGACCCGAGTGTAATGTGTCCACCCCTGATCAGCTGTTTGTACAGCTGCCTCACTTGATAGGGACCTTCCCAGCTTGGGTGGAGCTTGTCTTCTTTCCAAGTCTTAATTAGCACTGAGTTGCCAAGCTGGAAGTGGTGAACTGTGAACTCAAGGGGTGGGGTTTGTGTTACAAGTTCTTTTAACCTTAAGTTGTTTCCTGGGAGTTCACACAATTCCCACACACTTGTTTAGCCAGGGCATACATTTCTATACACCCATAATTCTTTAGTATTTCATCATACATGTCCTGGGGACCCCAATGACTTCCCTTATGCAATATAGACATTAGATTTTTTTTCTTTTTTTAGACAGAATCTCGCTCTGTCACCCAGGCTGGAGTGCAGTGGCACGATCTCGGCTCACTGCAAGCTCCACCTCTTGGGTTCATGCCATTCTCCTGCCTCAGCCTCCCGAGTAGCTGGAACTACAGGCACCCACCACCACGCCCCGGCTACTTTTTTGTATTTTTAGTAGAGACAGGGTTTCACTGTGTTAGCCAGGATGGTTTTGATCTCCTGACCTTGTGATCTACCCGCCTCCACCTCCCAAAGTGCTGGGATTACAGGCATGAGCCACCGCACCCGGCCAACATTAGATTTTTTATTATGGGTTTGTTTATTATTTCTCTCCCATCAGGGAGCACTCACCTTCCATTCTTAGTTTAAGTGGCTCCTATCTTGCCTAGCTTTTCCTCCTCTTTTGAAAATTGGGGTTTTAATATCACCTTAGGGATATCTGGGCTAAACAGTTTAAATTTTTCCTCCAGGGAGACTTGCTTAGCAGCCTTATCCACAAGCCTGTTCCCTACAGCTTCTATAGTGTTTCTTTTCTGATGGCCATTTACATGAACTATGGCTGTCTCTGCTGGAAACAGGAGGCTTTCTAAAACTTGTTCCCCATGTACCAATTATTTTGCCCTGCTATTTTCTAGGCCCTGCTCTGTCTAGATTTTTTCAAAGGTGTGTACTACTTTATAGGCATATTTGGAATTAGTATATATAGTGTCTTCTTGATCTTCTAGGAGCTTTAGGGTCTGGTTAAAAGCATAAAATTTACAGGTTTGGGCTGACCAGTTATTGAGTAATTTAACTTTTTCACATAAGGATTGTTTGTTTTTGTTCATGACAGCACAGCCATTGTGTCTTTTACCATTTATTACTCAGGATGACCCATTCATAAACAACCTCATCCCATTATGTAGTAGAGTTCCTTTAAGGTTTGGTACTAACTTTAGTTTGATACTCTGTGATATCTAAACAGTTATACTCTGACGCCTTCTTATTCTCCTCTCCTTTTCATAAGAAACTGGCTGGTGTTAGTTTAGTCACCTCCCGAGGGCCCATTGACCCCAGGAGGAACTTGGGGAGGCAAGGGACTGATCAGCTGGCATCCCAGAGTGCCCTTGGCCGGGCCCTGCTGGGTTTGGCTTTGGGCCAAGAGCTGCTGGTTTGAAGATCTGCCAGCCTATGGAGCCTTCCCTGATGGGTACTCTCATTAGAAAAGGCATTTCTGGCTCCGCCCTCCCTTCCTGTTTTTTTTTTTTTTGTGCTTCAAAGGCACCGTTCCTCTCCGTGGCAGGCCTAGAGGTGCACTGTTTGTGTTTCAAGCAACCCCCACTGGTGACCCAGCAACTGTAAAGGGTCTCCAGTTTGTCCAGCCCTGGGAGGGGACTTAGTGGCTTTTCCTCCTCCTGGGCTGCAAGGATCCTCCCCTGGCCCAGCCCGACTCTGGGAAACAGAACTTTTACACATTCCACCTTAAAGCATTTTGGCAGACTTTTCCCCAGCACGAGCTCTCTCTACTTCAGGGATTGCAAACTGGCATCCTCTTTTGCCTGTTTTGGGTTTTTAAGTTATTTGAACAGAATATCAGCATTTTAAAATTATATTTTACATAAAAAGTCAGAATTTTGTCCTCTGACAAAGCAGACAATCTGGCAACACAGTGCCAGCACTGTAAGAAGAGCTGAGCAGCCGCCACAGTTCCCACCCAGCCCTGCAGCCCTCCTTTTTATTATTTGCTGGCCCTGTAGTCATTTGAGTTTACAGCCCTAGTACTGATTTTCCTTATGTAGCGACCCCAGCCCTTCTGCTGCCTTACTGACAGCTAACTGCCCCTGGTGGCCTTCCAGCCTCTCACTAAAACAACAACAAAACCTTAATGTTATCTTATTCATTTACTCTTCCATAACTTGAATCCTTTTGACCACCTCCTGATAAACAGCCATCTAGTTTTTGCTGTAGGCAACCCGTTACACCTCAGGCAGCCTGATCCTAAACTCTCCTCCACATCCCTTTCTCACTTGCATCCATCCCCCTGTTCCCGGGCTTTGTCGTTCCTCAGTGGCCACGCACTGCATGCACCCTTCCCCTGCACCTCCTTGTTGCTTAAGTCCCCAGAAACTTCCCCCAGCCCTGCCAACCTCTCAGCATTCTCTCACTTTGTCTTGTACTCTTTTTTCCTTTTACATTATTTGTCTCCCCAGTTTTACCTTCTGTGTTTCTCTTTGATCTCTGTCTCTTTTAGTCTCTCTTGCTAATTTTCCTCTTCTATTCTCTCTCTGTCATCCCCTGTTTCCTTTCTGTCTCACACTCAGCTTCTTCCTCTTTCTCTGGGCATGAGCCGAACTGTGCTGTGCCCTGGCTCCCCTTGTCTGTCTGCAAAAACAGGCAGCTCTGCGGAAATGACTCAGCAGTAACCTTTATCAACAGCTTTTAGAAGCCAGCTGCCACACACAGCTGTGCCGCTGGCTCTCTCTTCCTTCAGGTATAGCAGCTTAACTCTCTCTCTCTCTCTCTTTCTTTCACACACACACACAAACTTTCTGAGCTTCCCTCAGTATTTCCTTAATTGGTTTTTTATTCCATCCGTTAATCTTTTGCAGTTTCTTGTAATATTACATCAGCTTTTAGTTACAAAATTAACCTTTAAAAGGCCTTGCCCTACTGGGTCCTCTGGATTTAATCCTGAATATTTTTTCACTTGATCCCTGAGCCTCTGCAGAAATGCAGAGGGAGTCTCCTCTTCTTGTTGTTGGATCTTGAATGCTTTGGGGACGTTTTGTGTCCTATGAGTGGACTGCATAATCCCTCTAATTATTAGCTCCCTAAGGTCTTGCATTTGGACCCGATCCCTGGGGTCATTATTATCCCATCCAGGGTCTGCATTTGGGAATTTCTGCTTAGCTGGCAGGACTCCTTACCCAGGAGGATGCTGCTGTCTCTCCCAAATGATTATGGCTGCCCTTCTAATTATTCCCGTCTTTTTCCCAGTAAACAGAATATTCATGATTGAATTATCTCAGCCCAAGTATAAAAATTAGGTTCTAAAAATTGATCTAGCTGTTCTGCTAAACTGAGGGGATCTTCCGAGAGTGGCCTAATTTCCTTTTTAAAATTCCTAACCTCAGTACTTGTTAAAGGCACACTTACAAATCCAATTTATTATTATTATCATTATTATACTTTAAACTCTGGGATACATGTGCAGAACATGCAGGTTTGTTACATAGGTATACATGTGCCATGGTGGTTTGCTGCACCCATCAACCCATCATCTACATTAGGTATTTCTCCTAATGCTATGCCTCCCCTAGCCCCCTACCCTCAGACAGGCCCCAGTGTGTGATGTTCCCCTCCCTGTGTCCATGTGTTCTCATTGTTCAACTCCCATTTGAGTGAGAACATGCAGCATTTGGTTTTCTGTTCTTGTGGGTCTTTCTCTGAGAGACCCAGAGAACACGTAGCTGATGGTTTCCTGAGAATGATGGTTTCCAGCTTCATCCATGTCCCTGCAAAGGACATGAACTCATCCTTTTTATGGCTGCATAGTATTCCATGGTGTATATGTGCCACATTTTCTTTATTCAGTCTATCATTGATGAGCATTTGGATTGGTTCCAAGTCTTTGCTATTGTGAACAGTGCCGCAATAAACATATGTGTGTATGTATCTTTATAGTAAAATGTTTATAATCCTTTGGGTATATATCCAGTAGTGGGATTGCTGGGTCAAATGGTATTTCTGGTTCTAGATCCTTGAGGAATTGCCACATTATCTTCCACAATGGTTGAACTAATTTACACTCCCACCAACAGTGTAAAAGCGTTCCTATTTCTCCACATCCTCTCCAGCATCTGTTGTTTCCTGACTTTTTAATGATCGCCATTCTAATTGGTGTGAGATGGTATCTCATTGTGGTTTTGATTTGCATTTCTCTAATGATAAGTGACTATGGGCCTTTTTTCATATGTTTGTTGACTACATAAATGTCTTTTTTTGAGAAGTGTCTTTTCATATCCGTCGCCCACTTTTTGATGGAGTTGTTTGTTTTTTTCATGTAAATTAAGTTCTTTGTAGATTCTGGATATTAGCCCTTTGTCAGATGGACAGATTGCAAAAATTTTCTCCCATTCCGTAGGTGGCCTGTTCACTCTGATGATAGTTTATTTTGCTGTGCAGAAGCTCTTTAGTTTAATTAGATCCCATTAGTCAATTCTGGCTTTCGTTGCCATTGCTTTTTGTGTTTTAGTCATGAAGTCTTCGCCCATGCCTAGATCCTGAATGGTATTGCCTAGGTTTTCTTCTAGGGTTTTTACAGTTTTAGGTCTTATGTTTAAGTCTTTAATCCATCTTGAGTTGATTTTTGTATAAGGTGTAAGGAGGGGGTCCAGTTTCAGTTTTCTGCATATGGCTAGCGAGTTTTCCCAACACCATTTATTAAATCGGGAATCCTTTCCCCATTGCTTGTTTTTATCAGGTTTGTCCTTCCTTACATTGTTCTAATTCTTTCCTCAAGTTTGGATAAGGATTTAAGGGAGCATTGGGTTTAGCTCCTTCATGACCTCCCAAATCCTTTTCCTCTGACCTTCCTTTTGCCCCCTGATCTCCCTGTCCTCTACTTTGTGAGATGTATAGGGTGTAGGGCAAGCGTGTTAGGGGATCCCAGGGCTTTTCACTGGGTGAGGGCTCTTTACTATGCTCTTTTTATTTCTCTTTAAGGGGGAACACGGGGCTCAATTCACTAATCCAGCAAACAGCATAACCCATCTCCTCTTGTGAAGATGGGGTTTTATCATTCACATAGAGAATTAAAGCTTGGCATATACAGTCCTTATTTGAGCTAAACTTAGGCCAAAGGACTGAAGGCTGACAAATGGACTTTTTAGGCCAGATAAAACAGCAATACATTATTATTTTTTGTTTTTCCTTATTTCAGGTTTTCTAGTTATTTTTGAGTCAGTTTTGGCAATTTCTATCTTTGTATGAATCTGTCCATTTTATCTAAGTGGTCTAACTTATTGACTTCAGGTTTTTCAGAGTCTTCACTTATAATGCTTTTGAATTTCTAAAGGGTCACTAGTGATAATCTCTCTTTTGTTCACAATTTTGGTAATTTATCTCATTTCTTATCATCTCTGTTTTGACTGTTGGTCAAGAAAACAGACAGAGGCAGCAGATGGCTATGTGATTCTCTAGTGGGAAGGCTTTGATCATACATGGCTGGCAAGCCAGACTGATGGCAGCAACCCCAAAGGAGCTGCCAAGGGATCTTGACAGGAAAGTCACTGACTCTGGATTGGGCTATGCTCAACCAGGGGAAGAGGTCAATGCTTCAAGGGCTATGAAATCACCAGAAAAAAAGAGATTGCACCAATGTGGACTGCTGAGTCCCATTTCTTTACGCAAGAAAACACACTTTACAGCCTCAAATGGCTAACAATGCACAGGGAGATGTCCTCCTCAGAAGAAAACTTTGATAGAAAATTGAAATGGTCAGTTGAAGCATTGTTTGTCTAAAAACTGGCAATATAGTTGTTGGGCAATATAAACATGAAGGACTGGCTTTTACATCTTCATGAATGTGCTCACTGTCCACATGGGTGGGGCTGCAAGAGTGACTCCTCTAGATAGCTTCCTCTCTTTTACCTGATGGATCAGGACGATGCTGTTATGACTATACATACAATTCTTCTGAAGGGGAGAGGATGCTGGAATAATGACTACGCTTCACCTCAAATTTCTTTTTTCATATGTGATGCAGTGGTACCAGGAATAGGGATGAAAATCAAAGTGCCAGAAACAGGAATTATCTTTAAGCCAAAAACCATAACTATATATTTACATCTTTATATAAGAATTCCCAAGCAACTCAAAGATGGTGCTATGCCTTCATTTCATCTGGCAAAGTCAGGATTAACAGTAAATAGAGCTATATAGCCTGGTAGTCAGATGGCCCCCACTAGTTCCTTACCTACATAACCTACCCTCTATGACCAAGAGTAGACCGAGGGAAGGCATGCTAGAATACTATTGCTGCCTGCAGTCTAGGTCAGCACAGCAGACAAACCTGATGTCACCTCTAAAACTGGAAAAGACTGATATAAAGGGACAGAAGGAGGAATAGTGGCTGAGGGTAAGTGAATAAATCAAAGGGTTATATAATGAGGAAAATTCAATATTAGCTTAACTCCTCAAAAGTGCTGTGAGCAAGAGAAGATATTGTCTCTTAGGTCAATTATACTGGGTGCCTAAAAGAGTGAAGCCATATGTCCTTGAGACCATTCTTGTTTTTGGAGCCTGGTAAGGTTGAGTGGTGTCTGCAAACCTGAGTGACTTCATTCTGGGAGACATATTCATACGAGAGGATGGTAAACTGTTCTAATTTTGAATGACTGAATGAGACTCTGATAATACGCCAATACCTCTTTACTTTTATAATCCTTTTCCTATAAAAGATATGTGGTCAAAGAAAAGCGGGTAATCTGAGGTAAAACAAAAGCATTTAGTCTTTGTCCCTGGTTTCTCCTAAAAACCTTAGAATCTCTTGCGTGATAAGAGTTAGAATATTAATGAGAGGACTCATGGCTGAGCGGACCCTGGATATCTTGAGAATGGGGGCTGGCTGCCAGAGACACATACCTGTGATGAGAGCGCTGTCTTATTCCATTTTGTGTTGCTATAAAGAAATGTCAGAGACTGACTAATTTATATAAACAAGGTTCATGTGGCTTGGGATTCTGATGTCTGGAAATGTTTGAGCATTTGATGAGGGCCTCAGGCTGCTCCCACCCATGGCAGAAGGCAAAGGGGAGCTGGTATGTGCAGAGTTCACACGGTAAGAGAGGAACAGAGAGCTTAGGAAGTTGCCAGGCTCTTTTTAACAACTGGCTCTCTTGGAAACTAAAAGAGTAACAATTCATTCACTTCCGAGAGAGGACAGGATCTCTTTATTCATAAAAGATTGGCCCCCATGACCCAAACAGCACCCATTAGGCCCCACATCCAACACTGGGGGTCAGATTTTAACATGAGGTATCAGGGGGTAAATATTTATATCATTGCATTCTGTCCCTAGCCAGCCAGAGCTCATGTTTTTCTCCCATTGCAAAATATGATAATTTCCCAATTGTCCCAAATGTGCTAGGTTGTTCCAGCATCAACTCAAAATTCCAAAGTCTCATCTGAGACTCAAGGTAAGTCCCTATAGCTGTGAGCCTGTAAAGTTTTAAAAAGGTTATTTACTTCTAAAATATTAATACAACAGTGGAAGAGACATTTCTTATACATTTCCATTCTAAAAGGAATAAATGGGCCAAAAGAAATGAATGCAGTGTCCTCACAAAGCTGAAACTCATCATGGAAGATGTTAAAATTTAAAGCTCTAAAATAATCTCCTTTGACCCTATATCTTGAATCCTGAGCACACTGGTTCAAGTGGTGGGCTCACAATGCCATTTGCAGCCCCACATCCTTGGCTTTGCTGAACATAACCCATATAGCTGCTCTCATGGGTGAAAATTGAATACCTATGGATTTTCCAAGCTGAGCTTGCACATTGCCAGTGGCTCTACCATTTAGTAGTCCTGGCAGGGGTCCTGCTCCTGCAGCTCCACTGGGAATTGTCCTGGATATTAAATTTCCCCTTTAAATATCAGTTCCAGTTTCAGATCATTTTTTTGCTCACACATATGTGCATAGACTATTACAACAGGAAGCCAAATCTTGAATGCTATGATGCTTAGAAATTTCTTCTATCAGATACCCTTAATCATCACCCTCATGTTCAAAGTTCCACAGATCCCTAAGGAGGGGGCAGAATGCCTCCAAGTTCTTTGCCAATGCATAACAAAAGTGACCTTTTCTCTAGGTCCCAGTAAGTTCCTCATCTCCATCTAAGACCTCATCAGCCTGGGCTCTATTGTCTATATCACTATCAGCATTTTGGTCACAACAATTTAACAAACCTCTAGGAAGTTCCAAGTTTTCCCCCATTTTCTTGTCTTCTAAACTCTCCAAACTCTTCCAACCTATACCTGTTACCCAGTTCCAAAGACATTTTCACATTTTCAGCTACGTTTATTGCAGTACCCAACTTCTGGTACTGATTTTCTGAATTATTCATTCTCAACTGTTATAAAGAAATACCTGAGACTGGGTAATTTATAAAGACAGAAGGTTTAAATTGGCTCATGGTTCTGCAGGCTATATGAAAGTATGATTCCGGCATCTGCTCAACTTATGAGAGGGCCTCAGGAAACTTTCAATCATGCTGGAAGGTTAAGGGGAAGTAGGCATGACTTACAAGCCTGGAGTAGGAGGGAGAGAGAGCAGGGAGGTACCACACACTTTTAAACACCAGACGTTGGGAGAACTATCACAAGAACAGCACCAAAGAGATGGTCCTAAACTATTCATGAAGGATCCATCCTCATGAGCCAATCACCTCCCTGAGGTGCCACCTCCAACCTTAGTGATTACAAGTGAACATGAGATTTGGGTGGGGACACAGATCCAAACAATATCAGGGGTCATGGTGGACATGAAGGTGGGCTGGTCTCCCCACTTCTCACATGATACCAGGGATGTAGACACATTCAGACGCCTTGGCAGAAAGAGAAGACAGAGGCCCTTGAAGTCACAAAGGGGAGACATGAACAAATCTTGCATCTCAGTCCCTCACAAGGCAGTCTTAGAAAAAAAATAGTCATGAGCAAATTCAGAACAGTCATAGTAAGTGGTGACACTGAACAGCCCACCACACCCTGAAAAATTCCAAATCAAAGAATCTCCAGAGCCTAGTTGTGTCCCCTATGCCCCAGCTCCTCCTTCCCTTCAGGCCCCCTAAGTTGTCATTTTACAAGCCTTGAGAGACACATCAGAGCCCTGGGTACTGTCCCTGTTTGGGGTGGAACAAAAACAAAATCTGGTCAGAGCCCACAGATGATGTGACTAAAGGAGGAATTGTGGGGTGGTGAGCTCCCCCATGGGCTCCTGTCTACACTATCCCAAGGATCTCAGGGATCACTCTTCCCACCCCTACCACACTTGCATGAAGCCTGAGCATAGCTGACTCCTTTTCCATCTGTGGAAAGAAAATAAACTGTGAAAGGCCAGGAAGGAAGCAGGGTCATGAGATCCCAGAGGAGTGTCCAGAACTGTGACTGCAGACCCAGGTCAGAATCAGGAAACCCTAGGTAAGAGGATGTGTTGAAACTGGACTAATTGTCCTAGTGAGGTCTGTCCTCTGCGGGTACCTTCCCCTGACCTGTGACTGCTGGGAGTCAGGTTCTCATGACTCCAATGAAGGTGATAAATTTGTCCTTCATTTTCACAAGTTCTTTACAAAAGAGTAAGTGTTGATAGACAGAGATGGTGCCTCACGACTAGGCAGGATACAAGCCAACTCCCATCTGGGGCTGGGAATCCACCAATGGAAGAAGAAAACTCGGAGCTCACCCCTTTCCTACCTGGGCTCTTACTCTTCCACATCACAGCAGTGACCACAGCTCTGGTGAAAACAGCACCAAGAACAACCAGGACAGTAACGATGCCCATGATGGGGATGGTGGGCTGGGAAGACAGCTGTAAGAAAGGAGGGGAACGTGAGGGGCCCTGACCATCAGGCCTCAAACCCTGACCTTGCTGAAGGGCTCCTAGTTCCCGTGAGAAGAGACATGACCCCTCATCTCCTTCCTTACCCATCTCAGGGTGAGGAGCTCTGGCAGCCCATCGTGCTGCACATGGCATGTGTATCTCTGCTCCTCTCCAGAAGACACCACCACAGCTGCCCACTTCTGGAAGGTTCTGTACCCTGCAGGTGTGGTCTCCACAACCTCTGCATCCTACATTTGGTCCTATCCATCCCACTACTGGGTCAGTGTGATCTCCACAGGGTAGAAGCCCAGAGCCCAGCACCTCAGGGTGGCCTCATGGTCAGAGATGGGGTGGTGGGTCATGTGAGTCTTTTGGGGTTCTGAGGGGAAGAGTCAGAAAATTCAGGCACTTTGCATTCCTCATGGGACATTCCACCTCATGGGACCATCCTGAAAATTGACGGGACACCTGAAGTGGGGAAGGGAGCAACTCAGACACCAGTCTAGACCCAGGCACCTGGGGCAATCTTCTATTCCTTAGAAAGTTTTAGTGTCTGAGGCCGGAACAGAGATTTCTGGTCCTGACCTGAGCGGAGGCCGAGGTCAAAAAAGCTGGAATCAGACCCACAAATACACATTGAGTGTGAGGCAGAGAACAAGGCCTGAGAGGAAAATTCCTGGTGCCCAAGGCTGCTGTGGGGACAAAGGGGACCGCAGATCAGTATTTCAGGGATTGTCTTCCCCTCCTTTCCCTCAAAGACTTCATCCTTTAATTGTCCCAGAGTGCAGGGCAGGCCCTCAGTCACTCTCTAGTATAGGATCTGAAAACCCGGGAGGACTCTTCCTCCTCACAAGAGGGAGAGGGATGTTTTAGCGTTGGTCCCATTTTCCTTCCCTTCTTTTGGAATGTGACTCAAGGAGATCTGCAGGAGATCAGGGAGGCACCCCGTGGCCACTGGTACCTGGGCAGTGCAGCGTCTCCTTCCCATTCTTAAGGACTTTGCTGAGCCACTCCGCCCACCTTCCCTGCAGGTAGGTTTCGAGCAGCTCTGCATGTTCCTCCGCCAGGGCATCTGAGCCGCCTTGTCCGCTGCAGTCCAGGAGCGCAGTTCCTGGTTTCGGACGAGGTAACTGGCGCCGTCATAGGGTATGTTCATACCCACTGAGGAGGCTGCAGTCCGAGTCCAGGTCGCAGCTGTGTACCCATTGGAGGGTGTGAGACCCATTCCCAGCGACCGAGGTCAGCCCAGGCCGCTGAGCCCCGCCTCAGCCTCGACCAACCCCCGGGGATTTGGGCCTGAACTGAAAATGGAATCCGGTATAGGCACCTGGGGCTTTTATTTGGTGGAGGATCTCCGCTGGTCCCGCAGCGGAGTAGCACAATCTTAGTAACAGTGGGTATCACAGTACAGTGGGTAGCACAATCTTGGTAACCCCTGAATGATCGCGAATCTAATTTGTAAAAGAGGTGATTTTTGGCCCCATTATATATAAATGTGTCTAAACGCATTGCAGTTAGACTCACAAAGTTAAGTTTTACTTTCCCAGACTGTGTATCTGTGACTCTGGTCTGTTGTATTTTTAAATTATCTTTATCTTATAGCCCTGAGTTTGTGTGCGCGAGTCCAGGACATCTCAATACAAAGCACATTGTGTTACCGTATATTGCAACCAGGAGCCTGGGCAGAATTTAATCACCTCAAATTTGCAAGTGCTCAATGCAGCCAAAGTGCCCTTCACCAGTGCTCATGCACCGTCTTTATTTATTTATTTATTATTTATTTATTTATTTAGTTAGTTAGTTAGTTATTTTTAGACCGAGTAACACTCTGTTGCCCTAGCTGGAGTGCAGTGGCATGCTCATGACTCACGGAAGCCTCGACCTCCTGGGCTCATGCGATCAGAGCTCCTCCTTCAGCCTCCAAGTATCTGGCACCACAGGCTTGTACCACCACTCCTGGCTAATTTTTCTAAAACAAATTTGTAGAGATGAGGTCTCACTATGTTGCTCTGGCTAGTCTTGAACTCCTGAGCTCAAGTGATCCTCCTGCCTCAGCCTCCCAAAATGCTGGTATTACAGGCATGAGCCACAATGGCCATCTCATGCACCTGCCTATATTTATGAATTATTCACATCTAAGCTATGTGCATATTTTATTAGGACACTTGGTATTCTTTTCTAACCTGTTTATCATAAGGAGGCAATTAGTTATTAGACAGCCCCACAGAATGTATTAAAGACCAAGGTGCAAGTAACACTGTGCCAGGCTCTGCAGATGAATGCATTACAAATCTATAAAAACACTGTGTTTAAGTCTGAGAATTCTATTGCTTTAGAATTCTTTCTCTCTGTTCCTTTACCTCACCTCCTGCTTCTCCAGCCCTTCTCTCTGTCCCTGTCATCTCTCAGGCCTTCCTCTCCCCTTAGTCTCTACTACTCTGTCACTACTGAATTGTGGCCCTAGGTCTGTCCCCTCACCTGCTGCCCATGACTGTTCTCCCCACAATGGTCAGAAATCCTGCTAATGTGAGTTAGATTGTGTCATTTCTTCACTTAAAACCCTCCAATGGCTCCATCTCACTCTCAAGAAGCCTCTAGAATGGAAGGCACATGAGCACAGGGGCTTTGGGTTGTTTTGATCAAAGTTGTTCCTGCAGCCTATAAAAGCGTATCTGGCACATGGTAGGCACTAAGTTAATTTTCTTGAATGAATGAAATATGATTGTGTTAAAAATTGTGTCACACAAAAATCACAAAATGAAAAATGCAAAGCAAGTGAGGAAACATTTGGTTTTATTCAACTACTATGCATATCAGTTCATAAATTCATTCCAGTGGAGAAAATGTCATATGCTTAGCTGTTGAATCTGTTTATGAATTTTCTATTAGTACATAACAAATTACCACAAACGTAGTGGCTTAAAAGAGCACTCATTTATTTGTCTGCATTTCCTTCATCAGAAATCCAGGCCTAGTGTGAGAGATTCTTTGTTCAGGGTTTCGCAAAGCTGTATCCTCATCTTAAGATTGGGATTCTCCCCCAAGCTTATATAGAGCTCGTTGGCAGAATTCGGTTTCTGGTAATTGTAGGACTAAGGTCCCCGTTTCCTTCAGGCTATCAGAGTAGACAGTGGGGAGGGCTTCTAATTCCTATTGGCCACCAGTATTTTTTCCCCATGATCCCTCCATTTTCAAAGCCCACAGTGGAGGAAGCCCCTCACACTGAATCCCTCTCACACTGTGAGTCTCTATTCTCAGGAAGAACCCAGTCCTTTTTAGATCTTACCTGATTAGGCCAGTCCAAGCAGGATAATCCCCATCTTAAAGCCAACTGACAGGGGACCTGGAATACATCTGCAAAATCCCTTCACAGCAGCACCTACATTAGTGTCAACAGAGTAACTGGGGTAACGTGAGTAACCAACGGTGGTTATTGGGGTGTCATCATAGAATCAGTCTAGCATAGCCTGGATCTTCCTTTTGTGTTTGAATAGAACATACAAATTGAAGTTAAAAAAAATAGATCATTGTTAATGATAATAAAATATATCTTATATAACCATGAAAATTCTTGTTAAATATTAAAAGCAAATGACATGTTTAATATCTTATAATCAATTTAGAGCAAATGAAAAAGTTCAATGATTCATCCTCTCTTGTGAAGGTGTATTAGTTAGCTACTGATGCATAACAAGTCACTTAAAACTTAGCAACTCAAGTCAACAAATATTTATCATGTCCCACAGTTTCTAGTGGTCAGGAGTCCAGGAGAGGTTTCTCAAAGTTCTTCTGGCTCAGGGCCTCTCACAAAATTGCAGTGTAGTTGTCATCCAGGGCTTTATCATCTGAGGGCTCAAATGGGGCTGGGGATTCACAAGTCACAAGAATATCCCACGTGGCTGTTGGAAGAGGCATCTTCTTATTGTCTGGCCCCAGGAGGCCTCACTTCCTAGTCACTTGGAGCTTTCCACAGGCCTGCTTATGACACAGCAGCCAGCTTCCCCCAGGGCTCATGATCCCGGAGAAAGAGAAAACCAGAACCAAAGTAGAAGCTGCAGTGAGCTTTTTTGTTTTTTGTTTTCTGTTTGTTTTTTTTTTTTTTTTTTTTTGAGACAGAGTCTCACCCTGTCACCCAGGCTGGAATGCAGAGGCTGGATCTTGGCTCACTGCAACCTCTGACTTCCAGGTTCAAGTGATTCTCCTGCCTCAGCCTCCTGAGCAACTGGGATTACAGGCATGCACCACCACACCCGACTAATTTTTGTATTTTTAGTAGAGACAGGGTTTCACCATGTTGGCCAGGCTGGTCTCGAACTTCTGACGTCATGATCCGCTCTCTTGACCTCCCAAAGTTTTGGGACTACAGGCGTGAGCGACCACTCCCAGACTTAGTGAGTCTTACGATTTACACCCAGAGTCATAAACTATTATGTCAGCATTACTGTATCAGCCTGTAAGCGAGTCATTAAGTTCAGGCCACACTCACAGGAAGGGAATGAAGCTGCACCTCTGCAAGGAGGAGTATCAAAGAATTTATATGCATGTTAAGTATGTACAGTATGCATGTTAAGTAATGTACAGTATGTAATCACCTCAAATTTGCAAGTGCTCAATGCAACCAAAGTGCCCTTCACCAGGGCTCATGCACTGCCTCTATTATTTAGTTAGTTAGTTAGTTAGTTAGTTAGTTAGTTATTTTTACACAAAGTATCACTGTGTTGCCCTGGCTGGAATGCAGTGGCATGGTCATGACTCGCTGAAGCCTCAACCTCCTGGGCTCATGCGATCAACGCTCCTCCTTCAGCCTCCCAAGTAGCTAGCACCGCAATTAACATTATAGTTTCAGGATTTTGTAAATCAAATACTTCTTGTATCTGGCTAATTTTCTTTAATACTTTAAAATTATCTTTTGTAAAGTAATGAATAAAACTTTGAGACAGAGAATGGAGATACAACAATATCTCAGATTTTTTTGCAAATGTCTTTAATATTAATGTTCTCTTTGATGAGTTACAAGAAAGTTGAGAAAATACAGTAGCTAGATCAAAGAGTCCCAAGACTGGTGCCGTATAATAATGCCTTTACAATCATAACTATCTTTCTTTTTCCTCAGAAGTTACTAATTCCGTTTAAGAATGCCCAAAATGCCAATTTTCTTACTCAAGCTTCTACAAAAATATTTGCCTAATCAGGGTGCTTTGCAATTAGAAAAAATGTGTCTCACATCTTTGTCTGTACAGCTAGCTTAGCATCACGACAACGATTTGATTTGATGTGGTAGGTGGAAATGGTTAACTCCAATCTAGGAACAAGATTTTTCAAAAACTGGGTATTCAGTGGGCATCCATTGATCAGTTTAACATCTTTCACTGTGTTTTTTTTTTTTTTTTTTTGAATTTTGGGTAATGTTATTATTTGTATAAATATCTTCCAATACTTGCTTAAACACATTACACATAAATATGCAAATATTGCTTAGCTATACTAAAATGTTATTCATTGCTCATCCCAATTTTTTTTTTTTTTTTTTTTTTTTTTTTTTTTTTTTTTTTTTTTTTTTTTTTTTTTTTTTTTTTTTATTATACTCTAAGTTTTAGGGTACATGTGCACATTGTGCAGGTTAGTTACATATGTATACATGTGCCATGCTGGTGCGCTGCACCCACTAATGTGTCATCTAGCATTAGGTATATCTCCCAATGCTATCCCTCCCCCCTCCCCCGACCCCACCACAGTCCCCAGAGTGTGATATTCCCCTTCCTGTGTCCATGTGATCTCATTGTTCAATTCCCACCTATGAGTGAGAATATGCGGTGTTTGGTTTTTTGTTCTTGCGATAGTTTACTGAGAATCATGGTTTCCAATTTCATCCATGTCCCTACAAAGGATATGAACTCATCATTTTTTATGGCTGCATAGTATTCCATGGTGTATATGTGCCACATTTTCTTAATCCAGTCTATCATTGTTGGACATTTGGGTTGGTTCCAAGTCTTTGCTATTGTGAATAGTGCCGCAATAAACATACGTGTGCATGTGTCTTTATAGCAGCATGATTTATACTCATTTGGGTATATACCCAGTAATGGGATGGCTGGGTCAAATGGTATTTCTAGTTCTAGATCCCTGAGGAATCGCCACACTGACTTCCACAATGGTTGAACTAGTTTACAGTCCCACCAACAGTGTAAAAGTGTTCCTATTTCTCCGCATCCTCTCCAGCACCTGTTGTTTCCTGACTTTTTAATGATTGCCATTCTAACTGGTGTGAGATGATATCTCATAGTGGTTTTGATTTGCATTTCTCTGATGGCCAGTGATGATGAGCATTTCTTCATGTGTTTTTTGGCTGCATAAATGTCTTCTTTTGAGAAGTGTCTGTTCATGTCCTTCGCCCACTTTTTGATGGGGTTGTTTGTTTTTTTCTTGTAAATTTGTTTGAGTTCATTGTAGATTCTGGATATTAGCCCTTTGTCAGATGAGTAGGTTGCAAAAATTTTCTCCCATGTTGTAGGTTGCCTGTTCACTCTGATGGTAGTTTCTTTTGCTGTGCAGAAGCTCTTTAGTTTAATTAGATCCCATTTGTCAATTTTGTCTTTTGTTGCCATTGCTTTTGGTGTTTTGGACATGAAGTCCTTGCCCACGCCTATGTCCTGAATGGTAATGCCTAGGTTTTCTTCTAGGGTTTTTATGGTTTTAGGTTTAACGTTTAAATCTTTAATCCATCTTGAATTGATTTTTGTATAAGGTGTAAGGAAGGGATCCAGTTTCAGCTTTCTACATATGGCTAGCCAGTTTTCCCAGCACCATTTATTAAATAGGGAATCCTTTCCCCATTGCTTGTTTTTCTCAGGTTTGTCAAAAATCAGATAGTTGTAGATATGCGGCATTATTTCTGAGGGCTCTGTTCTGTTCCATTGATCTATATCTCTGTTTTGGTACCAGTACCATGCTGTTTTGGTTACTGTAGCCTTGTAGTATAGTTTGAAGTCAGGTAGTGTGATGCCTCCAGCTTTGTTCTTTTGGCTTAGGATTGACTTGGCAATGCGGGCTCTTTTTTGGTTCCATATGAACTTTAAAGTAGTTTTTTCCAATTCTGTGAAGAAAGTCATTGGTAGCTTGATGGGGATGGCATTGAATCTGTAAATTACCTTGGGCAGTATGGCCATTTTCACGATATTGATTCTTCCTACCCATGAGCATGGAATGTTCTTCCATTTGTTTGTCTCCTCTTTTATTTCCTTGAGCAGTGGTTTGTAGTTCTCCTTGAAGAGGTCCTTCACATCCCTTGTAAGTTGGATTCCTAGGTATTTTATTCTCTTTGAAGCAATTGTGAATGGGAGTTCACCCATGATTTGGCTCTCTGTTTGTCTGTTGTTGGTGTATAAGAATGCTTGTGATTTTTGTACATTGATTTTGTATCCTGAGACTTTGCTGAAGTTGCTTATCAGCTTAAGGAGATTTTGGGCTGAGACGATGGGGTTTTCTAGATAAACAATCATGTCGTCTGCAAACAGGGACAATTTGACTTCCTCTTTTCCTAATTGAATACCCTTTATTTCCTTCTCCTGCCTGATTGCCCTGGCCAGAACTTCCAACACTATGTTGAATAGGAGCGGTGAGAGAGGGCATCCCTGTCTTGTGCCGGTTTTCAAAGGGAATGCTTCCAGTTTTTGCCCATTCAGTATGATATTGGCTGTGGGTTTGTCATAGATAGCTCTTATTATTTTGAAATACGTCCCATCAATACCTAATTTATTGAGAGTTTTTAGCATGAAGGGTTGTTGAATTTTGTCAAAGGCTTTTTCTGCATCTATTGAGATAATCATGTGGTTTTTGTCTTTGGCTCTGTTTATATGCTGGATTACATTTATTGATTTGCGTATATTGAACCAGCCTTGCATCCCAGGGATGAAGCCCACTTGATCATGGTGGATAAGCTTTTTGATGTGCTGCTGGATTCGGTTTGCCAGTATTTTATTGAGGATTTTTGCATCAATGTTCATCAAGGATATTGGTCTAAAATTCTCTTTTTTGGTTGTGTCTCTGCCTGGCTTTGGTATCAGAATGATGCTGGCCTCATAAAATGAGTTAGGGAGGATTCCCTCTTTTTCTATTGATTGGAATAGTTTCAGAAGGAATGGTACCAGTTCCTCCTTGTACCTCTGGTAGAATTCGGCTGTGAATCCATCTGGTCCTGGACTCTTTTTGGTTGGTAAACTATTGATTATTGCCACAATTTCAGAGCCTGTTATTGGTCGATTCAGAGATTCAACTTCTTCCTGGTTTAGTCTTGGGAGAGTGTATGTGTCGAGGAATGTATCCATTTCTTCTAGATTTTCTAGTTTATTTGCGTAGAGGTGTTTGTAGTATTCTCTGATGGTAGTTTGTATTTCTGTGGGATCGGTGGTGATATCCCCTTTATCATTTTTTATTGTGTCTATTTGATTCTTCTCTCTTTTTTTCTTTATTAGTCTTGCTAGCGGTCTATCAATTTTGTTGATCCTTTCAAAAAACCAGCTCCTGGATTCATTGATTTTTTGAAGGGTTTTTTGTGTCTCTATTTCCTTCAGTTCTGCTCTGATTTTAGTTATTTCTTGCCTTCTGCTAGCTTTTGAATGTGTTTGCTCTTGCTTTTCTAGTTCTTTTAATTGTGATGTTAGGGTGTCAATTTTGGATCTTTCCTGCTTTCTCTTGTAGGCATTTAGTGCTATAAATTTCCCTCTACACACTGCTTTGAATGCGTCCCAGAGATTCTGGTATGTGGTGTCTTTGTTCTCGTTGGTTTCAAAGAACATCTTTATTTCTGCCTTCATTTCGTTATGTACCCAGTAGTCATTCAGGAGCAGGTTGTTCAGTTTCCATGTAGTTGAGCGGCTTTGAGTGAGATTCTTAATCCTGAGTTCTAGTTTGATTGCACTGTGGTCTGAGAGATAGTTTGTTATAATTTCTGTTCTTTTACATTTGCTGAGGAGAGCTTTACTTCCAACTATGTGGTCAATTTTGGAATAGGTGTGGTGTGGTGCTGAAAAAAATGTATATTCTGTTGATTTGGGGTGGAGAGTTCTGTAGATGTCTATTAGGTCTGCTTGGTGCAGAGCTGAGTTCAATTCCTGGGTATCCTTGTTGACTTTCTGTCTCGTTGATCTGTCTAATGTTGACAGTGGGGTGTTAAAGTCTCCCATTATTAATGTGTGGGAGTCTAAGTCTCTTTGTAGGTCACTGAGGACTTGCTTTATGAATCTGGGTGCTCCTGTATTGGGTGCATAAATATTTAGGATAGTTAGCTCCTCTTGTTGAATTGATCCCTTTACCATTATGTAATGGCCTTCTTTGTCTCTTTTGATCTTTGTTGGTTTAAAGTCTGTTTTATCAGAGACTAGGATTGCAACCCCTGCCTTTTTTTGTTTTCCATTGGCTTGGTAGATCTTCCTCCATCCTTTTATTTTGAGCCTATGTGTGTCTCTGCACGTGAGATGGGTTTCCTGAATACAGCACACTGATGGGTCTTGACTCTTTATCCAACTTGCCAGTCTGTGTCTTTTAATTGCAGAATTTAGTCCATTTATATTTAAAGTTAATATTGTTATGTGTGAATTTGATCCTGTCATTATGATGTTAGCTGGTGATTTTGCTCATTAGTTGATGCAGTTTCTTCCTAGTCTCGATGGTCTTTACATTTTGGCATGATTTTGCAGCGGCTGGTACCGGTTGTTCCTTTCCATGTTTAGCGCTTCCTTCAGGAGCTCTTTTAGGGCAGGCCTGGTGGTGACAAAATCTCTCAACATTTGCTTGTCTATAAAGTATTTTATTTCTCCTTCACTTATGAAGCTTAGTTTGGCTGGATATGAAATTCTGGGTTGAAAATTCTTTTCTTTAAGAATGTTGAATATTGGCCCCCACTCTCTTCTGGCTTGTAGGGTTTCTGCCGAGAGATCCGCTGTTAGTCTGATGGGCTTTCCTTTGAGGGTAACCCGACCTTTCTCTCTGGCTGCCCTTAACATTTTTTCCTTCATTTCAACTTTGGTGAATCTGACAATTATGTGTCTTGGAGTTGCTCTTCTCGAGGAGTATCTTTGTGGCGTTCTCTGTATTTCCTGAATCTGAACGTTGGCCTGCCTTGCTAGATTGGGGAAGTTCTCCTGGATAATCTCCTGCAGAGTGTTTTCCAACTTGGTTCCATTCTCCACATCACTTTCAGGTACACCAATCAGACGTAGATTTGGTCTTTTCACATAGTCCCATATTTCTTGGAGGCTTTGCTCATTTCTTTTTATTCTTTTTTCTCTAAACTTCCCTTCTCGCTTCATTTCATTCATTTCATCTTCCATTGCTGATACCCTTTCTTCCAGTTGATCGCATCGGCTCCTGAGGCTTCTGCATTCTTCACGTAGTTCTCGAGCCTTGGTTTTCAGCTCCATCAGCTCCTTTAAGCACTTCTCTGTATTGGTTATTCTAGTTATACATTCTTCTAAATTTTTTTCAAAGTTTTCAACTTCTTTGCCTTTGGTTTGAATGTCCTCCCGTAGCTCAGAGTAATTTGATCGTCTGAAGCCTTCTTCTCTCAGCTCATCAAAATCATTCTCCATCCAGCTTTGTTCTGTTGCTGGTGAGGAACTGCGTTCCTTTGGAGGAGGAGAGGCGCTCTGCGTTTTAGAGTTTCCAGTTTTTCTGTTCTGTTTTTTCCCCATCTTTGTGGTTTTATCTACTTTTGGTCTTTGATGATGGTGATGTACAGATGGGTTTTCGGTGTAGATGTCCTTTCTGGTTGTTAGTTTTCCTTCTAACAGACAGGACCCTCAGCTGCAGGTCTGTTGGAATACCCTGCCGTGTGAGGTGTCAGTGTGCCCCTGCTGGGGGGTGCCTCCCAGTTAGGCTGCTCGGGGGTCAGGAGTCAGGGACCCACTTGAGGAGGCAGTCTGCCCGTTCTCAGATCTCCAGCTGCGTGCTGGGAGAACCACTGCTCTCTTCAAAGCTGTCAGACAGGGACACTTAAGTCTGCAGAGGTTACTGCTGTCTTTTTGTTTGTCTGTGCCCTGCCCCCAGAGGTGGAGCCTACAGAGGCAGTCAGGCCTCCTTGAGCTGTGGTGGGCTCCACCCAGTTCGAGCTTCCCGGCTGCTTTGTTTACCTAAGCAAGCCTGGGCAATGGCGGGCGCCCCTCCCCCAGCCTCGTTGCCGCCTTGCAGTTTGATCTCAGACTGCTGTGC
The DNA here is from genome assembly GCF_000001405.40 of Homo sapiens. Lineage (NCBI taxonomy): Eukaryota > Metazoa > Chordata > Mammalia > Primates > Hominidae > Homo > Homo sapiens. Next base: position 1,207,368 of record NT_167246.2, on the reverse strand, counting down.
TAGCAATCAGCGAGATTCCGTGGGCGTAGGACCCTCCGAGCCAGGTGTGGGATATAGTCTCGTGTTGCGCCGTTTCTTAAGCCGGTCTGAAAAGCGCAATATTCGGGTGGGAGTGACCCGATTTTCCAGGTGCGTCCGTCACCCCTTTCTTTGACTCGGAAAGGGAACTCCCTGACCCCTTGCGCTTCCCAGGTGAGGCAATGCCTCGCCCTGCTTCGGCTCGCGCACGGTGCGCACACACACTGGCCTGCGCCCACTGTCTGGCACTCCCTAGTGAGATGAACCCGGTACCTCAGATGGAAATGCAGAAATCACCGTCTTCTGCGTCGCTCACGCTGGGAGCTGTAGACCGGAGCTGTTCCTATTCGGCCATCTTGGCTCCTCCCCCTTCACTGTGTTTTTTAATTAGATGTGTTAGAAGTGATTTGGACTCCAGTATGATTCTGAAAAATGCAGTTATTTTGTGCTTCTAACATTGCTTTAAAAGCAGCTCTTTTGTGTTTTCCATTCTTATTGCTATTTCATCACTAGTTATTCCTTTATGTCTTTTCATTTAATTTATTTTGCTCGACAATGGTTTTTTCTATTCTGTAAAAGTTTAATTCACTTGTATGTGTGGTAAAATGTGAGCAACATATCAAATTCTCAAATTCTTTGCGAGATACAATTGCCTTGCACATCAGATTGAACATTGTATACCAGAGAATGTAGAGAGATGCCAATTAGCCAAGGATCAAATGACCTATTTCTAGCCAAGGCTATTTTTCATGGCATCCTGGTCCTCTTTGTCACATGGCTGCTTACAATTGGCTGTGGCTTTGTTTTAACGCAGGTAGTTATCGCTAAGGATCCTTTCAATGAACTTTTGTGTTTTCTTTTCTCTTTCATTTCCAAATAATCAGGAATGGCACACAAGGTGCATTTTGAAAATTGCCACTTTAAAGATTTGTGGGCTGGGAGTGGTGGCTCATGCCTCTAATCCCAGCACTTTGGGAGGCCAAAGTGGGTAGATCACCTGAGATCACCTGAGACCAGCCTGGCCAACATGGTGAAGCACAGTCTTTACGAAAAATACAAAAATTAGCCGGGCATCATGGCAGGTGCCTGTAATCCTAGCTACTCAGAGGCTGAAGTAGGAGAATCGCTTGAACACGGGGGGCGGAGGTTGCAGTGAGCTGAGATCACACCACTGCACTCCCACCTGGGCGATGAGAGTGAGACTCCATCTCAAAAAATAAATGAATGAATAAATAAATAAATAAATAAAGATTTATGATCAAGTAACTAACTACCTGGGCATCCTCTCCTGGCATAAGAAACAGAACCTATGAAGCCACCCTAGACTGTTGTCCAATCCTATCCCCCAAAAGGAACCTCTATCTTGAGTCTTGTATTTACTATTCCTTTGCATTGTCACTAAAGATTTTTACAATAAATATATATACCCAAATCACAGTCTGACCTGTTTTTTTAACTTCCCTGTAGAGAGAACTCACACTATATGTATTCTTCTGTGATGCACCTTATGTGTAGGAGAGTTATCTCTGATGTGGGTGGGTGCTGTTCATTCATTTTTACTGCTGAAGTTTTACTTTTCATGATTATATCACAATTTTGTTAATTCCCATTGATGTATATGTGATCGTTTCCAGTTTTTGCCATAAACATTGGTGTACACGTCTCCAGGACACATAGCCAAGAATTCCCCAGAGTGTATGATCAGGAGCAGATGATGGGATTATACAGTGTATGGACCTTAATCATACTAGATAAGGCTAATTTGATTCCTCAAGTGCTTGTACCAAGAATGGGAAAGAACTTATGTTGCTCATGTGTTCTGAAAACACTCAGTTGAAGGTGGAGATTACATGTGAAAAACCACTGTCTTGGCTACAGAATCACCCTAGGCATTTTTTCATATTCCATTAATAACTTCCTTTTCTTTACTTTTATCCTGTAAATTATGGCATTATACTTTAAGCATAAGATTCAAATAATGCTTCTTTTTAGCCTAACCACATAGAGTTTGTGAAAAAATGGAGGGAGGGAGAAAGCTCTGAGGGAGGAAAGGAGGAAACAAAGATGGAAGGACAGAGAAAGACAAAATGAACATTTTCAAAAAAGAATAGGAGGAAAGGATTAGAAACAGCAAGTGTGGCTAACATTATTAAAATGCAGGGAATTAAAAGATGTAGATAACATCCATGGAATAATAGAAACTTAAGAAAGCCTTAATAGTTATTAACTGCTGTGTCACAAACTACCTCAAAATTTAGTGGCTTAATACAACAAATATCTGTTAATTCAAAGAGATACTAAAAACACAAGCAAGATAGATTTTATGGGGGTGGCAGAAGTTAGATAAAGAGATGGATTTTATAGGTTGGAATAAGTAAAAGTTATTGGTGTGCACATGGAAATGCTTTTTAGTCCAAGTCCTCCAAGGAGCAGATGCCAAGATGAGCTTAAAGTCTGTGGCATCTTATGAGGGAACACACCTGTAAGGGAATATGGGAAGCGAGCCAGAAATCCCTGGAAAAGGCGGCAGACAATGATGCAAGTGTGACCCCAAGTGCTGGACAGAAGGAGACAAGGTTTGTTCGACGCATCCTAGAGCAGAGGCAATCTAAGGAGAGTTGAGCAAGGGCATGGAGGAGTCCTGGAGCCACATTTGGCCATCAGAGGAGTCCTGTGTCTCCCAGAAATGGCCTGCCTTAGTGTGCTTGCTGTGACCAGTCACTGGCTGGGAACAACTCATGGGAAGCAGGGCTTCTGCACTAATCCTGCTGAGGATGTCAGAGCACAGGAGCAGAGATGTGGGACATTACCTAGGTGTATCACTCAATCCTTCCTTCCTGAGGGTTCTGGGCTCTTGAATATCAAACCCTCTCAGGCTGGGTTGCTGGATGATTCTGCTCACACTTACAACGGACAAGGGAAACCAGGATGTCCCCAAGTGGATTCCTGGTTTCCACACACACTTCTCCTGCCCTCATTGTGTGATAGCAGCCCTGCCTCCTCCTCTTCTCCCCTGCTTGTCTCTGGGCATACTATTCAAATATCCCTGGGTGCAACCACAATGTTTAGTTCCATGGACTCTCATTTGTCTCCTTGCCAGGGTGCCCTCTTTGGGAAACCAGGACCTCCTCCCCTGCAGAGTCCAGATTTTGGACGTAAGAAGAGCAAAATCACCCTGGGGGTGAATATAATGAATAAAATAAATACATAAATAAATAAATTTATGTATGTATTTATGTTATTTATGTATTTATTTATTTACTTATAAATAAATAAATCACCCTGGGGGTGAATATAAGGAATGAGACACACCTGCTTTGACTTCTTGGTTTTTGGACCCACATATTCTTCCTTCTGAAAACGGCACCACAGAGACGTCTTTGATTCAATACATGCTTCACATCCCGAAAGATGGCACCCATTCCTCAGAGGGTTTCATCCAAGCTGGTACTGAGTTGTGTCTGCAGAGACCTGTCCATGACTCTGTGTGCCTGGCAGCACCTGACAGGCGCAGGTGGTGATATGACCAGGGGATCCCATGGATCCCCTTCCCCATGAGGTGTGTCCCCCAGGCAGATAACGTACTGAAATTTTGAGCCAGTGGATCAGGAATGCCAATAGTGTTGTTGACTGAGGATCTGAAAGCAGAGAGGAAAACCACACCACATCGAATAGGTGCCTATCCCTGTGAGGATGAACTTCTGCCCCTTCCAGGATAGATGGTGTTCAAGCTATTCAACTTGTCACTTAGGGGCTAGTCAGTTACCTGAAGAAATAGTGCCCTATCGGTGTCTATCATTGGTCTGTAATGCTCACAAGCAGAGTATTCAGAGGAAGCAGTAGCTGGATGGCCTTGGTAGTGGAGAGACAGTGCTGCTGGACTCATTTGTAGCTTCATCCCTGCCACTGTGGTTGCTCCACTCACGGGTCCTTCCTATCAGGCCTGGGCTGATCCATGATGCAGACTGGCTAACTTCAATTTGTTTGGTTATTCAGGGCCACATCAGGACTGGGTGTTTTCTGTGGGTGTTAACATGGAATTGAGGCTCAACCGACATGGACCATTTTCGTCTCATGATAGATGCCGCTGGGCCTGTCCAATCTATGACTCTATGGGTCACATAGAAGTCAATACACACAGGCACTTGGAAACACATGGTTGCTTGGTGTCCCATGATCAAGCATTCTATCTTATCAGGGCCAGTAACATGCTAAAAGTTGCTTCTAACATGGAGCATGTTTCTCCATGCTTCTAACATGGAGCTGTGGACTCCATGGCCTTACTCCAGATCCCAGGCCCTCCATTCTGACTCTCCCACTGATGCTTGGTTCAGCTCCATCCTGCATCTTTCCCCAGACAGCCACCTCCAGCACCAGGGGTCTGAGGGATGGTGACTGACTGCACCACAGTCTGGGTCTGCTGCAATGTCCTTTCCCATCAGGCCCCACTCAAAGCTGGCCTCCTCCTATATCACCCAGAGTGTCGGCCAAAGCAATATACTTAGATATGGAAGGTGGCATTGCCAGAACACAGAGAGGCTCAGAAGGTAGTGTGCTTCCTTCCTTCTGGTGAGGATGCAAGATGCAAGTTTGTCTTTTACTTTGGAGGGGACAGCCCTGCATGCCCCTAACCACTGGACCCATAACACTTCACTGCAGTGGCCACTCTTGAAGCTCTGTAAAGTTTATCTTCACCTTCTCTAGTGCACATGTTTTGCCAAGGAATTCAGCGTACTTTCCTGCTCTTGTTCATCCTTCCCAATTTATGTGATATTCCCAATGAAATGAAGAGATTTAGTGTTCTGTGAGATGTCTGATTTGTCCAGGTCTCTTAAGGTGATATTTATAGAAGGTTGAGGAGTTAAGGTAGCCCTGATGCAAGCTATCAATAAATGTGTTATAAATCCCATGTGAATGTGAATCATTCCATATCCATCTTTTAAATGAAATGGGAGGGAATGCACTCACCAAATCCACAGCTGCATGCCATGTGCCTGAGTCCTTATTAATCTCCCCAAGCAGTGATATCCAGTCAGCATGGCAGCTGCAATCAGGACTCCTACTTGGTCAAGTCTGGTGTAATTCCATTCATTCTTTAGCCATATCAGGCTTCTGCAGGTACAGATTGCTGAGTTATATGGAGATAAGAGGCAATCCCAACACCACCCTGCATCGTTCAGGCATGTAATGGCAGTGCCACCCCTATACTACCTGCAGTACCCTCCACAAGACCCACCCTGGGGCACAATATTGCTTCTGGTTCAGCTTGGATGAGGGATGTTTCCCTTTGGGCTTCAGCACAATGAGATGCCTTACTCTCCAGACTAGGGACACAGTGTGGGGTGACTCCAGTTGCCAGTGCATCAAGGCCAATTATGTACTCAGAGAATGGGGAGATAACCAGGACAGGATTTATGGAACCGGTGATTCCACCATGGGGCATAATGTGTCTAGGTTTATTCCCTGGCCTCTGTAAGCCCCACTGTGATAGGGACATAATGGTGCTGTGGGAATCTGGGCAGCAATGTCAGCTCACACCCAATGTTAATACTTATCCCATCTCCTGATTAAATGGCTATAGGCTCCTTTGCAGAAGGGCTGATGGAATTGTCCCAGCATGTAACCATCATCGTGTCCCAAGGTTCTTTCTCTTAGGGATATAGATATGTCCTTAGTCACTGGATTCTGAATCTGAAGCTTGCTCCTCAATTCCACATGCTTATCATAGATATCAAGAAGTGCCCTTGCTGTCTGCCCATCTTTTCTGACCCTGGGACACCACCCTTTATTAACCTTCCCCACAACTCCTTGAAGGTCAAGCCCCCTTGGCTGATACTCTGGGTTATCACAGTAAATGTGCCCTTTATCTTTTGCAGGTCACTGAAAAGGAGGGTTCCTAAAGCATTCACTCCTGACCCTGAGGGAGGTGGGTGCACTCACTCCAGGACTCAGGTGCACCACAGATAAGCAAAAAAGTCCTCACATTCAAAATTGTCCTGGGCCACATGCAGCCCACGAGCCACGGGTTGGACAAGCCTGCATCTAGAACGTATGCACCATAATCCCAGAAATTTTTCTGTTTTTACTTTAAGGATGCTTTCTAAATGCAAAAGCAGTCATATCCCTAGCAGACAACAAATGTCAGTTGAATGAATGATCACTGTAGAGCACCTCCCTATTCTAAAGCCCATACCTTTATTAATGTAGCCACAGGGCAAATGCTGTTTTGTGGCAGCTAAAGAACATAAGTTCACATGGACATCCATGCCGCCAGTGCTTTTCTCACCAGGGCTGCTTGTGTGTCCTCCCTCCTCCCACACCAACCCTCCTGCACACTTCAGCACAAAACCATATATTTCTCTTCAGGAACAATAACCCTAGCCTTATGGGTACAATTTTCCAACCACATATGAATCTAAATTAGACTCTGCTTTATAAATCTATGAGTTTGGATTGGAGCCAGCATTAGGATTACTACAACTCAGAGCAGGAAGAAGAGTAGGAGGGCAGAAGAGGAGTTCCAACAGAAAGTTAATCATGATGAGAAACTATGGGACCCCTCCTCTCTGCAAATGTCACAATCTGGTTCCTTTAAAAAGATTGGAGAAAAATCAAAAATACAATTGAGGAAAAAGCCCTGGGAGGAAGGCAAGACCTGGACAGGTCTGAAAATTTGTCTCTTGATACCACAAGGAGATTTGTATGCAGGGACCACCGTAGGTGACATCCAACTCCCTGTGATCACAGGTCTTGGTGGGACAAGTTTCTACTGAAGGGCCAAGGACAATGGAGCAGCAAAGATGACCCAGCCAAGCAGTGACCACATAAAGCCCATGGTGGCCGGAACAGAAACTGGGCACAGCCCCATCTACTCTCCTCCCCTGCAACAAATCAGCATAAGCAACACGTGGACTCTGGAAGGTTCTCATGTGTTCCATTTATTTTGTCTCTCAAATTTTAGGAATCTTCTCCTTTAATTAACTCATCAACCTCTCATGGCAAGAATTTGAGAAAGTAAATTTATACTCAGGTTCTAATTTTAATAGGGAAGGAAGAAGTTACAGCTCAGTGCACCATGAAGTTGAGGCAGAGATGGAGACACCTCAGCCCCACCTCTCTGGAACAGGAAAGATGATTGGGGAGGGAGCACAGGTCAGCGTGGGAAGAGGGTCATGGTGGACATGGGGGTGGGGTGGTCTCCCCACCTCCTCACATTATGCCTACAAGAACACAGACACATGCAGGTGCCTTTGCAGAAACAAAGTCAGGGTTCTTCAAGTCACAAAGGGAAGGGCAGGAACAAATCTTGCCTCTCAGTCCCACACAAGGCAGCTGTCTCACACTATAGAAAAAAATATTCATGAACAAATTCGTATCTGTCACAGTGAGGAGTCACACTTTAAACAGCCCATCGCATGCTCAATACATCCAATGCAAAGAAACCCCATAGCACAGCTGCGTCCACTGTTCCGCCCAACACCCAACACACATCAGGCCCTCCAGGCTCTCACCTTTACAAGCTGTGAGAGACATATCAGAGCCCTGGGCACTGTCACTGCCTGGGGTAGGACAAAAACAGAACCTGGTCAGATCCCACAGAAGATGTGGCTAGAGGAGGAATTGTGGGGTGGGTGAGCTCCCCCACGGGCTCCCAAACACAATATCCCAAGGACCTCAGGCATCAGCCTCCTTCATACTTACTTGCAGCCTGAGAGTAGCTCCCTCCTTTTCTATCTGTGGGAAGAAAATGTCCTGTGAGATACCAGAAAGGAGCCAGGGCCTTAAGGTCCTAGAGGAACCTCCAAGTCTTGGACCTCAGAGAAGTTTCCAGAAATGTGTGACTGCAGACCCAGGGCGGGATCAGGAAACATGAAGAAAGCAGGTGTGGGTCCTGGACCAACCGCCCTCCTGAAGGTCCTCAGGGACCTTCCCCTGTGACTTGTGACTGCTGGGATCAGGTCCCATCACCGCCGTAATCAAGGTGATAAATCTGTCCTTCATTTTAACAGGTGCTTTACAAAAGAGTAAGTGCTGGCACACAGGGCCCAGGCTGGGTAGGCCCATAATTGTGGATGGTGCTTCCCAGTAACGAGGCAGGGCACACTTCTACCTGGGTCTTGGAACCCTCAGTGAGACAAGAAATCTCAGACCCACCCTTCATCCCTTCACCCCACCTGAGCTCTTCCTCCTCCACCTCACAGCAGCGACCACAGCTCCAGCGAACACAGCTCCAAAGAGAACTAGGCCAGCAATGATGCCCACGATGGGGATGGTGGGCTGGGAAGACGGCTCTGGGAAAAGAGGGGAAGGTGAGGGGCCCTGACCCTGCTAAAGGTCAGAGAGGCTCCTGCTTTCCCTAAAAGACATGACACCCCCATCTCCCTCCTTACCCCATCTCAGGGTGAGGGGCTTGGGCAGACCCTCATGCTGCACATGGCAGGTGTATCTCTGCTCCTGTCCAGAAGGCACCACCACAGACGCCCACTTCTGGAAGGTTCCATCCCCTGCAGGCCTGGTCTCCACAAGCTCCGTGTCCTGGGTCTGGTCCTCCCCATCCCGCTGCCAGGTCAGTGTGATCTCCGCAGGGTAGAAGCTCAGGGCCCAGCACCTCAGGGTGGCCTCATGGTCAGAGACAGCGTGGTGAGTCATATGCGTCTTGGGGGCGTCTGTCAGGAAGAGTCAGAACATTCAGGCATTTTGCATCTGTCATGGGACACTCCTCCAGCACACATGTGGCTATCTTGAGAATGGACAGGACACCTGGGATGGGGAAGGGAGCACAGAACCCAGACACCAGCCTGGACACAGGCACCTGGGATAATCTCCTATTCCGTGGAAAATTCTAGTCCCTGAAGAGGGAACAGCGACTTCTGGTCCTGACCTGAGTGGAGGCTGAGGGACTCAGAAGTGCTGGACTCAGACCCCCACACACATTGAGTGTGAAGCAGAGAACAAGGCCTGAGAGGAAAAGTCACGGGCCCAAGGCTGCTGCCGGTGTGTGTCAAAGGGAACCACTCATCAGTATTCGAGGGATCGTCTTCCCGTCATTCCTTCAGAGATTTTATCCCTTAATTGTGTCAGAGAGCAGGGCGGAACCTCAGAGTCACTCTCTGGTACAGGATCTGGAAACCCAGGAGGATTCCTCTCCCTCAGGACCAGAGGGAGGGCGATATTCTAGTGTTGGTCCCAATTGTCTCCCCTCCTTGTGGGAGGCCAGCCCGGGAGATCTACAGGCGATCAGGGAGGCGCCCCGTGGCCCCCGGTACCCGTGCGCTGCAGCGTCTCCTTCCCGTTCTCCAGGTATCTGCGGAGCCACTCCACGCACGTGCCCTCCAGGTAGGCTCTCAACTGCTCCGCCACACGGGCCGCCTCCCACTTGCGCTGGGTGATCTGAGCCGCCATGTCCGCCGCGGTCCAAGAGCGCAGGTCCTCGTTCAAGGCGATGTAATCCTTGCCGTCGTAGGCGTCCTGCCGGTACCCGCGGAGGAAGCGCCCGTCCGACCCCACGTCGCAGCCATACATCATCTGGATGGTGTGAGAACCTGGCCCCGACCCCACGGTCAGCCCAGTCCCCCGAGCCCCGTCCGGCCCCGACCAACCCGGGGGGATTTTTGGCCTAAACTGAAAATGAAACCGGGTAAAGGCGCCTGGGCCTCTCCCGGGGCAAGGGTCTCGGGGTCCCGCGGCTTCGGGGTGGATCTCGGACCCGGAGACTGTGGGCGACCCGGCCCGTCCGTGGGGGATGAGAGGTCGTGACCTGCGCCCCGGGCCGGGGTCACTCACCGGCCTCGCTCTGGTTGTAGTAGCCGCGCAGGGTCCCCAGGTTCGCTCGGTCAGTCTGTGACTGGGCCTTCACATTCCGTGTCTGCAGGTCCCAATACTCCGGCCCCTCCTGCTCTATCCACGGTGCCCGCGGCTCCATCCTCTGGCTCGCGGCGTCGCTGTCAAACCGCACGAACTGCGTGTCGTCCACGTAGCCCACGGCGATGAAGCGGGGCTCCCCGCGGCCGGGCCGGGACACGGATGTGGTGAAATACCTCATGGAGTGGGAGCCTGGGGGCGAGGAGTGGCTGAGACCCACCCGACCCTCCTCCCGGCGCGGCTACCCGGGTCCTGCGTCCCCGCCGGGCGGGCCCCTTGCTTCTCCCCGCAGAGGCGGTTTCCCCACGACCCCGCACTCACCCGCCCAGGTCTGGGTCAGGGCCAGGGCCCCCAAGAGTAGCAGGAGGAGGGTTCGGGGCGCCATGACGGCCATCCTCGGCGTCTGGGGAGAATCTGAGTCCCGGTGGGTGCGTGCGGACTTTAGAACCGCGACCGCGACGACACTGATTGGCTTCTCTGGAAACCCGACACCCAATGGGAGTGAGAACTGGGTCCGCGTCGTGAGTATCCAGGAAGAAGGACCCTACATAGGTTGGCAGAGGGAGAAAAGAAACTGCGGAGTTGGGGAATCCCCAAGGCTGGGACTCCCCAATCCATACACCGCCTTCGGGGCCTGAGACCCTGAGAGCCACGCCTGGGGCCCTGGGACTTCGCCCTGACCCCTCTGCTCCTGTGCCAAGCTCTCTGTCTCAATGTCTCCCTGAGTCTTGGCCCAAGAGCTGTCTGAGAAACAAGGGAGAAACCCTCGGCATGGGCCCCGTCCCTCTCCTTTCACTTTTCATCCCGTAATCTCTGTCCCTGAACTGGACTCCCTGACTCCCACTCCTTACCTGTCCACCTGGACTCTTCTAGAAGAAAAATCACCCCATGGAGTTTGGTGCCAGAGAGTAAGCTTGCTCTGGGAATGGAGGTGTAGATTTTTGTTGTTGTTGTTTTTGTTTTTAATCGGGAAAAGTTGCGCCTGAGTGCATGAGACAGAATAGAGACCAATTTGCTCTTTGTTTATTAACTACAGTGGGTAGCAGAATCTTGGTAACCCCTGAATGATCAGGAATCTAATAGGTAAAAAATGTGACTTTGGCCCCTTGATGTATAAATGTGTCCAAAAGCCTTACAACAGGACTCACAAAGCTACTAAGTTTCACTTTCCCAGACAATGTACCTGTGACTCCTGCTTGTAGTATTTTAAATTTACCATCATTCCATAGCTCTGAGTTTCTGTGTGAGTCCAGGACATCTCCTCAATACAAAGTAGCCACTGTGTTCCTATATGTTGCGACCAGAAGCCATTACAAGCTTTATTCACCTCAAATTTGCAACTGTTCAATGCAGTCACAATGCCCTTCACTACTGCTCATGCACTGCCTGTTTTTAGGAAGTATCCACTTCTAAGTGTTGTGTATATTTTATAGGAACACTTAGTAATTTTTAAACCTGATTAACATAAAAAATTAGGTTTTAGGCAGACCCACATGAGGTATTAAAAGACAACTGCCAAGGACACCCTGCTAGGCTCTGTAGATGGATGTATTAAAATCCATAAAACAATGTATTTAAACCTAAGAATTCTGCTGCTTTCAAATTCTTTCCTCTGCTCCTTTTCCTCACCTCCTGCTTCTCCAGCCCTTCCCTCCATCCTTCTCATCCTTCAGGCCCTCCTCTCCCCTTAGTCCCCACCACACTGTCACTCGTGAATTGTGACACTAGCACTGTCCCATGACCTGCTACGTAACTGTTCTTTTCACAGTGGTCCTGCTCCTGTGAGTCAGAGTGTCATTTCTCCACTTAAAACACTCCAGTGTCTCCACCTCGGTCTTGTGAAGCTTCTGGAGTTTCAGGCACTTGAGCATATGAGGGGATACCTGGTTCATTGTAGGGACTAAGTTAATTTTTGTTGACTTAATGAATGAAATATGAGTGTATTAAATTGCATCACAGATAATTATAAACTGTAAAACACGGAAAAAGTTCAGAAAGATTTTATTTTATGCAACTAGTGTGTATATCAATTCATCAGTTCATTTGCACACTACCACGCCTGGCAAAACAACACCCATTTATCTGCTTATAATTCCTTGGTCAGAAATCTGGGCAAGATGTGGATAGAATCTCTGTTCTGGGCTTCCAAAAGCTGTGTTTTCATTTTGAATCCTCCTTCAGGTTTATACAGAGGTGGCAGAACGCAGTTTCTTGCAGTTGTAAGACTGAGGTTCCTGTTTCTGGCTAGCTGTCAATGTAGAGAACTGGGAGGGGCTCAATTCCTGGTGCTCACCAGCGTTCTTTCCTACACAGCCCCTTAATTTTTTTTTTTTTTTTTTTTTTTTTTGAGACCGAGTCTGGCTCTGTAGCCCAGGCTGGGGTACAGTGGCCCAATGATCTCTGCTCACTAGAAGCTCTGCCTCCTGGGTTCACACCATTCTCCTGTCTCAGTCCCAAGTAGCTGGGACTACAGGCGCCCACCACTACGCTCTGCCAATTTTTTTTTTTTTTTCTTAGTAGACACAGGGTTTCACCTTGTTAGCCAGGATTGTCTCGACCTCCTGACCTCATGATCCGCCCGCCTCGGCCTCCCAAAGTGTCGGGATTACAGGCGTGAGCCACCACGCCCGGCCCATAGCCCCTTCCTTTTCAAAGCCCCTGGTGGAGGAAACCCCTCATGCTGAGTCCCTCTCACACTGTAAGTCTCTGTGCTCATGAAGAACCCAGTCCTTTCAAGGGCTCACCTGATTAGGACAGTCCAAGCAGGATAAACCCAGCATAAAGTCAACTAATTGAGACCCTTAATTATATCTGCTAAATCCCTTCACAGCAGCACCTACATTAGAGTTGGTTGAATAACTGGAGGAAGGTGACTGACCAGGAGCTGCTTGTTGAGGCCATCATAGAATCAGCCTAGCAAGGGTTGGATCTTCCTTTTGTGTTTAATTGGGACACAGTTGGAAAGTGAAGTTCAAGTAAAGTGATCATTGTGAATGGTCATAAAATACATCCTCTTCAGCCATGGAAATTGTCCTTACCTTTTAAAACTAAGTTACATGTTTAATATCTTATAATTAATTTAGGCCAGGTGTGGTGGCTCACGGCTGTCATCCTAGCACTGTGGAAAGCAGAGGAAGGGAGATTTGTTGACTCCAGAAGTTCAAGATCAGCCTGGGCAAAACCTCCATCTCTACAAAAAATTAGAAAATTAGCCAGGCATGGTAGTTCATGATGGTAGTCCCAGCTACTCAGGAGGCTGAGGTCAGAGAGTCCCTTGACCCCAGGAATTTGACACTGCAGTGCATGGTGATCATGCCACTGCATTCCAGCCTGGGTGACAGAGCAAGACCCTGTCTCAAAAATAATAATGATGATGATGACACATTTAGAGCAAATGCAATTTGATGTGTAATAATACATCCTCTCTTGTGAAAATGTATTATTTACTATTGCATAACAAATTATGTAAAACTTAGCTTGAAACAACAAATATTTCTCATCTCCCACAGTTTCCAATCGTCAGGAATCCAGGAGAGGTTTCCCTGAGTGCTTCCTGCTCAGGGCCGCTCACAAGGTTGCACTCCAGTTGTCAGCCAGGGGCTGCAGCATCTGAGGGCTTCTCTGGGGCTGGGAATTCACAAGAAACATGGATCAGTCACATGGCTGTTGGAAAAGGCCTGGTTCCTTGTTGTCTGTTCCCAGAAGGCCTCAGTTCTCAGTCATGTGGACCTTCCTGCAGGGCTGCTTATGGCACAGTGGCTGGCTTCCCCCAGAGCTCATGATCCCAGATTCAGAGAGAGAGAGAAGGTGGAAGCCGCAGTTAGTTTTATGTTCTACACCCAGAGTCACAAACTGTTATGTTGGCACTATTCTATAAGTTAGAAGTATTAGTCCATTCTCACACTGCCATAAAGAAATACCTGAGACTGGGTAATTTATAAAGGAAAGAGGTTTAATTGACTCACAGTTCTGCATGACTGAGGCGGCTGCCCCAGGAAACTTACAGTCATGGCAGAAGTGGAAGCAAACCCGTCCTTCTTCACGTGGTGACAGGAGAGAGAAATGCACAATGAAGCAGGGAAAAGCCCCTTATAAAACCATCAGATCTCATGAGAATTCCCTCAGCATCAGGAGAACAGCATGGGGGCACCGCCCCCATTATCCAATCACCTCCCATGAGGTCCCTCCCCCAATAGGTAGGGATTACAATTTGCATAACAATTCAAGATGAGATTTGGGTGGGAACACAGAACCAGGCCATTTCAGAAGTGCCTCATTAAGTCCAAGCCACACTCAAGAGAGGGAATTAAGCTGCACCTCTAGAAAGGAACAGTATCAAAGGATTTGAATATATGTTAAAAGCAAAATTATAACTATTGTTTCAGGTTTCTGAAAATCAAAATCTTCTTGTATCTAATTAGTTTTCATTAACTCTTTAAGCTTGTCTTTTAATTTAATTTTTTTTAAGTTCCAGGGTACATGTGTGTAGGATGTGCAGGTTTGTTACATAAATGTGTGCCATGTTGGTTTGCTGCACCTGTAAACTCATCACCTAGGTATTAACCCTGGCATGCATTAGCTATTTTTGCTAATGATCCTCCCATCACCACCCTCCCCCAACAGGCCCCAGTGTGTGTTTTTCCTCTCCCTGTGTCCATGTGTTCTCATTGCTCAGTTCCCAATTATATATGAGAACATGTGGTGTTTGGTTTTCTGTTCCTGTGTGAGTTTGCTGAGGATAATGGCTTCCAGCTTCATCCATATCCCTGCAAAGGACTTGATCTCATTCCTTTTTATGGCTGCATAATATTCCATGGTGTATATGTACCATATTTTCTTTATCCAGACCATCATTGATGGGCATTTGGGTTGATTCCTTGTCTTTGCTATTGTGAATAGTGCTGCCATGAATGTAAACATGCATATATCTTTATAATAGAATGATTTATATTCCTTTGGGTATATACTCTGTAATGGGATTGCTGGGTCAAATGGTATTTCTGGTTCTAAATCTTTGAGGAATTGCCACACTGTCACTGTCTTCCACAATGGATTAACCATTTACTTTTCCACCAACAGTGTAAAAGCATTCCTATTTCTCCGCAACCTCGCCAGCATCTGTTGTTTCTTGACTATTTAATAATTGCCATTCTGACTGGCATAAGATGGTATCTCATTTGTCGTTTTGATTTGCATTTCTCTAATGATCAGTGATGGTGAGCTTTTTTTTTCATATTTTTTTGGCCACACGTATGTCTTCTTTAGAAGTGTCTGTTCATGTTCTTTGTCCACTTTTTTAATGAAGTTTTTTTTTCATGTAAATTTGCTTAAGTTCTTTGTGGATTCTGAATACTAGACTTTTGTCAGATGGGTAGATGGCAAAATTTTTCTCCCATTCTGTAGCATGTCTGTTCACTCTGATTGATGATAGTTTCTTTTGCTGTGCAGAAAAAAAATTGCCTAATCTGATTGCTTTTCATTTACAAAAATGTGAATCTCATACTTCAGTCAACACATCTAGTTTAGCATGATGCCAATAATTTTGGCTTGATGCTGTAGCCCGAAATGGTTAGCTCGAATTGAGAGACAAGTTATTTTCAAAAACTGGCTATTCGATGGGCATTCTATAACAAACTTAACATCTTTTGTTGTGGTATTGAATGAGATGTGATAGAAGTGATTTGGACACCACTATGATTCTAAACAGCACTGCTATTACGTGCTTCTGAATTTTTTTTTCTTTTTAGCAGTCCTATTCTGTTTCCATTCATATTTGCTATTCCATCACTGGGTATTCCTTCCTACTCTTTTCATGTTTCATTTATTTTGATCAATGATGTGCATTTCCAATTCTGTAAAAGTTTAATTCCGTTGTATGTGTGGTAAAATGTAACATCAAATCTTTGCAAGATGAAATTACCTTGCACAGCATATTGAACATTGTATTATTGAAAATCTAGAGAGACGCCAGTGAGCCAAGGATCGAATGACCTATATGTAGCCAAGGCCGTTTTCATGGCATCCTGGTCCTCTCTGTCACATAGCTCCTTACAATTCTCTGTGGTTTTCTTCCAATGTAAGTAGTTCTTGTTAAGAATCTTTGCAATGAACTTTGAAATTCTTTTCTTTTTCATTTCTATAAAAAACAGGTATATTTTAATTTGGAAAACTCTGTTTAAGGAATTATAATCAAGTAACTACCAGGGTGCCCAGCACTGGTGTAAAACACGAAACTGTAAAACTACCCTGGGCTGCTACCCAGTCATCCTCCAGAAGGAGACTGTTGGGAGCAAGTCCCCCAAAATCTGGTCATAAACTGGCCCCGAGACTGGCCATAAACAAAATCTCTGCAGCACCATAACATGTTCATAATGGCCTTAGCACCCAAGCTGGAATGTTGTGGGTTTACAGGAATGAGGGCAAGGAACACCTGGCCCGCCCAGGGTGGAAAACCACTTAAAGGCATTCTTAAGCCACAAACAATAGCATGAGTGATCTGTGTCTTAAGGGCATGTTCCTGCTGCAGTTAACTAGCCCAACCTATTCCTTTAATTTGGCCCATCACTTCGTTTCCCATAAGGGATATTTTAACTAATTTAATATCTATAGAAACAATGCTAATGACTGTAATAAATATATGGGTAAATCTCTGTTCAGGGCTCTCAGCTCTGAAGGCTGTGAGACCCCTGATTTCCCACTTCACACCTCTGTATTTCTGTGTGTGTGTCTTTAATTCCTCTAGCACCACTGGGTTAGGATCTCCCTGACCGAGCTGGTCTCAGCAGAAGACTCCATGCTGAATCTTGTGATACTTATTCCTTTGTATTTCTTCAAAGATTTGTGCAATAAGTATATATATATATATATATATACATATTTGTGTATATATACACATATATGTATATATATGTGTATATGTATGTGTATATATACACACACACATATATATATGTATGTATGTATATATATGTATCCCCAAAACAAATATCAGTTGGTTTTGCTGGTTTTTAAGCTTCCTGTACAGCAAGTTCCTACTGCATTTATTTTCCCATGATGCACATTATGTGTAGGAGTTATCTGTGGTGTGGGAGGCTGTCATTCTTTCATTTTTACTGCTGAAGGCTTACATATGGTTATACCACAATTTCACTAGTTTCCTATTGATGTATATGTGGCTGATTCCAGTTTTTGCCATAAATATTAGTGTGCATGTCTCCTGTGCACATAGGCAAGAAAGCCCCCCAGAGTGGATGATTAGGAATGGGTTGGTTGGATGATAGGTTGTATGGACTTTAACCATAGTAGATAATGATAATATGATTTGCAAAGTGATTGTGGCTAAACTTTTACAATAAATGTGTAATACTTGATGTTGATGATGTGTTCTGAAAACACTGCGTTGAAGGAATTGAGTTAAAAGCCACTGTCTTGGCTGTAGAATTATAGCGGGCATTTTTATTCAGACTCTGTTAATAACTTCCTGTTGTTTACTTGTTTCTCATATACATGACATTATATTTTTGACATATAGATTCAGAAAATGCTTACTTACAGCCCAATCACATAGAGTTATTGTATATATTAGGAAAATTTCATAATAAAAAGGAAAAAATGGAGGAAGAGAGAGAAAGAAGGAGGAATGGAGGAAAAAGCAAAAGAAGAAAAGAAGGAAGGGGAGGGGAAGGAAAGGGAGAAAGAAGGAGGGAAGGCGATAGGTTGAATGGAAATAGAGAAGAAAGAGATGGAGGGAGGGCTAGAAGGAAGGAGAAAGGGAAGGAAGAGGCCAGGCGCAGTGGCTCATGCTTGTAATCCCAGTCTTTGGGAGGCCGAGGCAGGCAGATCATGAGGTCAGGAGATAGAGACCATCCTGGCTAACATGGTGAAACCCTGTCTCTACTAAAAACACAAAAAATTAGCCGGGCATGGTGGCAGGTGCCTGTAGTCCCAGCTACTTGGAAAGCTGAGGCAGGAGAATGGCATGAACCTGGGAGGCGGAGCTTGCAGTGAGCCGAGATCGAGCCACTGCACTCCAGCCTGGGCGACAGAACGAGACTTTGTCTAAAAAAAAAAAAAAAAAAGAAAAAGAAAAAAGAAAAAAAAAGGATGGAACAAAGGAGAAAAGAAACTAAAATAAAGAAAAGAATAGGTGTTGAGAAACTAGAAACCCTATGTGTGGCTAATATTATCAAAATAGGAGAAAATAAAACAGATGTAGTTAACCTCTAGAGAATAATGGAAATGTAAGAGGGCTTCATTAGTTATCCATTGCTGTGTAACAAACTACCCCCAAATTTAGTGACTTGGGATCACTAAATGAGGGATCTTCTTCCCGTCATTCCCTCAGAGATTTTATCCCTTAATTGCGTCTTCCCGTCATTGCCTCAGAGATTTTATCCCTTAATTGTGTCAGAGAGCAGGGTGGAACCTCAGAGTCACTCTCTGGTACAGGATCTGGAAACCCAGGAGGATTCTTCTCCCTCAGGACCAGAGGGAGGGTGATATTCTAGTGTTGGTCCCATCTGTCTCCTCTCCTTGTGGGAGGCCAGCCTGGGAGATCTACAGGCGATCAGGGAGGCGCCCCGTGGCCCCTGGTACCAGTGCGCTGCAGCGTCTCCTTCCCGTTCTCCAGGTATCTGCGGAGCCACTCCACGCACGTGCCCTCCAGGTAGGCTCTCTGCTGCTCCGCCTCATGGGCCGCCTCCCACTTGCGCTGGGTAATCTGAGCCGCCATGGCCGCCGCGGTCCAAGAGCTCAGGTCCTCGTTTAGGGCGATGTAATCTTTTTACAGAGAATCGTTTTTACAGAGAATGGGGAGATAACCAGGACAGGATTTATGGACCCAGTGATTCCACCGTGGGGCATAATTTGTCCAGGTTTATTCCCTGGCCTCTGTAAGCCCCACTGTGATAGGGACATAATGGTGCTGTGGGAATCTGGGCAGCAATGTTAGCTCACACCCAATGTTAACACTTATCCCATCTCCTGATTAAATGGCTATAGGCTCCTTTGCAGAAGGGCTGATGGAATTGTCCCAGCATGTAACAGTCATGGTGTCCCAAGGTTCTTTCTCTTAGGGATATGGATACTTCCTCAGCCACTGGATTCTGAATATGAAGCTTGCTCCTCAATTCTTACATGCTTATCATAGATATCAAGCAGTGCTCTTGCTGTCTGCCCATCTTTTCTGACCCTGGGACACCACCCTTTATTAAGCTTTCCCATAACTCCTTGAAGGTCAAGCCCCCTTGACTGATACTCTGGGTTATCACAGTAAGTGTGCCCTCTATCTTTTTCAGGTCACTGAAAAGGAGGGTTCCTAAAGCATTCACTCCTGACCCTGAGGGAGGTGGGTGCACTCACTCCGGGACTCAGGTGCACCACAGATAAGCAAAAAAGTCCTCACATTCAAAATTGTCCTGGGCCACATGCAGCCCACGAGCCGCGGGTTGGATAAGCTTGCATCTAGAACATATGCACCACAAGGCCCGAAATTTTTCTGTTTTTACTTTAATGATGCTTTCTAAATGCAAAAACAGTTATATACCTAGCAGAAACAAATGTCAGTTGAAGGAATGATCATAGAGAACCACTCTATTCTAGAGGCAATATCTTTATTAATGTAGCCTCAGGACAAATGCTTTATTTTTGTGGCAGCTACAGAACAACATCATCTCACACTGACATCAGTGCCACTGGAGCTTTTCTCACCAGGGCTGCTTGTGTGTCCTCCCTCCCTCCCTCCCTCCCCCCACACCAACTCTCCTGCACACTGCAGCACACAACCATATTTTTCTCTTCAGGAAAGATAACCCTAGGCTTATGGGTCCAATTTTCCAACCACATATGAATCTAAACTAGACTCTGCTTTATAAATTGATGAGTTTCTATTGGAGCCAGCACTAGGATTACTACAACTCAGGGCAGGAAGAAGAGTAGGAGTGCAGAAGAGGAGTTCCAACAGAAAGTTACCTATGATGAGAAACTATGGGACCCTGCCTCTTGGCAAATTTCAGAATCTGGTTCCTTTAAAAAGATTGCAGAAAAGATGGAAAATACAATGAGGAAAGAGCCCTGGGAAGAGGGCAAGAGCTTGAAAGATCTGAAAATTTGTCTCTTGATACCACAAGGACCCTGGTATGCAGGGACTGCCATAGGTGACATCCAAGTCCCTGTGATCACAGGTCATGGTGGGACAAGGTTCTACTGAAGGGCCAAGTGTGGGCGGAGGATTACTCAGGTGCCGAGGCAAGAGACTGAAGGCACAAACTGTTTTAGTATAATAAAGAAAATAGTTAGAATAAGAATAGTCATAATACAAATTAGATATAGAGATGATCATGAAAAATTATCAATCATTATTATAAACATTATTAATCATTAGCTTTTAATATTACTCTTTGTTGCATTACTAAGATAACCTAGGAATAACTGGCGGGCATAGGGTCAGGTGCTGAAGGGACATTGTGAGAAGTGACCTAGAAGGCAAGAGATGAGCCTTCTGTCACGCCCGCATAAGGGCTGCTTGAGGGATCCTTGGTCAAGTGGCAATGCCAATGTCTGGGAAGGCACCTGTTACTTAGCAGACCACGAAAGGGAGTCTCCCTTTCTTGGAGGAGTCGGGGAACACTCTGCTCCACCAGCTTCTTGTAGAAGGCTGGATATTATCCAGAGCTACCCGCAGTCATCCAGAGGCCTAAACCCCTCCCTGTGGTGCTGTGCTTCAGTGGTCATGCTCCTTGCCCACTTTCATGCTCCTCCTGTACTCCTGGTTCCTCTTTGAATTTCGTAGTAGATAATGGTAGAAGAAATAGTGAAAGTCTTAAAGTCTTTGATCTTAAGTGCAGAAAAGAAAATGGTGACATATGCTACCTAAAAGGGAAGGGCCCCCTATCCTGTAATCACGTGACTTGCTTCACCTTGTCAATCAGTTAGAAGATTCACCTTCCTTACCCTGCCCCTTGTCTTGTATGCAATAAATATCAGCGAGCCCAGCTGTTCGGGGCCACTACCGGTCTCCGCATCTTGATGGTAGTGGTCCCCCGGGCCCAGCTGTTTTCTCTTTATCTCTTTGTCTTGTGCTTTTATTTATTACAATCTCTCATCTCCGCACACGGGGAGAAAACCCGCTAAGTCCCGTAGGGCTGGATCATACAGCCAAGGACAACGGAGCAGCAAAGATGACCCAGCTGAGCAGTGACCACATAAAGCGCACGGTGGCCTGAGCACCCACTGGGCACAGCCCCATCTACTCTCCTCTCATGCAACAAATCAGCATAAGAAACTTGTGGACTCTGGAAGGTTCTCATGTCTTCCATTTATTTTGTCTCTCAAATTTTAGGAATCTTCTCCTTTAATTAGCCCATCAACCTCTCATGGCAAGAATTTGAAAAAGTAAATTTATACTCAGATTCTAATTTTAATAAGGAAGTAAGAAGTTACAGCTCAGTGCACATAAAGTTGAGACAGAGATGGAGACATCTCAGCCTCACGTCTATGGAGCAGGAATGATTAATTATTGGAGACGGAACACAGGTCAGCATGAGGGAAGAGGGTCATGGTGGACATGGGGGTGGGTTGGTCTCCCCACCTCCTCATATTATGCCTACAGGAACACAGGCACATTCAGGTGCCTTTGCAGAAAGAGAGTCAGGGTTTTTGAAGTCACAAAGGGAAGGCGTGAACAAATCTTGCCTCTCAGTCCCACAGAAGGCAGCTGTCTCACACTATAAAATAAAATATTCATGAACAAATTCATATCCGTCACAGTGAGGGGTGACACTTTAAACAGCCCATCACATGTTCAATACATCCAATTCAAAGAAACCCCATAGCACAGCTGCATCCACTATTGCCCCCAACACCCCCCACACATCAGGTCCCCCAGCGTCTCACCTTTACAAGCCGTGAGAGACACATCAGAACCCTGCGCATGGTTGCTGCCTGGGGTAGAACAAAAACAGGACTTGGTCAGAGCCCACAGAAGATGCGGCTAGAGGAGGAATCTGGGGTTGGGTGAGCTCCCCCATGGGCTCCCGACCACAATATCCCAAAGATCTCAGGGATCAGCCCACTTCATACTTACTTGCAGCTTCAGAGTAGCTCACTCTATCTGTGGGAAGAAAATGTCCTATAAGAGGCCAGAAAGGAGTCAGGGCCATACGGCCCTAAACAAACCCCCTAGCCTTTGATCCTAGAGAAGTTTCCTGAAAGTGTAACTGCTGATCTAGGACAGGATCAGGAAACATGAGGAAAGCAGGTGTGGGTCCTGAACCAACTGCCCTCCTGAGGTCTGTCCTCAGCAGGGACCTTCCCCTGTGACTTGTGACTGCTGGGATCAGGTCCCCATCATCATAATCATCAAGGTGATAAATCTGTCCTTCATTGTCACAGGTGCTTTACAAAAGAGTAAGTGCTGGCACACAGGGCGCAGGCTGGGTAGGCCCATGAGTGTGGATGGTGCTTCCCAGTAACCAGGCAGGACACACTTCTAACTGGGGCTTGAAACCCTCAGTGGGACAAGAAATCTCAGACCCCACTCCTCATCCATTCCTTACCTGAGTTCTTCCTGCACATCACAGCAGAAACCACAGCTCCAGTGACTACAGCTCCAAGGAGAACCAGGCCAGCAACGATACCCACGATGGGGATGGTGGGCTGAGAAGACTGCTCTGGGAAAAAAGGGGAAGGTGAGCGTCCCTGACCCTCAGCCCCCAGCACCGACCCTGCTGAAGTTCTCCAGAGAGGCTCCTGCTTTCCCTAAGAGACATGACCCCCCCTCCACTCATCTCCTGCCTTACTCCATCTCAGGGTGAGGGGCTTGGGCAACCCCTCATGCTGCACATGGCACATGTATCTCTGTTCCTCTCCAGAAGGCACCACCACAGCTGCCCACTTCTGGAAGTTTCCATCCCCTGCAGGCCTGGTCTCTACAAGCTCCATGTCCTGAGTCTGGTCCTCTCCATCCTGCTGCCAGGTCAGTGTGATCTCCACAGGGTAGAAGCCCAGGGCCCAGCATCTCAGGGTGGCCTTATAGTCAGAGACGGAATGGTGGATCATATGTGTCTTGGGGGGGGGGGTCTAACAGGAAGAGTCAGAAAATTCAGGCACTTTGCATCTCTCATGAGACACTCCAGCAGCACGCATGTGGCCATCCTGAGAATGGACAGGACACCTGGGGTGGGGAAGGGAGCACAGAACCCAGACGCCAACCTGGACACAGGTACCTGGGATAATCTCCTATCCGTGGAAAATTCTAGTCCCTGAGGAGGGAACAGTGACTTCTGGTCCTGACCTGAGTGGAGGCTGAGGGACTCAGAAGAGCTGGACTCAGACCCCCACACACATTGAGTGTAAAGCAGAGAGCAAGGCCTGAGAGGAAAAGTAACGGGGCCCAAGGCTGCTGCCAGTGTCAAAGGGAACCCCTCATCAGTATTCCAGGGATTGTCTTCCCTTCATTTCCTCAGAGATTTCATCCCTTAATTGTATCAGAGAGCAGGGCAGACCCTCAGAGTCACTCTCTTGTACAGGATCTGGAAACCCAGGAGGATTCCTCTCCCTCAGGACCAGAGAGAGGACGACATTCTAGTGTTGGTCCCATTTTCCTTCTCTCTTTGTGGGAAGCCAGCCCAGGAGATCTACAGGCGATCAGGGAGACGTCTTGTGTTCCCTGGTACCCGTGAGCTGCAGCGTCTCCTTCCCGTTCTCCAGGTGTCTGCGAGCCTCTCCACGCACGTGCCCTCCAGGTAGGCCCTGATCTGCTCTGCAAATTCTTCTGCCTCCCACTTGCGCTTGGTGATCTGAGCCGCCATGTCCGCCGCGGTCCAGGAGCGCAGGTCCTAGTTCCGGGCTATGTAATCCTTGCCATCGTTGGCGTGCTGTTCATACCCGCGGAGGAGGCGCCCTTCCAGCCCCAAGTCGCAGCCATACATTATCTGGAGGGTGTTAGACCCTGGCCCCGCCCCCGCTGTCAGCCCCGCCCACCGAGCCCCGCCCCCGCCCCGACCAACCCGCGGGGATTTTGGCCTAAACGGAAAATGAAACCTGGTAAAGGCTCCTGGGCCTCTCCCGGGTCGAGGATCTGGCGGGTCCCGCAGCCTCGGGGTGGATCTCGGAGCCGGAGACTCGCGGGGGGGACCCGGGGCGTCCGTGGGGGATGAGGAGGGGTCGTGACCTTCGCCCCAGGCCGGGGTCATTCACCGGCCTAGCTCTGGTGGTAGTAGCGGCGCGGCATGGGCAGGTTCACTCTTGTCAGTCTGTGCGCGGGCCTGATGTTCGGTGTGCTCCGGTCCCAATACTCCGGTCCCTCCTGCTCCAACCACGGCGCCTGCGGCTACATCCTCGGAGTCGCCGCGTCGCTGTCGAACCGCACGAACTGCGTGTCGTCCACGTAGCCCACTGCGATGTACCGGGGCTCCCCGCGACCCGGCCGGGACACGGCGGTGCTGAAATACCTTATGGAGTGGGTACCTGGGGGCGAGGAGGGGCTGAGACCCGTCCGACCCTCCTCCTTGAGCGGCTCCCCGGGTCCTGCGCCCCAGTGCGCGGGCCCCTAGCTCCTCCCCGCAGAGGCCATTTCCCTCCGGATCCCGCACTCACCCGCCCAGGTCTCGGTCAGGGCCAGGGCCCCCAAGAGCAGCAGGAGGAGGGTTTGGGACGCCATGACCCCATCCTCGGCGTCTGGGGAGAATCTGAATCCCAATGGGTTCGCGGGGACTTCTGGAACAGGGACCCCAGCGACGCCGATTGGCTTCGCTAGAAACCCGACACCAAATGGGAGTGAGAACTGAGTCCACATCCTGAGTGTCCAGGAAGAAGGACCCTACATAAGTTGGGAGAGGGAGAAGAGAAACTGCGGAGATGGGGAATCCCCAACCCTGGGCCTCCCCAATCAATACAACGCCTTCGGGGCCTGAAACCCTGAAAGCCACGCCTGGGGCCATAGGGCTTCGCCCTGACCCCGCTCCTCCTGTGCCAAGCGCTCAGTCTCAATGTCTCCCTGAGTCTTGGCCCAAGAGCTGTCTGAGAAACCAGGGAGAAACCCTCGTCATGGGCCCCGTCCCTCTTCATTTTTCATCCCGGAATCCCCGTCCCAGAACTGGACTCCCTGCCTCCCACTCCTTACCTATTTCCCTGAACTCTTCTAGAAAAAAACTCACCCCAGGGAGCTTGGTGACAGAGAGGGAGCTCGCCGCCAGAGAGGGAGCTCGCCCTGGGAATGGAGGCGTAGAGACAGGTTTTTGTTTTTTTTTTCTTTAAATCCGGAAAAGTTGTGCCTGAGTACATGAGACAGCATAGAGACAAGTTTTCTCTTTATTAACTACAGTGGGTAGCAGAATCTTGGCAACCCCTAAATGATCAGGAATCTAATCGGTAAAAAATGTAACTTTGGCCCCTTGATCTATAAATGTGTCTGAAAGCATTACAACAGGACTCACAAAGCTACTAAGTTTGACTTTCGCAGACAATGTATCTGTGACTCCCGCTTGTTTTTTACATTTACCTTCATTCCACAGCCCTGAGTTACTGGGTGAGTCCAAGACATCTCCTCAATATAAAGTAGCACACTGCGTTACTATATGTTGCAACCGGGAGCCAGTACAGACTTTATTCACCTCACAGTTGCAAGTGTTCAATGCAGTCACAATGCCCCTCAGCAGTGCTCATGTGCTGCCTGTTTTTAGGAAGTATTCACGTCTAAGTGGTGTGTATATCTTATAGGAATACTTAGTATTTTTAAAACCTGATTAATTAAAAAAAATTAGTTTCTAGGCAGTCCCAAATATAGTATTAAAGGCCAACTGCAAAGAAGGAACACTAAGTATTTTTTAAACCTTATTAACATAAAAAAACATTAGTTTTTAGGCAGTCCTACATTAGGTATTAAAGGCCAACTGCAAAGAACACTGAGCGAGGCTCTGTGTAATAAAAATCTATAAAACAATGTGTTTAAACCTAAGAATTCTACTGCTTTCCAATTCCTTCCCTCTGCTCCTTTTCCTAACCTCCTGCTTCTCCAGCCCTTCCCTCTGTCCCTTTCATCCCTCAGGCCCTCCTCTCCCCTTAGTCCCCACCACCCTGTCACTTCTAAATTGTGGCTCTAGCATTGTCCCATTACCTGCTATGTGACTGTTCTCTCCACAGTGGTCCTGCTCCTGTGAGTCAGAGTGTGTCATTTCCTCACCTAAAACACTCCAGTGGCTCCACCTCGGTCTTGTGAAGCTTCTAGAATGTCAGGCACGTGAGCATATGAGGGCATACCTGGTTCATCTTAGGCACTAAATTAATTTTTGTTGACTGAATGAATGAAATATGAATGTATTAAATTGCATCACAGAAAGTTATAAAATGTAAAACACTGAAAAATTAAGAAATATTTTATTTTATGTAACTAGTGTGCATATCAATTCATCCGAGTCTGTTGAGCCTGTGTATGAATTTTATAAGATTGCATAACAAATTATCACAAACATTGACTTTAAACAACACCCAATTATTGTTGATTTATTTGTTTTTAGAGACAGAGTCTCCCTCTGTCATCCAGGGTGAAGTGCAGTCACATGATCATGGCTCACTGCAGCCTCAAACTCCTGGGCTCAAGGGATCTTCCTGCCTCAGTCTTCAGAGTAGCTAGGACTGCAGGCAAGTGCCACCACTCCCAGCTAATTAAAAAGAAATTGTAGAGATGAGTGTCTCACTGTTTGATCTTGGCTGGTCTCAAACTCCTGGATGCAAGTGATCCTCCTGTGTCAACTCCTCAGATGTTAGGATTGCAGGTGTGCATTACCACGCCTGGCCAAACAACACCCATTTATCTGTTTATAGTACCTTAGTCAGAAATCTGGGCATGATGTGGATGGAATCTCTGTTCCGGGATTCCCAAAGCTGTGTTTTCATTTTGAATCCTCCTTCAGGCTTATACAGAGGTGGCAGAATGCAGTTTCTTGCAGTTGTAAGACTGAGGTCCGCGTTCCTTGCTGGCTGTCAATGTAGAGAACAGGGAGGGCTGCGCTCAATTCCTGATGCCCACCAGCGTTCTTCCCTGTACAGCCCCTTCATTTTCAAAGCCCACAGTGGAGGAAACCCCTCATGCTGAATCCCTCTCACACTGTGAATCTCTATGCTCAGGAAGAACCCAGTCCTTTCAAGGACTCACCTGATTAGGACAGTCCAAGCAGCATAAACCCAGCCTAAAGTCAACTAATTGAGGCCCTTAATTATATCTGCTAAATCCCTTCACAGCAGCACCTACATTAGAGTTGGTTGAATAACTGGGGGAAGGTGAATGACCAGGAGCTTGTTGTTGAGGCCATCATAGAATCAGCCTAGCAAGGGCTGGATCTTCTTTTTGTGTTCACTTGGGACACAGTTGCAAATTGAAGTTCAAGTAAAGTAATCATTGTGAACGGTAATAAAATACATCCTTTTCAGCCACGGAAATTCTCCTTACCTTTTAAAACTAAGTTACATATTTATATCTTTTAATTAATTTAGGCCAGATTTGGTGGCTCGCACCTGCAATCCTAGCATTGTGGAAGGCAGAGGAAGGCAGATTTGTTGACTCCAGAAGTTCAAGATCAGCCTGGGCAACATGGTGAAACCCCCATCTCTACAAAAAACTAGAAAATTAGCCAGGCATGGTGGTTCATGATTGTACTCCCAGCTACTCAAGAGGCTGAGGTCAGAGGGTCCCTTGAGCCCAGGAGGTCTACACTGCAGTGCATGGTGATCATGCCACTGCACTCCAGCCTGGGTGACAGAGTGAGACCCTGTCTCAAAAATAATAATAATGATGATGATAAATTTAGAGCAAATGCAAATTAACATGTAATAATACATCCTGTCTTGTGAAAATGTATTAGTTATTTACTATTGCATAACAAATTATGTAAAATGTACCATTTCAAAACAACAAATATTGATCATCTCCCACAGTTTCCAATTGTCAGGAATCCAGGAGAAGTTTCCCTGAGTGCTTCTTGCTAAGGGCCTCTCACAAGGTTGCAGTCCAGTTGTCAGTCTAGGCCTGCATCATCTGAGGGCTTCACTGGGGCTGAGGATTCACATGAAACATGGATCAGTCACATGGCTGTTGGAAAAGGCCTAGTTCGTTGTAATTGAGTCCCAGAAGGCCTCAGTTCTTAGCCAGATGGACCTTCCTGCAGGGCTGCTCATGGCACAGCAGCTGACTTTCCCCAGAGCTCATGATCCCAGAGACAGAGAGAGAGAAGGTGGAAGCCACAGGGAGTTTTAGGTTCTACACCCAGAGTCACAAGCTGTTACGTCGGCATTGCTCTATCAGTTAGAAGTTGTATTAGTCTGTTCTCACACTGCTATAAAGAAATACCTGAGACTGGGTAATTTATAAAGGAAAGAGGTTTAACTGACTCCCAGTTCTGCATGGCTGAGGAGGCCGCCCCAGGAAACTTACAATCATGGCAGAAGTGGAAGAAAACCTGTCCTTCTTCACATGGTGGCAGGAGAGAGAAATGCAGAGGGAAGCGGGGAAAAGCCCCTTATAAAACCATCAGATCTCATGAGAATTCACTCACTATCATTAGAACAGCATGATCCAATCACCTCCCATGAGGTTCCTCCTTCAATACTGGGGATTACAATTCGCATGACAATTGAAGATGAGATTTGGGTGGGAACACAGAACCAGGCCATATCAGAAGTGCATCATTAAGTCCAAGCCACACTCAAGAGAGGGAATTAAGCTGCACCTCTGGAAGGGAGCAGTATTAAAGGATTTGCATATATGTTAAAAGCAAAATTCAAACTATTATTTCAGGATTTTTAAGTTAAAGGCTTTTAATCTAACTATTTTTCCTTAACATTTTAATCTTGTCCTTTAATTTAATTTAGTTTAATGTTAAGTTCCAGGGTACATATGCAGGATGTGCAGGTTTGTTACACAGGTAAACGGGTTCCACGGCAGTTTGCTGCACCAATCAACCCATAACCTAGGTATTAACCCCTGCATGCATTAGCCATTTTTCCTAATGCTCCCTCCACCACCGCCCTCCCCCAACAGGCCCCAGTGTGTGTTGTTCCTCTCCCTGTGTCCATGTGTTCTCATTGTTCAGCTCACAATTATAAGTGAGAACATGCGGTGTTTGGTTTTCTGTTCCTGTGTTAGTTTGCTGAGGATAATGGCTTCCAGCTTCATCCATATCCCTGCAAAGGATTTGATCTCATTCCTTTTTATGGCTGCATAATATTCCATGGCATATATGTATCATATTTTCTTTATCTAGTCCCTCATTGGTGGGCATTTGGGTTGATTCCATGTCTTTGCTGTTGTGAATTGTGCTGCAATGAACAAACATATGCACATATCTTTGTAATAGAATGATTTATATTCCTTTGGGTATATACCCTGCAATGGGATTGCTGGGTCAAATGGTATTTCTGGTTCTAAATCTTTGAGGAATCACCACACTGCCTTCCTCATTGGTTGAACCAATTTACATTTCCACCAACAGTGTAAAAGCATTCCTATTTCTTTACAACCTCGCCAGAATCTGTTGTTTCTTAACTTTTTAATAATTGCCATTCTGACTGGCATGAGATGGTATCTTATTGTGGTTTTGATTTGCATTTCTCTAACGATCAGTGATATTGAGCTTTTTAAAATATTTTTTTGGCCACCTGTATGTCTTCTTTTGAGAAGTGTCTGTTCATGTGCTTTGTCCACTTCTTAATGAAGTTGTTTTTTTCATGTAAATTTGCTTAAGTTCTTTTTAGGTTATGAATATTAGACCTTTGTCAGATCGATAGATTGCATAAATTTTCTCCCATTCTGTAGGTTGTCTCCTTTTCGCTCTGATGATAGTTTCTTTTCCTGTGCAGAAGCTCTTTTGTTTAATTAGATCCCATTTGTCAATTTTTGCTTCTGTGGCAGTTGCTTTTGGCAATTTCATCATAAAATCTTTGCCCATGCCTATGTCCTGAATGGTATTGCCTAGATTTTCTTTCAGGGTTTTTCTAGTTTTGGGTTTTACATTTAAGTCTTTAATCCATCTTGAGTTAATTTTTGTGTAAGGTGTAAAGAAGGGGTCCAGTTTCAATTTCCTGCATGGCTAGCCAGTTTTCCCAGCACCATTTATTAAATAGCGTTTCCTTTCCCCATTGCTTGTTTTTGTCAGGTTTGTTGAAGATCACATGGTTGTAGATGTGAGGTCTTATTTCTGAGTTTTCTATTCTGTTCTGTTGGTCTATATGCTTGTTTTTCTATCAGTACCATGCCGTTTTGGTTACTTTAGCCTTATAGTATAGTTTTAAGTAGGATAGCCTGATGCTTCCAGCTTTATTCTTTTTGCTTAGCATTCTCCTGGCTATACGACCTCTTTTTTGGACCCATATGAATTTTCAAATTTTTTTTCTAATTCTGTGATAAGCTTCTCTTTTTAAATTAATGATTAAATGTTTGAGACATGACAGAGCCTTGGGTGCTGCAGGGAAAACAGTTTGAGACAGAGAAAGGAGAAACAACAGTATCTCTGAGTTTTTCTTGTAAATACCTTTAATAACAATGTTCTTCAATAAGTTAACACAGTTGAGAACATAGAGTAACTAGATCAAATAGTTCCAAGACTTCAGTGCCATAAAAATCATGCCTTGAAAATAAGTCTTTGTTTTGTCTAAGATGTCTCAAATTTAGTGGAAGTATGCCCCAAGCGCCAATTTTCTTATTGACATATCATCTTCAGAAAACATTTGCCTACACTTAAAAAAAAATACACACACACTGCTCTGTCTATGGAGTAGCCATTCTTTTCTTTCTTTACTTCTCTAATAAACTTGCTTTCACTTAGAAAAAATTGCATAATCAGATTGCTTCTCATTTATAAAAATGGGAATCTCATACTTCAGTCAACACATCTAGCTTAGCATAATGCCAGTAACTTTGGTTTGATGCAGTAGCCCAAAATGCTTAACTCGAATTGAGAATCAAATTTTTTCCAAAAACGGCTATTCAGGGGCATTCTATTGTAAACTTAACATTTTTTGGTGTGGTATTGCATGAGATGTGATAGAAGTGATTTGGACACTACTACAGTTCTAAATAGCACTGCTGTTATGTGCTTCTGAAGTTTTTTTTTTTTTTTTAGCTGTCTTATTTTGCTTTCCATTCATATTTGCTATTCCATCACTGGTTGTTCCTTTCTACTCTTTTCTTGTTTCATTTATTTTGATCAGTGATGTGTATTTCCAATTCTGTGAAAGTTTAATTCAGTTGTATGTGTGGTAAAATGTAACACCAAATCCTTTGCAAGAAGGAATTACCTTACACATCAGATTGAACACTGTATACTTGAAAATCCAGAAAGACGCCAGTGAGCCAAGGATCAAATGACCTATTATTAACCAAGGCCATTTTCATGGCATCCTGGTCCTCTCTGTCACATGGCTGCTTACATTTCTCTGTGGTTTTCTTTCAATGTAAGTAGTTCTTGTTAAGGATCCTTGCAATGAACTTTGGTATTCTTTTCTGTTTCATTTTTATAAATACCAGGTATATTTTAATTTGAAAACTCTGTTTAACAAATTATAATCATGTAACTAAAAAGATGCCCAGCACTGGTGTAAAACACAAACCTGTAAAGCTCCCCTGGGCTGCTGCCCAGTCACATCCCCCAGAGAGAGACTCCATCCTGAGTCTTGTGATCCTTATTCCTTTGTATTTCTTTAAAGATTTGCACAATGAGTATATATATATATATATATATATATATATATATATATATGTGTGTGTGTGTGTGTGTGTGTGTGTGTGTGTGTGTGTGTGTATATATATATATATATACACACATATATATCCAAAAAAAATTATTTACTTCTGCTGGTTTTTAAGCTTCCTGTACAGCAAATTCCTACTGCATTTATTTTCCCATGATGCACATTACGTACAGGAGTTATCTGTGGTGTGGGAGGCTGTCATTCATTCATTTTCACTGCTGAAGGTTTACATTTTATGCCACAATTTCCTATTGATATATATTTCCTATTGATGTATATGTGGCTGATTCCAGTTTTTGCCATAAACATTAGTGTGCCTGTCTCCTGGGCACATAGGCAAGAAAGCCCCCTAGAGTGTGTGGTTAGGAGTGGGAGGGTTGGATGATATGTTGTATGGACTTTAACCATACTAGATAATGATAATATGATTTCCAAGGTGATTGTGTCAACTTAAACTCATGTGTTCTGAAAACACCTAGTTGAACGAATTGAGTTAAAAGCCACTGTCTTGGCTGCAGAATTATAGCAGGCATTTTTATTCAGACTCTATTAATAACTTCCTGTTGTTTACTTGTTTCTCATATACCATGGTATTATACTTTTGACATATAGATTCAGAAAATTCTTACTGATAGCACAATCATGTAGGGGTTATTTTATATGTTAGGAAAATTTCATAATAAAAAGGAAAAAATGGAGGAAGGGAGAGAAAGAAGGAGGAATTGAGGAAGGAGTGAAAGAAGAAAAGAAGGAAGGGGAAGGGGAAGAAAAAGGACGGAAAGGAGGAAGGGAGAAGGAGGGCGAGAGATAGAATGGAAGTAAAGAGGGAAGGAGGGACAGAAGGAAAGAGAAAAAGAAGGAACAAAGGAGAAAAGAAACTAAAATAAAGAAAAGAATAGGCGTTGGGAACTGGAAACCCTCTGTATGGCTAATATTATCAAAATAGGAGGAAATAAAATAGATGTAGTTAACCTCTATAGAATAATGGAAATGTAAGAAGGCTTCATTAGTTATCTGTTGCTGTGTAAAAAACTACCCCCAAATTTAGTGACTTACAGCAACAAACATTGGTGAACTCAAAAACATAATACAAATACCAGCAAAATGGAGCCAATGCATGTAGAAGAAGTTGAATAAACAAAAAGATTTTACACGTTGGAATAAGTAAGAGGTCACTGGTGTGCAGACGAAAATGATTTTGTAGTCCAAATGCTTCAAAAAGCAAGTACCATCATGAGATTAAAGTTACAGCATTTTATTAGGGGACACACCTGTCAGACGATATGGCGAGGGAGGTAGGTTACCCTGGGAAAGGCAATAGAATAAGATGCAAGTGTGACCCCCAGTGATGGAAAGAAGGAAGGAAGGATTACTTAACATGTCCTAGACCACAGGCAATCTAAGGAGAGTTGAGCAAGGCTATGGAGGAGTCCTCCAGCCACAGCTGGCCATCAGAGGAGTCCCTGTCTTCCAGGAATGTCCTGCCTTAGTGTCACTGGTGTGACCCATCACTGGTTGGGAATAGTCCATGGGAAGCAGGGCCTCAGCACCAATGCCACTGAGGATGTCAGAGCACAGGAGCACAGCTTTGGAGGATTACCCAGGAGTGTGACTCAAACCTTCTGCCCTGATGGGTCTGGGCCCTTGAAAATCAAATCCTCTCAGGCTGAATTGCTGGATAATTCTACTCACACTTGCAATGGGGTGAGGGAAAACAGAAGGCCCCCAGGTGGATCTCTGGTTTCCACACTTCTGCCTTTATTGTGTGAAAGTAGCCATGCCTCTTCCTGGGGATGAGGATCTATTACCTGGGCCTGGAGAGGAGGAGACGCCTCTTCTCACCAGGTGGTCTCTGGGCATATACTGTCCACACTTCTCTGGTGACAAACTTAATGTGTAGTTCAGTGGGCTGTCTTTTGTCTCCTTTTAAGGGTACCCTCCTTTGCAAACCAGGACCTCACACCCTGCACAGCCCAGTGTTCTGAGATAAAACATGTCAAATACCCCATTACGTGAATCTAAAAGATTAGACATGGAGCCATACTTGCTTCCACCGTTTGATTTCTGGACCCACATGTTCTTCCTCTTGCGAACACAGAACTGTAGAGACGTCTCTGATTTAAACAACGCACCATGTCCTGAAAGATGGCATGCAACCCTCAGAGTGTTTCCTCCAGGCTGGCACTTAGTTGTGCCTGTGGAAGATCACGGGACTCCAAGCAACTATGTGGTTCCAAGTGCCTGTGTGACCCAGAAAGTCATAGATTGCACAGGCCAAACAGCATTCATCATGAGGTGAAAATGGTCCACCTGGGTTGAGCTTGAATCCCATGTTGACACCCACAGAAAACAGCCAAGTCTGAAGTGTCATTAAACAACGAAACAGACAAATGGAAGTTAGCCAGCCTTCACTATGGGTCAGCCCATGCATGATAGGATGGGCACATGAATGGAACAACCACAGTGGCAGGTGTGAGGCTACATATGGGGCATTCCTTGTGGCTGGCAGCCCCTGGGGAGAGTAGCTGGTGATAGGGTTAGTGGAAGGAACAGCCATGGAAACACTGAATCTTTCCCTTGCCAAGTGGGTCCTTCAGGCAGATAATGGGCTAGGAGCACAACCTAGCCTGCAGACCAGGAATGTCAACAGCACCCAGAGAGTGGTACTGGCTATGTCTGAGAGCAGGACAGAAAAACCCCCCTAGAATAGGTACCTAACCCTGTGAAGATGAACCTCTGGTCCTTCCAGGATGGAAGTAGGTAAATGTAGTCAACTTCTTAGTTAATGGCTAGTCACCTAAAGAAATAGTGCCCCACTAGGGCACATCATGGGCCTAAAATGCTGATGAGTTGGACATTCAGAGGTGGCAGCAGCTGGATCTGCCTTGGTAGGGGGAAGTCAGTGCTGCTGGCACTCATGCCTGCCACTGTGGTTGCTCCATTCATGCACTCATCCTACCAGGCCTGGGCTGACCCATGGTGAAGGCTGGCTAACTTCCATTTGTCTGTTTGGTTGTTCAGTGCCACATCAGACTTGGGTGTTTTCTGTGGGTGTAAACGTGGGATTCAAGCTCAACCCAGGTGGACCATTTTCACTTCATGATGAATGCTGTTGGGCCTGTGCAATTTATGATGTTGTGGGTCACAAAGGCACTTGGAACCACATAGTTGCCTGGTGTCCTGTGGTCAAGCTTTCTATCAAATCAGGACAAGGAACACTAAAAGTTGCTTCTAACAGGGGGCATATGTCTCTGCTGTGGATGATATGATCTTACTCCAGAATCCCAGGCCCTTCACTGTGACTCTCCCACTGGTGCTTGGTTCAGCTCCATCCTGCATCTTTCCCCACAACTGGCACCACCAGCCCCAGGGGGTCTGAGGGACGCTGGCTGCTCGCACCATGGCCTGGATCTGCTGCAGGGTCCTTTCCTGTGTAGGCCCTACTTGAAGCTGGCCTCCTCCTATGTCACCTAGAGTGTTTGCCAAAGCACGTACCTAGATGTGGAATGTGGTGTTGTCAGAACTCACAGAGGCTCATCAGGCAGTGTGCTTCCTTCCTTCTGGTGAGGATGCAAGATGAAACAGTTTGTCTTTTACCTTGGAGGGAACACACCTGCATTCCCCTAAACACTTGGCACTTGTTAACCCATAAAACTTCACTTCAGTGGCCACTCTTGAAGCTCTGTAAGGTTTATCTTCACATACTGGAGTGCATGTGTTTTGCCAATGACTCCAGTGCACTTTCTACCTGCTGCTCATTCACCGCAGTCAACATGAAGTTGTCAGTGAAATGAGCTGATTTAATATCCTATAGAATATCCAGTATGTCTAGTATTGTCTTTAGACCATACTATATAGGGTAGGGGAGTTACAATAGCCCTGAGAAAAAACTATAAATAAATGTGTTGTGGATCCCACATGGATGTGAATCACTCCATATCCCCTTTCTAATTGGAGTGGAGAGAAATGCACTCACCAAATCCATAGCTGCACGCTGTGTGCCCGAGGCTTTATTATTCTGCTCTGCAGTGATATCCAGACAACATAAAAGCTGCAATTATAATTCCTGCTTGGCCAGACCTGGAGTAATCTCATTCATTCTTTAGTCCTCATCAGGCTTCCTCAGGGACAGGTTGCTGGATTATGTAGAGACAATAGACAACCCCAACACCATCCCACATCCTTCAGCTCTCTAATGGTGGTGTGACCCCCACATTACTTTCAGTGTCTTCCTCAAGACACACCCTGGGACACACTATGATTTTTTTTTTTTTTTTGCCAGAATGTGGGCAGCGTCAGAGGTTTCCCTTTGGCTTTCAGCACAATGAGATTCCTGACTCCACAGACTAGGGACCCAGTGTGGGGGTGACTCCACTTAACAGTGCATCAGTGTCAATTATGCACTCAGGGAATTGGAAGATAACCAGGGCTGGGTCTATGGATCCAGTAGTTCCATTGTGGGCCGTAATGTGTCCAGGTTTACTCCCTGACCTCCGTAAGCCCCACTGTGATGGGAGACATGATAGTGCTGTGGGCATCTGGGCATCAATGTCAGCTCTCACTCAGTGTCAATAATCTGATCAGTTCTGCATCTTTCCTTTCGCCAGTGTACAATCTCCTGAGTAAATGGCTATAGGTACCTTTGCTGAAGGACTGAGGGAATTGTGCCAGCATTTACTTCCACGGGGTTGCAGGGTATTCCTCCTAGGGATATGGACTCCTCCTCTGTCACTGGGATCTGAATCTGAACTTTGGCTGAGGTCTAGGCATTGAGGATGGGATCATGACTTTGTATTGGGTCAAACACCTTCACCCTCCTGCTTCTCAATTCTTGCTTTCTTATCATAGATATCAAGCAGCGCCCTTGTTGGCTTCCTGTCCTAATCCTGGGACACCACCCTCTACTATCCTTCCCCACATTCCCTGCAGCTTGAGTCCTATTGGCTACTCCTTTTAGTTTGCCATAGTAACTCTGCCCTCTGGCTTTTTCAGGTCACTGCCACCATTTGGTCTTTGTCTCTTCAGGGCCACACTCTCCCCAGGGATATTAATAAATGCAACTCTGGGTCATCTTTACTACCATCACCCCCAGCCTGCAGAGGACAACACCCCGACACTTCTTAGTGATGCAGGTCCCTCTCACCATCACGTTTCTGAGGCTCTGGTGGAAGGTGTTTCCTTTGGACCCTCTTGTGGAGCATGGTACTGGTGGGCCTTCACCATGCCCACTTCCCTCAGCCTTGTTATTCCATCCTGTGCAAGTTCCAGGGCAACTAAGTTATGTCTACCTTGTTGAGAGTTGGGCATCATTTTTTCTAGTCTATATGGATTCACCCCAGCAGTGGGTTTGGCCCCCCCCCTTATCAAAGTCCTGGGGTGTTTGATAAACCCATGCCTTGAGAAAGTGCCTCCAAGCCAAAGGATTTTTATTCTTCCAGCTTGAAATTCTGGTTCCTTGATCAAACACCCTCAAATTCCAATCCCAGAAGTGCTCCTCGGCCTCCTATGGGGACGTGCCAGCTAGTTCCTGCAAAGCTCTTCAGTGGGATTCCTGCTGTATCATGGGGGTGAGACTTCTGTAGCATCTTCCAGCATAGGAAGTGGGAACCATTACTAGAGAAGGGTGAGCCTCCTATGCATGCCCAGAGGATCCTGGAGGGCACCCATCGGATAACCCTGTTCCTGTTTGCAGAATCTCAGGTTTCCCCACCAGGGTCCTGACTTTCCTCTAACAGGCCTGCCTTGGCTGAGTGGCAAACCTCTCTGGAGCACTGTGGCCCTCATAGTGATGTCTTCAGCTACCATTCCACGGTATCTGCCCTTTCGCTACAAGAGATAAAGACCTCTGCATGAGACACTGCAGAGGCTGTCACATGTAGCCAGTGACAGCTGTTAACAATCTGCAGATTCTCATGATACTTTCACAGGGCATCATTGCAGCTGAGCAGCAACCAGCCAACTCCACTGTCTTTGT
This sequence comes from Homo sapiens, assembly GCF_000001405.40. NCBI lineage: Eukaryota > Metazoa > Chordata > Mammalia > Primates > Hominidae > Homo > Homo sapiens. The sequence continues at coordinate 1,169,774 of NT_167246.2, read as the reverse complement.
AGGTTTCCCCCTAACCCCGTCATTATTGTGCAGGGCATTCTATCACCCCACCTGCCATAGCTTCCCCTAACCAGGGCATCCTCTCAGCTCAGCACGGGTGAGACCCATAGCAGCTCGGCTGCATCTTGTGCTATGGAATTTCTGTGTCTCCCACAACCCTGGTGGCATCCTCTTGGCCTGCCAGGCAGTGGGCAAGCTTTTTTCAAATTCTCATTTTTGCCTGTTTTCATGGATCACCCTTCATACTACTTGTGTTAGTTAGGGTCCCCTGAGGAGCAGACCCCAATACAGTATTCAATGTGCAAGGATTTATTAGAGGAAATAGTTATGAGAGAAATTCAGGACACAGACGGAAAATGCTGGGAATGTCATCAGACCACAAAGCAACTCTGAGCCCCAGTGAGGTAAACAGTGCAGGAAGGTCAGCTGGAAGCATCCTAGACCCTGTGCAGGCTAACAGAAGTTCAGTAAGCGTGGCAGGAAGCCCTAGAGCTTCAGTCAGCCTTCAGAGAAGAAATGTTCCTGCCTTAGTTTCTGCCCTGCTTTCCTCAGTCATTGGCAGGAAAAGACAGGGGGCAGGTGTGGTCTCAGAGCAAATGTGGCAATAGGTTTCAGGATTCAAAAGTTGAGGCCACTATCAATTCTGCTTACTCTAGCTGAGGGGCTGGGATGTGCATTCTCATGACTGCCACAATGATCCAGTGGGGAGAGAGGAAAAAGGTTGATGATAGAGAGAAAAAAAGGTATTAATTGATGAACTGACACCTTTAAGTAGATGATAAGGGATGACGTTTGGGGCACCAGAAGAGGGATTGGCTCTGGCTGGGAGCAGAATGGTTTACCCACAACAGTCCCCGACATGGTAAAACACCTGACATGTGTTGCAGCTGCAAATGCATGAGCAGATGGTGATGGAATCTGTCTTCTAATGTGTTCAGTTTTCTCAGTGAGGTAGGAACCAAGGTTGTCAGCTGAGATAAGAATGGGGAAGGAGGGTTGGATGTGTGAGCACAGAGAGAAGGTGTGTAAGGGTCACCTAGGCCAGGAGGAGGCTGAGGGTGAGCCATGCAGGGAGAGGGTGATTGCTGGCCCTGGTGGGGGCTCCCCATGTGGTTTGGGTCATGAAGTTAGAGAAGACACCAACGATGAGGGACAGTGAGTAGATGGCAGAATCACTGGATTGGTATTCCCAGGGTGGGGGTCGAAGGATTGTTGGAATTGATGTGCTAAAGGGTGGACTTCAAGCCTGGAATGCAGGCACATATGCAATGAGTAGTCACTGATATTACCTCACAGCATATGATAAAATGATAGAGTCTGTGTCCTCAGAGCCTGTGGCCACCTTGCATGGGATGAGTGGAAAGATGGCCAGAGAGTGGGAAGTGTGAAATTGAGAGTATGGAAGGGCTGGGGTTCTTGGGCATGATGAGGCCTAGGGGATGACAGGGGCACGAGATTCAGGCAGAGAGAGGAGAAGGTCATGGAGGAGAGGAGTTCCAGGATCTGAGAGTCCAGGGAGCAAGGGCATCTTCTCTGCTGTATAGGTGTCTATTGCTGCCATAAAAATTACCACAAACCAAGTGGCTTTAAACAGCACCTAATTATCATGTTACAGTCCTGTAGGTTGCAAGTCCGCACAGTCTTATGGGGCTAAGGTCAAGGTATGGGCAGGTCTGTGTTCCTTCCTGGAGACTCTGGGGAAGAATCCACTTCCAAGCTCATTCAGGTTCTTGTCTGAATTCACTTTCTTGCACATAGAACAGAGGTTTCCACTTCCTTGTTAAGAGCCACCCTTAGCTACTAGAATCTTCTTTCAGCTACTCACACATGGTGCCTAAGTCACATCCAATCCTCCTGCTTGGAACGTCTGACCTCCCCTCTTCTATGTCTCCTCTGCCTTCCTCCTCTGCAGAATCTGACTCCAGCCAGGGCAGGTTCTCTGCTTTTAGTGGCTCATTTGATTTGATTGGGGCCACACAGATTGTCCAGGAGAATCTCCCTATTTTAAGGTCCTTAATCATCATTACATGAGTAAAGTCCCTTTTACCATGTAATGCAACCTGTTCACAGGTTCCAAGGACTAAGACTGGACCTCTTTCGGGACCATTACTCAGCCCACCACATGTTGAAGTCATCAACAGTCAAGGAGACTGCTGGAGAGGGTGACAGTGAACCAAGAGCTACAAGAGTCAGGATTGAGAGGAAAGGCCAGGGGCCCACAGGGAATGGCTACAATGAGGGGAATGGGGGTCTAATCTGATGACAGCTTAGGGGTTTTAGGGAGGAGGGAGGCAGAAAGTTCTGAGAACCACAGTGAGGAGCAAGGACCCCACCTCACCTCTGAACCCAGGGGTACAAGTCCATGGGGGAAACTCCCCTATGTGGGAGGACTTCGGAGGGGGTCATGTCCTCAGGGAGACCAGGTTGCTGCTGGAGCTGTGAGGTGCAGGAACATCCTGAGAGAGGGTGTGGAGGTTTTGCTGATCATTGACTGAGATTCCAGGGGGTGCACTGGGAAGATTTCTGTGGTTCAGGAGGTTGGGGAGACAGAATAGTGGTGTTCAGAGCCTTGTGGGGATGTGAGTGCAGAGTATGTGGGGGACCCAGTGTCACTGACACAAACAGGGAAAGGACATGATGAGCTGAGTCCTGGTGGACTCAGCGCAGACAATGGTGCTGAGGCTGTGGGAGATGAGGGAGGAGGAGCAGGGGTGGCTTCACCTGGGCTCTGTCCGTGGAGGTGAGGACAATGAGGTGGTTGGGTCTCAGTGCTGTGTGGAACTTGTTTTTGACCTCCTTATGAGTGGATGGTCTGTCTGAGATAGAACGGGTCTTAGAGGATTTACTCATTACCCTGAGAGAGGGGGCGTGTTCATTCCAGGTTTCAGGTCTGCCCTGACACCTTTCTTTGTGGCTTAGACCTCCCTACTGTAAATTATTGGGTGTTAGTCCATTTTGGAGTTCATAACTTAAAGCAGAAACTCAGATGGTTGAAATGTCATTTTCATGAAGGATTTTTATTAGAGTATCATTTAGATTGCCTTTGCAACCTCCCATGTGTTTTGTTTTTTTTTCTAAAAGGCTGCTAATCTTGTTTTAAATTTGCAATGTAGTTAATTTATCTTCACTGTTAATTAGTTGTGGGTTGTTTAACCTTATACCATATAGTTTTACATATCTATAACAACAGTAGTTTGGGCCTCTTGTATTCTAATAGTTAAGTCCTTAAGCTGTGTACACATTGCAATTCAAGTATGAGTCATGCATAACCGTAGCACTAAGAGACAAGAGGGAAATCCCTCTCTCCTAAAATTTTGCAAAAGTTCTGGGTTTTTTTTCCACTGAGTGGGAACAAGTCAGCTAATCATGAACATGAGGTCTTTGGCCTCATTTAAAGGTGCTTCAGAAGCACTGAGCCATAGGAAGGCCTCTTTGTCTAGGTCCGGGACCCTACACCATGGCAGAAGCCATCTTCCATCCCAGTGTGCAGTGATGTCCCAGATAGCGAATTGGTTAGCCACTTTTCAGTCTCAGGCAGTTTTGTTTTCCAAAACATGGGTTTTTATCTCAGGACCTTCTTGTCCCCAGATGATCAAAACCAGGGCCATCCACTCCCTTCTGAGCCACCTCTGCCTGGGGGGCCCGTGGCTGTGTCCTCCAGTCACAACAGAACATTCCTTCAGAACACCTGCAGGAAGACAACATCTTGTCATTGGCTCACACATGCACGGTGCATGCACAGAGCTTTGGTTCTAGTTCAGGAGGTGTGTGGGGAGGAGGCTCACTAGTCCAACAGAGCTTGGTACCAGTGTCGTATGCCAGGAGCCAAGGTTACAAGGATGCAAAGTTCCCAGACCTACCAGAGAAGGCAAACCCCTGCAGCATGCAGGGCTAGACAGGGGCAAGAAACAAGGTCATTCCGGGCCAGCAGGAAGAGAGAAAGGGAAACTACAGACGTACCTCAGAGACACTGCAGATTTGGTTTCAGACCATGGCAACAAACAAGTCACACAAATTTTTGTTTTTCCAGTGCATAGAAAAGTTATATTCACACTCTACTGTAGCCTATTAAGTGTATGATAGCATTATGTATAAAAGAACTATGTATATACCTTAATTTAAAATTACTCTATTGCTCAAAAATGCTAAGGATCATCTGAGGCTTCAGCTAATCTTAATCTTTTTGCTGGGGCACGGTCTTGCCTCAATGTTGATGACTGCTGGCTGATCAGGAGGGTGGTTGCTAAAGGCTCTTATGACAACTTCTTAAAATAAGACAATGAAGTTTGCGGCATGGATTATAAAGGGGGAATCAGTACTTAAGTAAGGTCAATATAAGTTTTCAAGTTAGGTGGACCTGAATATGAACCCTCCAGGCCTTTCCACCAACTAGCTATAGAGCCTTGGACACATCTTGGCCATAGCTGGCCCCGACAGACACTTGCCCAGCGGTTGAGTGCTCAATGAACCCATCTGAGCCAGTTGCCTCACCCAACCAGTGATATAATTCCTTCCTTGCAGAAGAATAAGTGAAAAAAGGCACAGTGCCAAGAGAATCAGACACACGACCTGCGGAAGGCTGTGCCAGTGCTCTAAAGCAAGTTCTGCCTAAAGCGGCAGAAACATTTTTCACATTAGGAACAGGAGTTGTTTGGGATCCTGTCTGGGGCCAGGTTGAGAGCAGAGTAGGAGTGGGGGCCTGGGTAGGGCCAGGCACTGGAGTGAAGACAGGCCTGGAGAGAGCCTCCTGGAGGCTGCTGAGCGGCTCAGACAGCTCCTTGCCTCACCTGCCACAGTCCTCCCACTCCCCTGGCTCTCTCGGTGCTGTTTTCTTCACCTCCTCCTGCCCTCCTGGTCCCTGGCACCCCAGGGCTCATAAACATGCTGCTCCCAAAACTCCAAGGCAAGTATGGAAGGGCAGAACAGCTTCTGGGACAGTGGGAAGATGAGGCCACCCCCTATGTGGCTCCAAGTGCTCGGGTGGAGGAGATGAAGGGATCAGTACAGTAGTCGGGGGAAATTCTCTCAATCCCACCCTGCACTACCCTCACCTCTGCAGCTTTTTGCCTATTTCCAACTCTCAGCTCCTTCCACCCCCACCCCAACCCAGCCCTCAGGGCTCCCTCTCTCCAGCCCTCCCTCTGCCCAGAGCAGCACAGTCCAGAGTCCTTGAACAGGAATTCCCCCTCATCTAACAGTTAATCATTTATTAGTGGGGACAGACACCTGGTCGTCTCTTTCCAGTGACCCCATATCCTCATTCAAGGCATCCAGATATAGCCCCTGAGCCAGGGATCTGTATCTGCCCTCCAGAGGCCTATGCCCAAGACAGGTTGCTCCCTGGGATTCTCAGTACAGGTGGACTTAAGCTAATGGGCTGGAAAAAGAGAAAACAACGTCGAATTCCTCACTTACCATGAGATCTTGCAACACAGGTTCCAAGGGCCTCAACCCCTCTACCCTGGCTGATGCTCCCTCCTCTACTCCCTCTGACCAGGGCCCTGAGCCCCCCACACAGCTGAGCTGGCCCAAGCCGAGGAGTTGCTTGCACAGCAGCTGGAGTTGGACCAGGCCCTCCTGGAAGGGAAGGAGTGGGTGGGGGCCCGGGCCCTGGTGCTCAAGATCCAAAAGCTAAAGAAACAGATGAGGAGGCACTGAGAGAGCCTGGGAGGAGAGAGCCTGGGAGGGGACAGCCAAGCTTCCCAGCAGTGCCCACAGCACCCTCCATGCCTGGAACTAATGTGCACCACCCCCCAGGAACCCCAGGATCAGAAACACCCCAGCATCTCCCAGGCCAGAGAAAGCAGAAAAGACCCCACAAAGGGCTGGCAATTGGCAGGTAGTGGGGGAGCCAGGGCTCTGCAGTCTTAGTCCCATCCCTCTTTGACCTCACAGCAGGGCACCAAGGCCTTGCAGGAATTTACCCTGGGCCATGCCCTAAAATAACCTCACCCCAAATAAAATAAAGGGAGAGAGCACCCACACATAATGCAGAGGCACTTGTGTTTCATTTTTAGTTATGTTAAAAATTCTGACAATCAGGAATGGGGATTCAGGAGTGGTGCTGAAGCAGAGGACGGAAGCCAGGGGGTGGGGGAAGAGGATGTCAGGGGTGGGGTCAGTAGAGTCTCCTTCACCCCCAACCTGCAGTCTCCTCCTGAAGCGTGGTCACATGCCAGAATGGGCTAGTCCCCTACTGTGTCTGTTCAACTGAGGGGAAAATGTGGCATGGTGAGAATAAGGCATGAAAAGGAAAAAGTGAGGCAGGAACACACAGCACACATGCAGATGCTGGTGTACTGTGTGGATTTACAGGACAGACTTGGGAGTGGGGAAAGAGATGTAATATGATGAAAGAAAACAGATACCCCACATAACAGTCAGAAAAACATCCCAACACAGCATCAAAGACCAGGGTGCATGAACCAGCCAAGTGTCCATTATGCATCAGGTGCCCATGACAGGATTGAAGACAAACATATTAAGGAACTAGGAAGACCTAAAGGGCTTCATGACATCAGCACTCACTGTGGAGGAGATGTCTGTCTCATCAGGCAGCTCACTATCACTCACCTCAAAGCGATGCTGCCCATACTAAGGATTCTGGCATTATTGTCACCTGACACAAATGTGATGGTCAAGCCCTGTGCCACCTGGAAGGGGATAGAGGGTAGGATAGGACTAGAAGACCCAAAGAGGGAAGACTCCCAGAGGGAAGGATGAGGATGTAAAGTGTGAAAAGATACAGAAAGTAAGGAGGTGGGAGAGTGGGTGTCCCTCTGGGTGTGGGGCTTAACTGCTGCAGGTAGGTCTCAGAATCCTCATGCATGTCGTAGGTAAAGGCAATGCTCATCTGCTCCATGTCCATGGCTCAGCCAAATAAGTTGGTAGTCAACAAATTGATCTTATCTTTTGGGGTCATTCTCCAGCAAGTGCAGAACAGTAAAAAAATGTAGTCACCTGAGGTGCATATCTTGGCTTCCTGGCCAGTTTTCCCAAGGCCTCCACTGCCACCATGCACCCTGGGTGCCCTCCACACTCTCCAAGTGTCCAGATGTGTGTGAGGAGTTAAGGGCAGGAAGAACTATTGGATCGTGGATTTAGGTGCCTTTTTCCACCTCTGCAGGTGGCAAGGTGTGGATTCATAAGCTGGCATTGAAGTGAGCTCTGTCCTTTGTGAATAGTTGTTTGGTCACCCACAGTCATGGCTGAGCCCTGAGAATAAGAGAAACTTGTCTAGAAAAAGAAATTGTGCTGACTCTTAAATAAACATTTCTGGTCTGTGTTTTATTTCAAGTGTCTGGGAAGGGATAGAGTGTGAGGTTCAGGAGAGAAGGAGAGGTCTGTCTTGATGCTTTGACACAGCACCAAGAAATTTCCCCTCCTCCCCCACATCGCCCCGCCAGTTGTCAGTGAGGGACAGATTCACAGCAGTACTGAAAGGGCTGGGAAGAGATGGGGAGACATCTGGGGCCAATGTTCAGGGGTTGACCCTGTGGGAGGACACCTGCCTTCAGAGTTAGAGCCCACATGTGATGACGTAGAGCTGAAGGGTGATATCAGGGAGGTGATGGAGAGTGCTTTGGGGTTTCCTGATTATGAAGAGCAGAGGTCAGTCTGCTTCCTGGGTGAAGTGACTGCTGGGGAGATTGGATTGAATTAATGAAGAATAAATAAACGGGGAATGAGGATAAGCAAGCATCAGCATCTCCCACCATCAGTTCAGACTGAGGGGAGTTTGGATTGAATTAATGAAGAATAAATAAACAGGGAATGAGGATAAGCAAGCATCAGCATCTCCCGCCATCAGTTCAGACTGACTGGGGAGGTGGGATAGTTATTGACTCTGTTGCGTGGTTCCCCCTAACTTCCTGGTCTTGGGGCACAGATGGGTGGTGCTGTTCCTGGTCAGGGCAGCCTCAGCTCCACCCAGGTAAGGCAGTGGTGGCAGAGAGAGTTAGAGGAGCACCTGTGAAACCGACCAAGGCAGGGATGGGAGCCCTCTGTGCAGCAGGAGTGGATGCAGGACCTGCCTGGAAGCAAGAGGACGAGGGAACCTAGTTGGGTCCTGTTCCCTGCCTGCCTGTGTTCACAGGGTAACCAGTAAGGGAGCTGGGGTAGGGAATTCTTTCATAGGTTATCTAGCCAGAGATATGTTTATAGACATATTCTTTCATGTTTATATTCAGGTTTGTTGTCACATAGACATTTATCCATGCGTGTTTTATGTTTGTTACTTTAGAATGGCTCAGTCACAAAAGCTTAATCTCTTCATTCCTGCTGCCTCTCTACACACACATACACACACATTCACACACATGCTATGCAAACATGTCTACCTGTATCTACAAAGAGAGATGTTATTTTATTTTTAAATTTTTAAATTCGTATATATTTATGGGGCACAGGTGCAGTTTTGCTACATTGCTATATTGAGTTGTAGTAAAGTCAGGGCCTTCAGTGCATCCAGCACTGGAGACAGATACATTGACCCCAACAAGAAACTCCTCTACGATACACCCACTGCCAACCACTCTTACCCTTCTGGGTCTCTATTGTCTATCATTCCACACGCTGCTTTCATGCATATAAAGAGATATTAATCAGATATATCAGAGTGATAACTTGAATTTTACTGCACTATTCTTTCAGCTTCTTTGCACATTTGAAAATATGTACAATTATAAGTTGGAAGAATGAGGGAAAAAAAAGAGCGAGAGAGAGTGCTGAATCTGAATAGGCTAGGGGTTGGGTCTCACTAGGAACCATAATTGATCTCTGCCATTTTGAAAGTATGGCCCCCTGAGCTGCCTTCAGAGAGTCCTGGAGGGAAACCTGTTTTCACAGTAATACCAAGATGCCATTTGCCTGTTTCATTATGCTGACTTTTCCATTAATGCTGCAAATGCCAAGGTCGGTAACACACCCAGCACCTTAGCAGAACCAAGGCAGTGGCTCCAAACTGCAGTCCCATTTAAGAATGCCTTTGATGGAGCAGTAAAATATTTATGTTCATTAAATTTTGATCCTTGAGTACATGTCTTTAATATTCTTTGTGAGAAAATGGGAGATATGCAAAGAGAAGCAGGATAGTAGTCTTGAGAAAGGGCACTTGTGTAGACTCAGTTATGAGTTCAACCAGCAGATCTCCTTCACCCACTGAAAGACAATTGCATTATTTCCAGTTTATGGAAGTAATTATGAATAATTACTTCCAGGAGTATTATGAATAAAGCTGCAAGAGTATTTGTATACAGGTTTTTCATGAACATAAAGTTTTCCCTTGTTTGAAATAAGTGCCTAGGAGGGCAATTGCTAGTCATATGGTAAATTGCATGTTCAGTTTGAAGAAAACTGCAATATCCATTTCCAGAGTGGCTGTACCATTTTAAAATCCATTCCTACCAGCAATATGAATGATCCAGTTTCTCTGTAACCTTGCCAGCATCTGTTGCTACCTTTATTTTGTATTTCAGCCATTCTCATCACTGCAGTTTTAATTTGTATTTTCCTACTGGATAGTGATGTTGAGTGTCTTTTCATCTGCTTGTTAGCCTGGTGTTTATCCTCTTCAGTGAAACGTCTGTTCATGTCTTGCTCATTGCCTATTGTTTATTTGGATTTCATTTTTACTGTTGAGTTTTTACATTTCTTCATATATTGTGAATGCAAGTCTTTATTGAATATGTGGTTTGCAAATATCTTCTCTCATTCTGTAGCTTGTCTTTTTATGCTCTTCATAGGTCTCTCACAGAGCAACAGTTTTAATTTTGATAAGATCCAGTTTAGTAACTTTTTCTTTTACAGATCATACTTTTGGTGTTATGTGTAAGAACTCTTTGTCTAGTCTTAGTTCTGATGGCTTTTTGTTAAAAGATTTGTAATTTTAATTTTTTAATGTATTTGTTATTTATTTAAAAAAAAATCTTGCCTAGGCTGGCCTTGAACTCCTGGGCTCAAGGGATCCTCCCACCTCAGTCTCCTGAGTAGGTGAGAGTACAGGCCTGTGACACCACACCTGGCTCAATGTTTGTAATTTTAACTGTGTGTTTTACATTAAAGCCTGTGATTCATTTTGAGTTTTTTTTTTTTTTTTTTTTGTATAAAGCATGAGGTTTGGGCTCAGCCTATTTTTTTCCACTGTGGTTGTCCAGTTGCTCCAGCACCGTTTGTTGGGAAAGCTCTCCTTCCTTCATTGAATTGTGTTTGTGCTTTTGTAAATGTCAGTTGAGCATATTTGTGTGTTTTGCTCATTTTCAGTTGAGTTGCTCATCTTCTTACACATTGAGTTTAAGAACTTGCCACATTATTCTGGAAACATGTTCTTCAACACAAATGTAATTTGTGATAAATTGTGAAATATTTTCTCCCTGTCTATGGCTTGTCTTCTCATTCTCTCAATGTCTTTTGGAGCACTCAAGTTTTAAATTTTAACTAAGCCCAATTTCTCTCTCTCTTTTTTTTTTATTTGTAGATCATGCTTTTGGTATTTTATCTAAGAATCTTTTGCCTAACTACCCAAAGTAATAAAACTTTTCTCCTGTGTTTTCTTTTAGAAATTTTATAGTTTTAACTCATAAATTTTAGCTGTTTAGGTCTCTAATTTGTTTGAGCTGATATTTTATATGGTGTTAAATGTAACATTGTGTTACCTATGCAACTTCATTGAAAATCAATTGACAAAGAAAGTAAGAATATCTTTCTAGATTCTCACTTCTGTTCATTGATCTCTATGTCTCTCAGTTTCACACTGTCTGGATTATTGTAGTTTCATATGACATTCCATTTTTTTTTTTTCAAATTTGTGTTGGCCCTTCTGCATCCTCTGCATTTTAATATACATTTTTAGGATTATTTTGTCAATTTTCTTTTCTTTTTTTCTTTTTTTTTTTTTTTTTTTTGAGACGGAGTCTCGCTCTGTCACCCAGGCTGGAGTGCAGTGGCATGATCTCCGCTCACTGCAACCTCCGCCTACCGGGTTCATGCCATTTTTCTGCCTCAGCCTCCCGAGGAGCCCGCCACCACGCCCGGCTAGTTTTTTGTATTTTTAGTAGAGATGGGGTTTCACCGTGTTAGCCAGGATGGTCTGGATCTCCTGACCTCATGATCCGCCTGCCTCAGCCTCCCAAAGTGCTGGGATTACCAGCATAAGCCACCGCGCCCGGCCTATTTTGTCAATTTTCTATAAAATCCCTGCTGGGATTTTGATAGGGATTGTGTTGAACCTATAGATCTGCTGGGGGAGAATTGCCATCTTAACAGTATTATCGAGCTTTCCAACTCGCATCTCTCCATTTATTTAGACCTTTAATTTCTCTGAGGAATGTTTTTTTATTTTCAGTGAACAAACACTGCTGTCTTCCTAAATTTATTCCTATTTCGCTCTTCTGGTAACTACTGTGATAGGAAAGTTGAGATTTTCATTGCTTCTATAGAGAAATATGTTAATAATTAATTTTTATATTGATTTGATATCCTATGGGCCCTTCTGGATTCATTTATTAGTGCTAGCCAGTTTTTATCTGCTTGTGAATTCTACAGACAGGGTCATGTTATCTGTGAATAGAATTGTATGTTTTCCTTTTTATCTGGATGCCTTTAATTTTTAATTTTCTGCCTTATTGCACTGGCTACAATCTCCAGTATAATATTAAATAAAAGTGGTGGGATTGGACATCCTTGCATTGATCCCCATCTTAGGAGAAAAGCATTCAGTCTTCAGTCTTTCTTCATTAAGTTTGATTTTAGCTGTGGGTTTTTTATAGATGCCCTTTATCAGAGTGAAGAAGGTCTCCTCCATTCCTATTTTGTTGAAACTTATGAACATGAGTGATGTTAACATTTTTGTCAACTGTTTCTTCTGCATCTTTTGAGATAATTATGTCTTTTTTTCCATCAATACAGTGCATTCCATGAATTGATTTTCAAATGTTAATCCAACCATATGTTCCTGGGATGAATCCCATTGGTCATGGAGTGTAATCCTTTTTTATGTGGCTTTGTATTATCTGCCAATGTTTGTTAAGGATGTTTTCATTTATGTTTATTGGTGACACTGGTGTATGGCACTCTTTTCCTGTGAGTCTTGCTGTGACTTTGATATGAGGGTAATGCCAGTTCTGTAAATGGGCTGGAAAGTCTTCCCTCCTCTCTTCTTGTCTGAAAGAGCTTTCAAAATATTTGATAGAATTCACCAGTGATGATATCTGGGCTTTGGCATTTCTTTTTGAGAAGGCTTTTCAATTTCTGACTTAGTTCACAGTTCTCTTCAGGTTTTCCAGTTAATTTGGGTCAGTTTTGGCAATTTCTATCTCTGCACGAATTGGTCCTTTTTATCTAAGTGGTCTAACTTATTGGCTTCAGGTTTTTCAGAGTATTCACTTATAGTGTTTTTTAACTTCCTAAGGGTCATTAGTGATAATCTCTTTTGTTCACAATTTTGGTAATTTATCTTATTTCTCATAATCTCTTTTTTCACTGTTGGTCAAGAAAACAGACAGAGGCAGCAGATGGAGATGTGACAGATTCTCTAGTGGGAAGGCTTTGATCATAATACCTGGCAAGCCAGAATGATGCCAGCAACCCCAAAGGAGCTGCCAATGGATCTTGACAGGAAAATCACTGACTCTGGATTGGGCTATGCTCAACCAGGGGTAGATGTCAAAGCTTCAAGGGCTATACAAGAACCAGAAAAGAAGAGGTTGCACCAATTTGGACTGCCGAGTCACACTTCTTTACACAAGAAAACACACTTTACAGCCTCAAACGGCCAACAATGCAGAGGGACATGTCCTCCTCAGGGGAAAATTTGATAGAAAATTGAAATGGTCAATTGAAACATTGTTTGTCTAAAAACTGCCAATCTAATTGTTGGGCAATATAAACATGAAGGACTGGCTTTTATATCTTCATGAATGTGCTCGCTGTCAACATGAGTGGGGCTGCAAGAATAACTCCACTAGGTAGCATCCTCTCTTTTACCTGATGGATCAGGACGATGCTGTTACGACGATACATACAATTCTTCTGAAGGGGAGAGGATGCTGGAATAAAGACTACACTTCACCTCAAATTTATTTTTTCATATGTTATGCCATAGTACCAGGAATAGGGATGTAAATAAAAGTGCCAGAAACAGGAATTATCCCTAAGCGAAAAACCATAACTATATTTTTACACCTTTATGTAAGAATTCTCAAGTATTCATTTCATCTGAAAAGTTAGGATTAACAGTAAGTAGAGTTATATAGCCTGGTGGTCTGATAGCCCCCACTAGTTCCTTACCTATATAACCTACCCTCTATGATCAAGACTAGACTGAGGGAAGACATGCTAGAATACTATTGCTGCCTGCAGTCTAGGCCAGCCCAGCAGACAAACCTAATGTCACTCCCAAACCTGGAAACGACTGATATAAAGGGACAGAGGGAGGAATAGTGGCTGAGGGTAAGTGAATAAATCAAAGGGTTATATAATGAGAAAAATTCAATATTAGCTTAACTCCTCAAAGGTGGTGTGAGCAAGAGAAGATATTGTCACTTAGGTCAATTATACTGGATGCCTAAAAGAGTGAAGCTGTATGTCCCTGAGACCATCCTTGTTTTTGGAACCTGGTAAGATTGAGTGTTGTCAGCAAAGCTGAGTGATTTCATTCTGGGAGACATATTCATACAAGAGGATGATAAACTGGCCTAATTTTGAATGAATGGATGAGACTCTGATAATATGCCAATACCTCTTTACTGTTACAATCCTTTTTCTTGTAAAAGATATGTGGTCAAAGAAAAGTGGGCAATCTGAGTTATCACAAAAACATTTAGTCTTTGTCCCTGGTTTCTCCTAAAAACCTTAGACTCTCTTGAGTGATAAGAGCGTCTTTAGAGTACTGATGAGAAGACTCTTGGCTGAGTGGATCCTGGATATCTTAAGAACGGTGGCTAGCTGCCAGAGACACATACCTGTGATGCGAGGGTTATCTTTTTCCATTTTGTGTTGCTATAAAGAAATGTCTGAGACTGACTAATTTATATAAACGAGGTTCATGTGGCTCAAGATTCTGATGTCTGGAAATGTTTGCGCATTTAGTGAGGGCCTCAGGCTGCTTCCACTCATGGCAGAAGACAAAAAGGGGAGCTGGTATATGCAGAGATCACATGGTAACAGAGGAACACAGAGAGTAGGAAGTTGCCAGGGTCTTTTTTACAACTAGCTCTCTTGGAAAATAATAGAGCAACAATTCATTCATTCCCGAGAGAGGGCAGTATCTCTCGATTCATAAAAGATTGGTCACCATGACCCAAATGGTGGCCATTAGGCCCCAAGTCCCACAGTGGGCGTTAGATTTTAACATGAGGTATCAGGGGATAAATGTTTATATCATTGCATCCCCTCCCTAGCCAGCCAAAGGTCATGTTCTTCTCACATTGCAAAATATAATAATCTACTCCCAATTGTCCCAAATGTGTTAGGTTGTTCCAGCATCAACTCAAAATTCTAGAGTCTCATCTGAGACTCAAGGTAAATTCTTATAGCTTTGAGCCTGTAAAATTTTTTAAAAAAATGTTATTTGCATCTAAAATATTAATAAAACAGTGGAAGAGACATTTCTTGTACATTTCCATTCCAAAAGGTATATAAATGGGCCAAAAGAAATGAATGCAGTTTCCTCATAAGATTGAAACTCATCATGGCAGACATTAAAACTTAAAGGTCTAAAAGAATCTCCTTTGACTCTATATTTTGAATCCAGAGCACAGTGGCTGGTGCAACTGCTGGGCTCCTAATGCCATTTGCAGCTCCACATTTATGGCTTTGCTGAACATAACCCATATAGCTGCTGTCATGGGAGAAAATTGAATGCCTATGGCTTTTCCAGGCTGAGGTTGCACATAGCCAGTGGCTCTACCATTTAGTAGTCCTGGCAGGGGTCCTGTTGCTGCAGCTCCGCTAAGAATTTTCCTGGGTATTAAATTTCCCCATTTAAATATCAGTTCCAGTTTCGGGTCATTTCTTTGCTCAAACATATGCACATAGGCTATTACAGGCAGCCAGACCAAATCCTGAATTCTATGCTACTGAGAAATTTCTTCCATCAGATACCCTTAATCATCACTCTCAAGTTTAAAGTTCCACAGATCCCTAGGGAGGTGGCACAATGCCTCCAAGAACTATCACAAGAACAGCATGAAAGAGATGATTCTAAACCATTCATGAATCATCCATCCTCATGAGCCAATCACGTCCCACCAAGCACCACCTCCAACATTAGGGATTACAAGTGAGCATGAGATTTGGGTGGGGACACAGATCCAAACAATATCAGGGGTCATGGTGGACATGAGGGTGGGCTGGTCTCTCCACTTCTCACATGTTACCAGGGACATAGACACATTCAGATGCCTTGGCAGAAAGAGAAAACAGAGGCCCTTGAAGTCTCAAAGTGGAGCCATGAACAAATCTTGCATCTCAGTCCCTCACAAGGCAGTCTTGGAAAGAAAATAGTCGTGAACAAATTCAAGTCAGTCATGGTAAGTGGTGACACTGAACAGCCCACCACACATTGAAAAATTCCAAATCAAAGACTCTCTAGAGCCTAGTTGTGTCCCATCTGCCCCAACTCCTCCTTCACTTCAGGCCCTCTAAGGTGTCACTTTTACAAGACTTGAGAGACACATCAGAGCCCTGGGTACTGTTCCTGTTTGGGGTGGAACAAAAACAAAGTCTGGTCAGAGCCCACAGGTGATGTGACTAAAGGAGGAATTGTGGGGTGGTGACCTCCCCCATGGGCTCCTGTCTACACTGTTCCAAGGATCTCAGGAATCACTCTCCCACCCCTACCACACTTACTTGAAGCCTGAGCATAGCTGACTCCTTTTCCATATGAGGAAAGAAAACAAACTGTGAGAGGCCAGGGAAGAGGCAGGGCCATGAGATCCTAGAGGAGTTTCCAGAACTGTGACTGCAGACCCAGGTCAGGATCAGAAAACCCGAGGGAAGAGGATGTGTTGAAGCTGAACCAAATGTCCTTTTGACATCTGTCCTCAGCAGGAACATTCTCCTGACTTGTGACTGCTGGGAGTCAGGTTCCCATGATCACAATCAAGGTGATAAATTTGTCCTTCAATTTCACAGGTGCTTTACAAAAGAGTGAGAGTTGACAGGGCATCTGAACAGGGTAAATGTGTGTGGAGATGGTGTCTCACAACTAGGCAGGAAATGAGCCAACTTCCATCTGGAGCTTGAAATCCACGAATGGAAGAAGAAATCTTGGAACTCACCCCTTTCCTACCTGGGGTCTTATTCTTCCACATCACAGCAGTGACCACAGCACCTAGAACAACCAGGACGGTAACGATGCCCATGATGAGGAATGTGGGCTGGGAAGATGGCCCTAAGAAAGGAGGGGAACGTGAGGGGTCCTGACCCCCAGGCCTCAGCCCTGACCCTGCTGAAGGCCTCCAGAAGGGCTCCTGTTTTCCCTGAGAAGAGACATGGCCCCTCATTCATCTCCTTAGCCCATCTCAGTGTGAGGGGCTCTGGCAGTGCCTCCTGCTGCACATGGCATGTGTATCTCTACTTGTCTCTAGAAGACAGCACCACAGCTGCCCACTTCTGGAAGGTTCTATACCCTGCAGGTCTGGTCCCCACAAGCTCTGCGTCCTAAATTTGGTCCTCCCCATCCCACAGTTGGGTCACTGTGATTTCCACATGGTAGAAGCCCGGGACCCAGCACCTCAGGGCGGCCTCATGGTCTGAGATGGGGTAGTGGATCACACATGCATTCTGGGATTCTGAAGGGAAGAGTAAGAAAATTGAGGCACTTTGCATTCCTCATGGGACACTCCAGCAGCACCCATGTGACCATCCTGAGAATGGATAGGACATCTGGGGTGGGGAAGGGAGCACAGAACCCAGACACCTCCTGGCCACAGGCACCTGGGATAATCTCCTATTCCTTGGAAAGTTAGTGTCTGAGGCGTTGAATAATTTAGAGTCTGCAGAGTGCCTGGGATTGCAGGAGCGCACCACCATGCCTGACTGGTTTTCATATTTTTTTGGTGGAGACGGGGTTTCACTGTGTTGGCCAGGCTGGTCTCCAGCTCCTAACTGGGAGTGATCTGCCAGCCTTGGCCTCCTGAGGTGCCGGGATTGCAGACGGAGTCTCTCTCACTCAGTGCTCAATGTTGCCCAGGCTGGAGTGCAGTGGCGTGATCTCGGCTCGCTACAACCTCTGCCTCCCAGCTGCCTGCCTTGGCCTCCCAAAGTGCCAAGATCGCAGCCTCTGCCCGGCCGCCATCCGGTCTAGGAAGTGAGGAGCGTCTCTGCCCGGCTGCCCATCATCTGAGATGTGGGGAGCGCCTCTGCCCCGCCGCCCTGTCTGGGATGTGAGGAGCCCCTCCGCCCAGCAGCCACCCCGTCTGGGAGGTAAGGAGCGTCTCTCCCCGGCCGCCCCGTCTGAGAGGTGAGGAGCCCCTCCGCCCAGCAGCCACCCCATCTGGGAAGTGAGGAGCGTCTCTGCCCGGCAGCCGCCCCGTCCAGGAGGGAGGTGGGGGGCAGCCCCCGCCCGGCCAGCCACCTCGTCCAGGAGGTGGGGGGCGCCTCTGCCCGGCCACCCCGTCTGGGAAGTGAGGAGCCCCTCTGCCCGGCCGCCACCCCGTCTGGGAGGTGTACCCAACAGCTCATTGAGAAGGGGCCATGATGACGATGGCGGTTTTGTCGAATAGAAAGGGGGGAAATGTGGGGAAAAGACAGAGAAATCAGATTGTTGCTGTGTCTGTGTAGAAAGAAGCAGACATAGGAGACTCCATTTTGTTCTGTACTAAGAAAAATTCTTCTGCCTTGGGATGCTGTTAATCTATAACCTTACCCGCAACCCCGTGCTCTCTGAAACATGTGCTGTGTCCACTCAGGGTTAAATGGATTAAGGGCGGTGCAAGATGTGCTTTGTTAAACAGATGCTTGAAGGCAAAAAAAAAAAAAAAAAAAAAGAATGCCCAAAATGACAATTTTCTGACTCAAGCATCTACAAAAATATTTGCCTAATCAGGGTGCTTTGCAATTAGAAAAATGTGAGTCTCACATCTTTGTCTGTACAACTGGCTTAGCATCATGACAATGATTTGGTTTGATGTGGTAGGTGGAAATGGTTAAATTCAATCTAGGAACAAGATTTTTCAGTAACTGGCTATTCAGTGGGCATCCTGTGATCAGTTTAACATCTTTCACTGTGGCTTTTAATTAGATGTGGTAGAAGTGATTTGGACTCCAGTATGATTCTGAAAAACACTGTTATTTTGTGCTTCTAATGTTGCTTTAAAAGCAGCTCTTTCGTGTTTTTCATTCTTATTGCTATTTCATCACTAGTTATTCATTTATGTCTTTTCATTTAATTTATTTTGCTCAACAATGCTTTTTTTCTATTCTGTAAAAGTTTAATTCACTTGTATGTGTGGTAAAATGTGAGCAACATATCAAATTCTCAAATTCTTTGCAAGATACTATTGCCTTACCTATCAGATTGAACACTGTGTATCAGAAAATGTAGAGAGTTGCCAACTAGCCAAGGATCAAATGACCTATTTGTAGCCAAGGCTGTTTTTCATGGCATCCTGGTCCTCTCACATGGCTCCTTAAAATTGGCTGTGGCTTGTTTTTTGTGGTTGTTTGTTTGTTTTGAGATGGAGTATGGCTCTGTCACCCAGGCTGGAGTGCGATGGCAGGATCTCAGCTCACTGCAACTTCTGCCTTCCAGGTTCAAGCGATTCTCCTGCATCAGCCTTCTGAGTAGCTTGGATTACAGACACGCACCAACACGCCCAGCTAATTTTTGTATTTTTAGTAAAGACGAGGTTTCACCATGTTGGTCAGGCTCGTCTCGAACTCCTGATCTCGTGATCCACAGGCCTCGACTTCCCAAAGTGCTAGGATCACAGAAGTGAGCCACCGTGCCCGGCCAGCTGTGGCTTTGTTTTACTACGAGTAGTTATCGCAAAGGATGCTTGTGATGAACTTTGGCGTTTTCTTTTCTCTTTCATTTCCAAATAATCAATCAGGAATGGCACACAAGGTGCATTTTGAAAAATACCACTTTAAAGATTTGTGGGCCAGGAGTGGTGGCTCATGCCTGTAATCTCAGCAATTTGGTAGGCTGAAGTGGGTGGATCACCTGAGGTCAGGAGTTCCAGACCAACCTGGTCAACATGGTGAAGCCCGTCTCTACTAAAAATACAAAAATTAGCTGGGAGTGGTGGCATTTGCCTGCAATCCCAGCTGCTCAGGAGGCTGAGGCAGGAGAATCCCTTGAACCTGGGAGGCGGAGGTTGCAGTGAACTGAGATCATGCCACTGTACTCCAGCCTGGGCAACAAGAGCGAGACTCAAAATATATAAATAAATAAATAAATAAAGTTTTATGATCAAGTAACTAACTACCTGGATATCCCCTCCTGGCATAAGAAACAGAACCTATGAAGCCACCCTAGGCTGTTGTCCAATCCTATCCCCTAAAAGGAACCTATGTCTTGAGTCTTGTATTTGCTATTCCTTGGCATTGTCACTGAAGATTTTTACAATAATACCCAAATCACAGTTTGACCTGTATTTTTTTAACTTCCCCATACAGAGAACTCACACTGTATGTATATTATGTGTTGGGGAGTTATCTCTGATGTGGGAGGGTGCTTATCCTTTTAATTTTTTTTTCTTTTTGAGATGGAGTTTCACTCTTGTTGCTCAGGCTGGAGTGTAGGGGCGGGATCTCAGCTCACTTGATCTCAGCTGCTTGGTTCAGCTCCATCTAGCATCTTTCCCCACACTGTCACCCCCAGCACCAGGGGACTGAGAGTTGATGACCTGGTACACCACCGCCTGGATCTGCTGCAGTGTCCTTTCCTGTCTAGTCCGCACTCAAAGCTGACCTCTTCCTATATTATACCCAGACAGTGGGCCAAACAATATACTTAGATGTGGAATGTGGTGTTGCCAGGACCCAGAGAAGCTCACCAAATAGTGTGCTTCCTTCCTTCTGTTGAGGATGCAAGATGCAAGTTTGTCTTTTACTTTGGAGGGGACAGCCCTGCATGCCCCTAACCACTGGACCCATAACACTTCACTGCAGTGGCCACTCTTGAAGCTCTGTAAGGTTAATCTTCACCTTCTGTAGTGCACACGTTTTGCCGAAGAATTCAGCGTACTTTCCTCCTCTTACTCATCCATCCCAATCTATGTGATATTGCCAATGAAATGAAGAGATTTAGTATTCTGTGAGATGTCTGATTTGTCCAGATCTCTTAAGGTGATATTTATAGAAGGTTGAGGAGTTAAAGTAGCCCTGAGGCAAGCTATCAATAAATGTATTATAAATCCCATGTGAATGTGAATCATTCCATATCCATTTTCTAAATGGAATGGGAAAGAATGCACTCACCAAATGCATGGCTGTTTGCCATGTGCCTGAGGCCTTATTAATCTCCCCAAGCAGTGATATCCAGCCAGCATGGCAGCTGCAATCAGGACTCCTACTTGGTCAAGTCTGGAGTAATTCCATTCATTCTTTATCAGGCTTCTTCAGGGACAGACTGCTGAATTATATGGAGATAATAGGCAATCCCAACACCACCCCCCATCCTTCAGCTCTCTAATGGCAGTGCCACCCCTACAATACCTGCAGTACCCTCCTGAAGTCCCACCTGGGGCGCAATATTGCTTCTGGCTTGGCTGGGATGAGGGAAGTTTTAGATGATTCCCTTTGGGCTTCAGCACAATGAAAGCCCTTACTCTCCAGACTAGGGATGTAGTATGGGGGTGACTCCCTTTGCCAGTGCATCAAGGCCAATTATGCATGTGGAGAATGGGGAGATAACCAGGACTGGGTTTATGAACCCAGTGGTCCCACAGTGGGCCATAATGTGTCCAGGTTTATTTCCTGGCCTCCTTAAGCCCCACTGTAGATTCTGAATCTGAAGCTTGGCTGAAGTCTAGGAATTGAGACTGGGATCATGACTTTGTATTTGATCAAACGCCCTCAGTCTCCTGCTCCTCAATTCTTGCATTCCCATCATAGATATGAAGCAGTGCCCTCGCTGGCTGCCCATCTGTTCTGACGCTGGGACACCACCTTTTACTAACCTTTCCCAAAACTCCATGAAGGTTGAGCCCCTTTGGCTGCTACTCTGGGTTCTCACAGTAACCGTGCCCTCTATCTTTTGCAGGTCACTGCAAAGGAGGGTTCCTAAAGCATTCACTCCTGATCCTGAGGGAGGTGGGTGCACTCACTCCAGGTCTCAGGTCCGCCACAGAAAAGCAAAAACTCCTCACATTCAAAACTGTCCTGGGCCACATTCAGCCTGCGAGCTACGGGTTAGACAAGCTAGCATCTAGAACATATGTACCACAACACCAGAAATTTTTCTGTTTTCACCTTAATGATGCTTTCTAAACGCAAAAGCAGTCATATCCCTAGCAGACAACAAATGTCAGTTGAATGA
This sequence comes from Homo sapiens, assembly GCF_000001405.40. Classification (NCBI taxonomy): domain Eukaryota; kingdom Metazoa; phylum Chordata; class Mammalia; order Primates; family Hominidae; genus Homo; species Homo sapiens. Next base: position 1,148,290 of record NT_167246.2, on the reverse strand, counting down.
ATGATCACTGTAGAGCACTTCTCTATTCTAAAGCCAATATCTTTGTTAAGGTAGCCTCAGGGCAAATGCTGTTTTGTGGCAGCTAAAGAACAACATCATCTCATGTGGACATCGATACCGCCAGTGCTTTTCTCACCAGGACTGCTTGTGTGTCCTCCCTCCCTCCCTCCCTCCCCCCACACCAACCCTCCTGCACACTGCAGCACACAACCATATTTTTCTCTTCAGGAAAGATAACCCTAGGCTTATGGGTACAATTTTCCAACCACGTATGAATCTAAATTAGACTCTGCTTTGTAAATCCATGAGTTTGGATTGGAGCCAGCACTAGGATTACTACAACTCAGGGCAGGAAGAAGAGTAGGAGAGCAGAAGAGGAGCTCCAACAGAAAGTTCACTATGATGAGAAACTATGGGACCCCTCCTCTCTGCAAATTTCAGAATCTGCTTCCTTTAAAAAGATTGGAGACAAGATGAAAACTACAATCCAGGAAAGAGTCCTGGGAGGAGGGCAAGAGCTGGACAGGTCTGAAAATTAGTCTCTTGATACCACAATGAGATTTGTATGCAGGGACCACCGTAGGTGACATCCAAGTCCCTGTGATCACAGGTGGTGGTGGGACAAGGTTCTACTGAAGGGCCAAGGAGAATGAAGGAGCAAAGATGACCCAGCTGAGCAGTGACCACATAAAGTCCATACTGGCCTGAGCACCCACTAGGCACAGCCCCATCTATTCTCCTCCCCTGCAACAAATCAGCACAAGAAACACATGGACTCTGGAAGGTTCTCATGTGTTCCATTTATTTTGTCTCTCAAATTTTAGGAATCTTCTCCTTTAATTAAGTCATCAACCTCTCATGGCAAGAATTTGAAAAAGTAAATGTTTACTCAGATTCTAATTTTAAGAGGGAAGTAAGAAGTTACAGCTCAGTGCACATAAAGTTGAGAAAAAGATGGAGACATCTCAGCCCCGCCTCTCTGGAACAGGAAAGATGATTGGGGAGGGAACACAGATCAGCGTGGGGAAGAGGGTCATGGTGGACATGAGGGTGGGTTGGTCTCCCCTCCTCCACACATTATGCCTACAGGAACACAGACACATTCAGGTGCCTTTGCAGAAAGTCAGGGTTCTTCAAGTCACAAAGGGAAGGTGTGAACAAATCTTGCCTCTCAGTCCCACACAAGGCAGCTGTCTCACACTATAGAAAAAATATTCATGAACAAATTCATATCTGTCCCAGTAATGGATGACACTTTGGCAGCCCATCGCATGCTCAAAACATCAAATTCAAAGAACCCCATAGCACAGCTGTGTCCACTGTTCCCCCCCAACACCCCCCACACATCAGGCCCCCCAAGGTCTCACCTTTCACGCCGTGAGAGACACATCAGAGCCCTGGGCACTGTTGCCGCCTGGAGTAGAATAAAAACAGGACCTGGTCAGATCCCACAGTAGATGTGGCTAGAGGAAGAATTGTGGGGTGGGTGAGCTCCCCCATGGGCTCCCAAACACAATATCCAAAGGATTTCAGGGATCAGCCTCCTTCATACTTACTTGCAGCCTGAGAGTAGCTCCCTCCTTTTCTATCTGTGGGAAGAAAATGTCCTGTGAGATGCCAGAAAGAAGCCAGGGCCATAAGGTCCTAGAGGAACCTCCAAGTCTTGGACCCCAGAGAAGTTTCCAGAAATGTGCAACTGCAGACCCAGGGCGGGATCAGGAAACATGAGGAAAGCAGATGTGGGTCCTGGACCAACCGCCCTTCTGAGGTCTGTCCTCGGGGACCTTCCCCTGTGACTTGTGACTGCTGGGATCAGGTCCCATCACCACAGTCATCAAGGTGATAAATCTGTCCCTCGTTGTAACAGGTGCTTTACAAAAGAGTAAGTGCTGGCACACAGGGCCCAGGCTGGGTAGGCCCATGAGTGTGGATGGTGCTTCCCAGTAACCAGGCAGGGCCCTTCTACCTGGGGCTTGGAACTCTCAGTGAGACAAGAAATCTCAGACCACACTCCTCACCCCTTCCTTACCTGAGCTCTTCTTCCTCCACATTACAGCAGTGACCACAGCTCCAGTGACCACAGCTACAAGTAGAACCAGGCCAGCAATGATGCCCACGATGGGGATGGTGGGCTGGGAAGATGGCTCTGGGAAAAGGGGGGAAGGTGAGGGACCCTGACCCTGCTAAAGCTCTCCAGAGAGGCTCCGGCTTTCCCTAAGGGACATGACACCCCCATCTCCCTCCTTACCCCATCTCAGGGTGAGGGGCTCGGGCAGACCCTCATGCTGCACATGGCAGGTGTATCTCTGCTCCTCTCCAGAAGGCACCACCACAGCCGCCCACTTCTGGAAGGTTCCATCCCCTGCAGGCCTGGTCTCCACGAGCTCCGTGTGTGGGTCTGGTCCTCCCCATCCCGCTGCCAGGTCAGTGTGATCTCCGCAGGGTAGAAGCCCAGGGCCCAGCACCTCAGGGTGGCCTCATGGTCAGAGATGGGGTAGTGGGTCATATGTGTCTTGGGGGGGTCTGACGGGAAGAGTCAGAAAATTCAGGCATTTTGCATCTGTCATGGGACACTCCACCAGCACGCATGTGGCCATCTTGAGAATGGACAGGACGCCTGGGGTGGGGAAGGGAGCACAGAACCCAGACAACAGCCTGGACACAGGCACCTGGGATAATCTCCTATTCCGTGGAAAACTCTAGTCCCTGAGGAGGGAACAGCGACTTCTGGTCCTGACCTGAGTGGAGGCTGAGGGACTCAGAAGAGCTGGACTCAGACCCCCACACACATTGAGTGTGAAGCAGAGAACAAGGCCTGAGAGGAAAAGTCACGGGGCCCAAGGCTGCTGCCAGTGTCAAAGAGAACCACTCATCAGTATTCCAGGGATTGTCTTCCCTTCATTTCCTCAGAGATTTCATCCCTTAATTGTGTCAGAGAGCACGGCGGACCCTCAGAGTCACTCTCTGGAAACCCAGGAGGATTCTTCTCCCTCAGGACCAGAGGGAGGGCGATATTATAGTGTTGGTCCCATTTGTCTCCCTTTCTTGTGGGAGGCCAGCCCCGGAGATCTACAGGCGATCCGGGAGGCGCCCTGTGGCCCCTGGTACCCGCGCGCTGCAGCGTCTCCTTCCCGTTCTCCAGGTATCTGCGGAGCCACTCCACGAACTCGCCCTCCAGGTAGGCTCTCAGCTGCTCCGCCACACGGGCCGCCTCCCACTTGCGCTTGGTGATCTGAGCTGCCATGTCCGCCGCGGTCCAGGAGCGCAGGTCCTCGTTCAGAGCGATGTAATCCTTGCCGTCGTAGGCGTGCTGTTCATACCCGCGGAGGAAGCGCCCGTCGGGCCCCACGTCGCAGCCATACATCACCTGCATGGTGTGGGAACCTGGCCCCGCCCCCGCGGTCAGCCCGGTCCCCCGAGCCCCGCCCTGCCCCGACCAACCCGCGGGGATTTTGGCCTAAACTGAAAATGAAACCGGGTAAAGGCGCCTGGGCCTCTCCCAGGTCAAGGGTCTCGGGGTCCCGCGGTTTCGGGGAGGATCTCGGACCCAGAGACTCGAGGCGACCCGGCCCTCCGTGGGGGATGGGGAGGGGTCGTGACCTGCGTCCCGGGCCGGGGTCACTCACCGCCCTCGCTCTGGTTGTAGTAGCGGAGCGCGATCCGCAGGTTCTCTCGTTCAGTCCGTGCTTGGGCCTTGCAGATCTGTGTGTTCCGGTCCCAATACTCCGGCCCCTCCCGCTCCATCCACGGCGCCCGCGGCTCCTCTCTCGGACTCGCGTCGTCGCTGTCGAACCGCACGAACTGCGTATAGTCCACGTAGCCGACGGAGATGAAGCGGGGCTCCCCGCGGCCGGGCCGGGACATGGTGGTGTAGAAATACCTCATGGAGTGGGAGCCTGGGAGCGAGGAGGAGCTGAGACCCGCCCGACCCTCCTCCCTGCGCGGCTCCCTGGGTCCTGCGCCCCCGCCGGGCGGGCCCCTCGCTCCTCCCGACCATTTCCCTGCAGACCCTGCACTCACGCGCCCAGGTCTGGGTCAGGGCCCCTGAGAGCAGCAGGAGGAGGGTTCGGGGCGCCATGAGCACCATCCTCGGCGTCTGGGGAGAATCTGAGTCCCGGTGGGTGCGTGGGGACTTTAGAACCGGGACCGCGGCGGCACCGATTGGCTTCTCTAGAAACCCGACACCTAGTGGGAATGAGAACTGTGCCCGCTTCGTGAGTATCCAGGAAAAAGGACCCGTCGCAGGTTGTGAGAAGAAGAGAAACTGCGGAGGTGGCGAATCCCCAAGGCGGGGCCTCCCCAATCCATACACCGCCTTCGGGGCCTGAGACCCTGAGAGCCACGCCTGGGGCCCTGGGACTTCGCCCTGACCCCGCTCCTCCTGTGCCAAGCGCTCTGTCTCAGTGTTTCCCTGAGTCTTGGCCCAGGAGCTGTCTGAGAAACCAGGAAGAAACCCTCGGCATGGGCCCTGTCCCTCTCCCTTCACTTTTCATCCAGGAATCTCCGTCCCTGAACTGGACTCCCTGTCCACCTGGACTCTTCTAGAAGAAAAGTCACCCACGGAGTTTGGTGACAGAGAGTGAGCTTGCTTTGGGAATGGAGGTGTAGAAACTGTTTTTTGTTTTCCTTTTTTTTTTTTTTTTTATTGGGAAAAGTTGTGTCTGAGTGCATGAGACAGAATAGAGACCAGTTTATTTATTTATTTGTTTATTAAATACATTGGATAGCAGAACCTTGGTAACCCCTGAATGATCAGGAATCTAATAGGTAAAAAATGTGACTTTGGCCCCATGATGTATAAATGTGCCCAAAAGCGTTACAACAGGACTCACAAAGCTTCTAAGTTTCACTTTTGCAGTGTACCTGTGACTCCCGCTTGTCATATTTTAAATTTGCCATCATTCCATAGCTCTGAGTTTCTGTGTGAGTCCAGGATATCTCCTCAATACAAAGTAGCACACTGTGTACTTTGCAACCAGGTACGTTGCAACCAGGAGTCAGTACAGGCTTTATTCACCTCAAAGTTGCAACTGTTCAGTGTAGTCACAATGCCCCTCACTAGTGCTCATGCACTGCCTGTTTTTAGGAAGTATCCGCTGCTAAGTGTTGTGTATATTTTATAGGAACACTTAGTAATTTTTAAACCTGATTAACATTAAAAAATTAGTTTTTAGGCAGACCCACATGAGGTATTAAAGACCAACTGCCAAGGACACCCTGCTAGGCTCTGTAGATGGATGTATTAAAATCCATAAAACAATGTATTTAAACCTAAGAATTCTGCTGCTTTCGAATTCTTTCCTCTGCTCCTTTTCTTCACCTCCTGCTTCTCCAGCCCTTCTCTCCGTCCTTTTCATCCTTCAGGCCCTCCTGTCCCCTTAGTCCCCACCACACTGTCACTTGTGAGTTGTGACACTAGCACTGTCCCATGACCTGTTACGTGACTGTTCTTTTCACAGTGGTCCTGCTCCTGGGAGTCGGAGTGTGTCATCTCTCCACTTAAAACACTCCAGTGTCTCCACCTCGGTCTTGAGAAACTTCTGGAGTGTCAGGCACGTGAGCATATGAGGGGATATCTGGTTTATCGTAGGGACTAAATTAATTTTTGTCGACTGAATGAATGAAATATGAGTGTATTAAATTGCATTACAGATAATTACAAAGTGCAAAACACGGAAAAAGTTCAGAAAATTTTTATTTTATGTAACTAGTGTGCATATCAATTCATCAATTCATTCGTGCACTACCATGCCTGGCGAAACAACACCCATTTATCTGCTTATAGTTCCTTGATCAGAAATCTGGGCAAAATTGTGGATGGAATCTCTCTTCTGGGCTTCCAAAAGCTGTGTTTTCATTTTGAATCCTCCTTCAGGCTTATACAGAGGTGGCAGAATGCAGTTTCTGGCAGTTGTAAGACTGAGGTCCCTGTTCCTTGCTGGCTGTCAATGTAGAGAACAGGGAGGGCTGTGCTCGATTCCTGGTCCTCACCAGCATTCTTTCCTACACAGCCCCTTCATTTTTTATTTTATTTATTTATTTTTTGGAGATGGAGTCTTGCTCTGTAGCCCAGGCTTGGGTGCAGTGGCCGGATCTCGGCTCACTGCCAGCTATGGCTCCCAGGTTCACGCCATTCTCCTGTCTCAGCCTCCCAAGCAGCTGGGACTACAGGCACCCGCCACTACGCTTGGCTAATTTTTTTTTTTTTTTTTTTGTATTCTTAGTAGAGACAGGGTTTCACCATGTTAGCCAGGATGGTCTCAATCTCCTGACCTCATGATCCGCCCGCCTCAGCCTCCCAAAGTGCTGGGATTACAGGCGTGAGGCACCGCACCTGGCCCACAGCCCTTTCATTTTCAAAGCCCATGCTGGAGGAAACCCCTCATGCTGAGTCCCTCTCACACTGTGAGTCTCTATGCTCAGGAAGAACCCAGTCCTTTCAAGGTCTCACCTGATTAGGACAGTCCAAGCAGGATAAACCCAGCCTAAAGTCAACTAATTGAGACCCTTAATTATATCCACTAACTCCCTTCACAGCAGCACCTACATTAGAGTTGATTGAATAACTGGAGGATGGTGAATGACCAGGAGCTGGTTGTTGAGGGCATAATAGAATCAGCCTAGCAAGGGTTGGATCTTCCTTTTGTGTTTACTTCGGACACAGTTGGAAATTGAAGTTCAAGTAAAGTGATCATTGTGAATGGTCATAAAATACATCCTCTTCAGCCATGGAAATTCTCCTTACCTTTTAAAACTAAGTTACATGTTTAATATCTTATAATTAATTTACGCCAGGTATGGTGGCTCACGCCTGCCATCCTAGCACTGTGGAAGGCAGAGGAAGGCAGATTTGTTGACTCCAGAAGTTCAAGATCAGCCTGGGCAAAACCCCCATCTATACAAAAAATTAGAAAATTAGCCAGGCATAGTAGTTCATGATGGTAGTCCCAGCTACTCAGGAGGCTGAGATCAGTGGGTCCCTTGAACCCAGGAGGTCGACACTGCAGTGCATGGTGATCATGCCACTGCACTCCAGCCTGGGTGACAGAGCGAGACTGTGTCTCAAAAATAATAATGATGACGATGATACATTTAAAGCAAATGCAATTTAATGTGTAATAATACATCCTCTCTTGTGAAAATGTGTTATTTATTTACTATTGCATAACAAATTATGTAAAACTTAGCTTAAAACAACAAATATTCCTCATCTGCCACAGTTTCCAATGGTCAGGAGTCCAGGAGAGGTTTCCCTGAGTGCTTCTTGCTCGGGGCCTCTCACAAGGTTGCAGTCCAATTGTCAGCCAAGGGCTGCATCATCTGAGGGCTTCACTGGGGCTGAGGATTCACATGAAACATGGATCAGTCACATGGCTGTTGGAAAAGGCCTAGTTCTTTGTTGTCTGGTCCCGGAAGGCCTCAGTTCTCAGCCACATGGACCTTCCTGCAGGGCTGCTTGTGGCACAGCAGCTGGCTTCCCCCAGAGCTCATGATCCCAGAGACAGAGAGAGAGAAGGTGGAAGCCGCAGTGAGTTTTAGGTTCTACACCCAGAGTTACAAACCATTATGTCAGCATTATTCTATAAGTTAGAAGTTATATTAGTCCATTCTCACACTGCTATGAAGAAGTACCTGAGACTGGGTAATTTATAAAGGAAAGAGGTTTAATTGACTCACAGTTCTGCATGGCTGAGGAGCCTGCCCCAGGAAACTTACAGTCATGGCAGAAGTGGAAGCAAACACATCCTTCTTCACATGATGACAGGAGAGAGAAGTGCAGAATGAAGCAGGGAAAAGCCCCTTATAAAACCATCAGATCTCATGAGAATTCCCTCAGTATCACGAGAACAGCATGGGGGCACCACCCCCATTATCCAATCACCTCCCATGTGGTCCCTCCCCCAATAGGTAGCGATTACAATTCGCATAACAATTCAAGATGAGATTTGGGTGGGAACACAGAACCAGGCCATATCAGAAGTGCCTCATTAAGTCCAAGCCACACTCAGGAGAGGGAATTAAGATGCACCTCTGGAAGGGAACAGTATCAAATGTTTTGAATATATGTTAAAAGCAAAATTATAACTATTGTTTCAGGTTTTTGAAAATCAAAGACTTCTTTTATCTAATTATTTTTCATTAACTCTTTCAGCTTGTCTTTTTCTTTAAGCTTGTCTTTTAATTTAATTTTTTTTAAGTTCCAGGGTACACGTGCAGGATGTGCAGGTTTGTTACATAGGTAAACATGTGCCATGTTGGTTTGCTGCACCTGTCAACTCATCACCTAGGTATTAACCCTGGCATGCATTAGCTATTTTTGCTAATGATCCTCCCACCACCACCCTGCCCCAATAGGCCCCAGTGTGTGTTGTTCCTCTCCCTGTGTCCATGTGTTCTCATTACTCAGTTCCCAATTATAAATGAGAACATGTGGTGTTTGGTTTTCCGTTCCTGTGTGAGTTTGCTGAGGATAATGGCTTCCAGCTTCATCCATATCCCTGCAAAGGACTTGATCTCCTTCCTTTTTATGGCTGCATAATATTCCATGGTGTATATGTACCACATTTTCTTTATCCAGTTCATCATTGATGGGCATTTGGGTTGATTCCATGTGTTTGCTATTGTGAATAGTGCTGCCATGAATGTAAACATGCATGTATCTTTATAATAGAATGATTTGTATTCCTTTGGGTATATACCCTGTAATGCGATTGCTGGATCAAATGGTATTTCTGATTCTAAATCTCTGAGGAATCACCACACTGTCACTGTCTTCCACAATGGATTAACCGATTGACTTTTCCACCAACAGTGTAAAAGCATTCCTATTTCTCTGCAACCTCGCCAGCATCTGTTGTTTCTTGACTTTTTAATAATTGCCATTCTGACTGACATGAGATGGTATCTCATTTGTGGTTTTGATTTGCATTTCTCTAATGATCAGCGATGTTGAGCTTTTTTTCATATTTTTGTTGGCCACATGTATGTCTTCTTTAGAAGTGTCTGTTCAAGTTCTTTGTCTACTTTTTAATGAAGTTTTTTTTTCATGTAAATTTGCTTAAGTTCTTTGTGGATTCTGAATACTAGACTTTTGTCAGATGGATAGACTGCAAAATTTTTCTCCCATTCTGTAGGATGTCTGTTCACTGTGATTGATGATAGTTTCTTTTGCTGTGCAGAAAAAAATGCCTATCAAATTGCTTTTCATTTACAAAAATGTGAATCTCATACTTCAGTAAACTTTATTTTACTTTAGTAAAAATTATTAGCATGATGCCAATAATTTTGGCTTGATGCTGTAGCCCGAAATGGTTAGTTCTAATTGAGAAACAAGTTTTTTTCAAAAACTGGCTATTTGACGGGCATTCTATAATAAACTTAACATCTTTTGTTGTGGTATTGAATGAGATGTGATAGAAGTGATTTGGACACCACTATGATTCTAAATAGTGCTGCTATTACATGCTTCTGAATTTTTTTTTCTTTTTAGCAGTCCTATTCTGTTTTCCATTCATATTTGCTATTCCATCACTGGGTATTCCTCCCTACTCTTTTCATGTTTCATTTATTTTGATCAATGATGTGCATTTCCAATCTGTAAAAGTTTATTTCAGTTTAATGTGTGGTAAAATGTAACATCAAATCTTTGGAAGATGAAATTATCTTGCACAGCAGATTGAACATTGTATCATTGAAAATCTAGAGAGATGCCAGGGAGCCAAGGATCAAATGACCTATTTGTAGCCAATGCCATTTTCATGGCATCCTGGTCCTCTCTGTCACATGGCTCCTTACAATTCTCTGTGGTTTTCTTCCAATGTAAGTAGTTCTTGTTAAGAATCTTTGCAATGAACTTTGAAATTCTTTTCTTTTTCATTTCTATAAAAAACAGGTATATTTTAATTTGGAAAACTCTGTTTAAGGAATTATAATCAAGTATCTACCAGGGTGCCCAGCACTGGTGTAAAACACAAACCTGTAAAGCTACCCTGGGCTGCTACCCAGTCACCCCATAGAAGGAGACCGTTGGGAGCAAGTCCCCCAAAATCTGGCCATAAACTGGCCCCAAGACTGGCCATAAACAAAATCTCTGCAGCACCGTAACATGTTCATAATGGCCCTAATGTCCAAGCTGGAAGGTTGCGGGTTTACAAGAATGAGGGAAAGGAACACCTGGCCTGCCCAGGGCGGAAAACCGCTTAAAGGCATTCTTAAGCCACAAACAATAGCATGAGCGATCTGTGTCTTAAGGGTGTGTTCCTGCTGCAGTTAACTAGCCCAACCTATTCCTTTAATTCGGCCCATCCCTTTGCTTCCTATAAGGGATACTTTTAGTTAATTTAATACCTATAGAAACAACACTAATGACCGGTTTGCTGTTAATAAATATGTGGGTAAATATCTGTTTGGGGCTCTCAGCTCTGAAGACTGTGAGACCCCCGATTTCCCACTTCACACCTCTATATTTCTGTGTGTGTGTCTTTAAGTCCTCTAGCACCACTGGGTTAGGGTCTTCCTGACCGAGCTGGTCTCGGCAGGAGACTCCATCCTGAGTCTTCTGATACGTATTCCTTTGTATTCCTTCAAAGATTTGTGCAATAAGTATATCTATATCTCCCCAAAACAAACCTCAGTTAGTTTTGCTGGTTTTTAAGCTTCCTGTACAGCAAATTCCTACTGCATGTATTTTCCCATGATACACATTATGTGTAGGAGTTATCTGTGGTGTGGGAGGCTGTCATTCATTCATTTTTACGGCTGAAGGCTTACATATCGTTTTACCACAATTTCACCAGTTTCCTATTGATGTACATGTGGCCGATTCCAGTTTTTGCCATAAATATTAGTGTGCATGTCTCCTGTGCACATAGGCAAGAAAGCCCCAAAGCCCCCAGAGTGGATGATTAGGAATGGGTTGGTTGCATGATACATTGTATGGACTTTAACCATACTAGATAATGATAATATGATTTCCAAAGTAATTGTGGCTACTTAAACTTTTACAATAAATGTGTAATACTTGATGTTGATGATGTGTTCTGAAAACACTGAGTTGAAGGAATTGTGTTAAAAGTCACCGTCTTGGTGGTAGAATTATAGCAAGCATTTTTATTCTGTTAATAACTTCCTGTTGTTTACTTGTTTCTCATATAAAAGACATTATGCTTTTGACATATAGATTCAGAAAATGCTTACTTACAGCCCAATCACATAGGGTTATTTTATATTTTAGGAAAATTTTATAATAAAAAGGAAAAAATGGAGGAAGGGAGGGAAAGAAGGAGGAATGGAGGAAAAAGTGAAAGAAGAAAAGAAGGAAGGGGAAGGGGAAGGAAAGGGAGCAAGAAGGAGGGAAGGTGATAGGTTGAATGGAAATAGAGAAGAAAGAGAGGGAGGGAGGGTTAGAAGGAAGGAGAAAGGGAAGGAAGAGGCCAGGTGTGGTGGCTCATGCCTGCAATCCCAGCACTTTGGGAGGCTGAGGCAGGCAGATCATGAGGTCAGGAGATAGAGACCTTCCTGGCTAACATGGTGAAACCCCGTCTCTACTAAAAATACAAAAAAATTAGCTGGGCGTGGTGGCAGGTGCCTGTAGTCCCAGCTACTTGGGAAGCTGAATCAGGAGAATGGCATGAACCCAGGAGGCAGAGCTTGCAGTGAGCTGAGATTGAGCCACTGCACTTTAGCCTGGGCAAGAGAGTGAGACTCCATCTCAAAAAAAAAAAAAAAAAAAGGGAAGGAATAAAGGAGAAAAGAAACTAAAATAAAGAAAAGAATAGGTGTTGAGAAACTAGAAACCCTATGTGTGGCTAATATTATCAAAATAGGAGAAAATAAAAGAGATGTAGTTAACTTCTATAGAATAATGGAAATGTAAGAGGGCTTCATTAGTTATCCATTGCTGTGTAACAAACTACCCCCAAATTTAGTGATTAAACAATAAACATTGAGGAACTCAAAAGCATAATACAAATACCAGCAAAATGGAGCCAATGCAGGTAGAAGTTGAATAAACAAAAAGATTTTACACCTTGGAATAAGTAAGAGATCACTAGTGGGCAGATGAAAATGATTTTATAGTCCAAATGCTCCAAAAAGCAAGTTCCATCATGGGACTAAAGTTATAGCATTTTATTAGGGGACACACCTGTCAGGTGATATGGCAAGGGAGGTAGGTTACCCTGGGAAAGGCAACAAGATGCAAAGGTGATCCCCAGTGATGGACAGAAGGAGACAAGGTTTACTGGATGTGCCATAGACCACAGGCAATCTAAGGAGAGTTAAGCAAGGCCATGGAGGAGTCCTTGAGCTACAGTTGGCCATCAGAGGAGTCCCTGGTCTCCCAGGAATGTCCTGCTTTCGTGTCACTGGTGTGATCTGTCACTGGTTGGGAACAGCCCATTGGAAGCAGGACCTCAGCACCAATGCTACTGAGGATGTCAGAGCACAGGTGCAGGGCCTTGGGAGATTACCGAGCATTACTCAAACCTTCTGCCCTGACGGGTCTGGGTCCTTGGAAATCAAGCTGTCTCAGGCTGAATTGCTGGATGATTCTGCTCACACTTACAATGAGGTAAGGGAAACCAGAAGGCCCCCAGGTGGATCTCTGGTTTCCACACACACTTCCGCCCTCATTGTGTGAAAGTAGCCATGCCTTCTCCTGAAGATGAGGATCTATTACCTGGGCCTGGAGAGGAGGAGAATCCTCTTTTCACCAGGTGGTCTCTGGGCACAAACTATCAAAACTTCTCTCGTGACAGCCATAATGTGTAGTTCAGTGGGCTGTCTTTTGTCTCCTTTTAAGGGTACCCTCCTTGGAAACCAGGACCTCGTACCCTGCACAGCCCAGTGTTGGAAGATAAAACGTGCAAAATACCCCATTGAGTGAATCTAAGGGATTGGACGTGGAGCCAAACCTGCTTCCATCTTTTGATCCCTGGACACACATGTTCTTCCTATTGAGAACACAGCACTCTAGAGACATCTCTGATTCAAACAATGCACCGTGTCCTAAAAGATGGCACCCACCTCTCAGAGTGCTTCCTCCAGGCTGGCACTGAGTTTTGCCTGTAGAAGACCTGTCCAGCATTCCTTGTGGCTGGCAGCCTCTGGATGGTGCAGATGGTGATAGGATTAGTGGAACCCACAGCCATGGAAACACTGAAACTTTCCCAGCCAAGTGGGTCCTTCAGGCAGATAATGGGCTAGGAGCACCGCCTAGCCTGCAGATCAGGAATGTCAACAGCACCCGGAGAGGTGCTGGCTGAGTTTCTGAGAGCAGGACATGAAAACACCCATGGAATAGGAGCCTATCCCTGTGAAGATGAACCTCTGGCCCTTCCAGGATGGAAGTAGCTAAATGTAGTCAACTTGTTACTTAGTGGCTAGTTAGTCACCTAAAGAAATAGTGCCCCACTGGGGCACATCATGGGCCTCAATTGCTAATGAGTTGGACATTCAGAGGTGTCGGCAGCTGGATCTGCCTTGGTAGGGGGGAGTCAGTGCTGTTGGCCCCATACGTAGCCTCATGCCTGCCACTGTGGTTGCTCCATTCATGAACTCATCCTACCAAACCAGGGCTGACCCATGGTGAAGGCTGGCTAACTTCCATTTGTCTGTTTGGTTGTTCAGTGCCACTTCAGACTTGGGTATTTTCTCTGGGTGTAAACATGGGATTCAAGCTCAACCCAGGTGGACCATTTTCACCTCATGATGGATGCTGTTGGGCCTGTCTAATCTATGACTCTGTGGGTCACACAGGCACTCGGAACCACATAGTTGCTTGGTGTCCTGTGGTCAAGCATTCTGTCTAATCAGGACAAGGGACACTAAAAGTTGCTTCTAATAGGTGGCATATGTCTCTGCTGTGAATGACATGACCTTACTCCAGAATCCCAGGCCTTTCACTGTGACTTTCCCACTGGTGCTTGGTTCAGCTCCATCCTGCATCTTTCCCTACCAATGGCATCACCAGCACCAGGGGGTCTGAGAGATGGTGGCTGCTCGCACCATGGCCTGGATCTGCTGCAGGGTCCTTTTCTGTGTGGGCCCTACTTGAAGCTGGCCTCCTCCTATGTCACCTAGAGTGTGGGCCAAAGCAACATACCTAGATGTGGAAAGTGGTGTTGTCAGAACTGGAAGAGGCTCATCAGGCAGTGTGCTTCCTTCTTTCTGGTGAGGATGCAAGATGAAACAGTTTGTCTGTTACCTTGGAGGGGACACACCTGCATTCCCCTAAACACTTGGCCATTGTTCACCCATAAAACTTTACTTCAATGCCCACTATCTTTTTCTTTTTGAGATGGAATTTTGCTCTTGTTGCCCACTCTGGAGTGCAATGGCACGATCTTGGCTCACTGCAATCTCTGCCTCCTGGGTTCAAGTGATTCTCCTGCCTCAGCCTCCCAAGTAGCTGGGATTACCAGCATGGGCCACCATGCCTGGATAATTTTGTATTTTTAGTAGAGACGGGGTTTCTCCGTGTTGGTCAGGCTAGTCTCCAACTCCCAACCTCAGGTGATCCACCCACCTCAGCCTTCCAAAGTGCTGGGATTACAGGCGTGAGCCACTGCACCTGGCCGAGTGGCCACTCTGGAAGCTTTGTAAGGTTTATCTTCACCTTCTGGAGTGCCCGTGTTTTGCCAAGCACTACAGTGCACTTTCTACCTGCTGCTCATCCAGCCAGATCAACAGGAAGTTGTCAATGATATGAGCTGATTTAATATCCTATTGGATATCCAGTATGTTTAGTATAGTCTTAAGACTATACTATAGAGGTCAGGGGAGTTACAATAGCCCTGAGACAAATGATAAATCAATGTTTTGAGGATCCCACATGAATGTGAATCACTCCATATCCACTTTCTAATTGGAGTGGAAAGAAATGCAGTCACCAAATCCACAGCTGCATGCTCTGTGTCCAAGGGTTTATTAATCTGCTCTACCAGTGATATCCAGACAGCACAAAAGCTGCAATTATAACTCCTACTTGGCCAGACCTGGAGTAATCTAGTTCATTCTTTAGGCTTCATCAGGCTTCTTCAGGGACAGGTTGCTGGATTACGTAGAGACAATAGACAGCCCCAACACCATCCCACATCCTTCAGCTCTGTAATGGTGATGTGATCCCCACAATACTTGAAGTATCTTACACAAGACCCACCCTGGGACACACTATGATTTTTGATTTGGCCAGGATGGGGGCAGTGTCAGAGGTTTCCCTTTGGCTTTCAGCACAATGAAAGTCCTTACTCCACAGACTAGGGACCCAGGGTGGGGGTAACTCCACTTAGCAGTGCATCAGTGTCAATTATGCACTCAGGGTATAGGAAGATAACCAGGGCTGGGTCTATGGATCCAGTAGTTCCATTGTGGGCCATAATGTGTCCAGGTTTACTCCCTGAGCTCCATAAGCCCCACTGTGATGAGAGACATGATAGTGCTGTGGGCATCTGAGCATCAATGTCAGTTCACACCCAGTGTCAATAATCTCCCCAGTTCTGCCTGTTTCCTTTCCCCAGTGTACAATCTCCTGAGTAAATGGC
The DNA here is from genome assembly GCF_000001405.40 of Homo sapiens. Classification (NCBI taxonomy): domain Eukaryota; kingdom Metazoa; phylum Chordata; class Mammalia; order Primates; family Hominidae; genus Homo; species Homo sapiens. The sequence goes on along the minus strand of NT_167246.2, from coordinate 1,132,748 downwards.
TATATGGTCCTTTGCCGAAGGACTGAGGGAATTGTCCCAGCATACACTTCCACGGGGTTGCAGAGTATTCCGCCTAGAGATATGGACTCTTCCTCTGTCACTGAGATCTGAATCTGCATCTTGGCTGAGGTCTAGGCATTGAGGATGGGATCATGATTTTGTATTGAGTCAAACACCTTCACCCTCCTGCTTCTCAATTCTTGCTTTCTTATCATAGATATCAACCAGCTGCCTGTCCTAACCCTGGGACACCACCCTCTATTATACTTCCCCACATTCCCTGCAGCTTGAGTCCTCTTGGCTTCTCCTCAGAGGTTGCCATAGTAACCGTGCCCTCTGGCTTTTGCAAGTCACTGCCACCACTTGGTCTTTGTCTCTTCAGGGCCACACTCTCCCCAGTGATATTAGAAATGAAACTCTGGGACTATCTTTACTACCATCACCCCCAGCCTACAAAGGACAATACCCTGACACTTCTTAGTGATGCAGGTCCCTCTCACCATCAAGTTCCTGAGGCTCTGGTGGAAGGTGTGTCCTCTGGGCCCTCTTGTAGAGCATGGTTTTGGTAGGCCTTCACCAAGCCCACTCCCCTCAGCTTGTTATTCCATCCTCTACATGTTCCAGGGCAACTAAGACATGTCTACCTTGTTGAGAGTTGGGCATGTTTTTTTCTAGACTATGTGGATACACCCCAGCAGTGGGTTTACTCCACTTATCAAAGTCCTGGAGTGTTTGATAAATCCATGCCCTGAGAAAGTGTCTTCAAGCCAAAGGATTATATTCATCCAGCCTGAAATTCTGGTTCCTTGATCAAACACCCTCAAATTCCAATCCCAGAAGTAGTCCCTGGGCTCCTATGGGGACGTGCTGGCTAGTTCCTGCAAACCTCCTGAGTGGGATTCCCGCGGCATCATAGGGGTGAGGATTGTGTAGCATCTTCCAGCAGTGAAAGTGGGAACCATTACTAGAGAAGGGTGAGCCTCCTCTGCATGCCCAGAAGATCCTGGAGGGCATGCATCGCATAATCCTGTTCCAGTTTGCAGAATCTCAGGTTTCCCCACCAAAGCCCTGACTTTCCTGTAACAGGCCTGCCTTGGCTGAGTGTCAAACATCTCTGGAGCACTGTGGCCCTCATAGTGATGTAGAGCTAACATTCCTTGCTATCTGCCCTTTTGCTACAGGAGATAAAGACCTGTCCATGAGACACTGCCGAGGGTGTCAAATGTAGCCAGTCATAGCTGTCAACAATCCGCAGATTCTCATTATCTTTTTACACAGCATCGATGCAGCTGAGAAGTAACTAGCCAAAGCCACTGTCTTTGTAGGTTTCTTCCAACCCTGTCCTTATTATGCAGGGCATTCTATCACTGCATGTGCCATAGCACTCCCTAACCAAGGCAACTTCTCAGCTCAGCACTGGTGAGACCCCCAGCTGCTCAGCTGCACCTTGTGCCATGGACTTTCTGTGTCTGCCACCAACCCGGGTGGCATCCTCTAGGCCTGCCAGGCAGTGGGAAGCTTATTTCAAATTCCCATTTTTGCCTGTTTTCATGGATGACCCTTCATGCCACTTGTGTTAGTTAGGGTCCCCTGAGAAGCGGACCCCAATACAGTAGTAAACATGTAAGGATTTATTAGGGGAAATACTTGTGAGAGAAATTCATGAGATAGAAAATGCTGGGAAAGCCACTGGACCACAAAGCAACGCTGAGCCTCAGTGATGTAGAGAGTGCAGGAAGGTCAGCTGGAAGCATCCTAGACCCTGTGCAGGCTAAGGGAAGTTCAGTAAGGGTGGCAGGGAGCCCTGGAGCTTCAGTCAGCCTTCAGAAGAGGAATGTCCTGCCTTAGTTTCTGCCCTACTTTCCTCAATCATTGGCTGGAAAAAGCCAGGGGTGGGCATAGTCTCAGAGCAAATGTGGCAATAGATTTCAGACTTCAAGAGCTGGGGCCATCATCAATTCTGCTTCTTCTAGATGAGGGGCTGGGATGTGCATTCTCATGACTGCCACAATGATCCAGTGGGGAGAGAGGAAAAAGGTTGACAATAAAGATAAAAATGGTATTAATTGATGAACTGACACCTTTAAGTAGATGATAAGGGATGGCAATTGGGGCACCAGAAGAGGGTCTGGCTCTGGCTGGGAGCAGAAGGGTTAACCCACAACAGTCCCTCACATGGTAAAACGCCTGACATGTGGTGCAGCTGCAAATGCATGAGCAGACAGTGGTGGAATCTGTGAAGTTGTCTTCTAATGTGTTCAGTTTTCTCAGTGAAGTGGGAAGCAAGGTTATCAGCTGAAGTAAGAATGGGGAAGGCAGGTTGGATGTGTGAGCACAAAGAAAAGGTGTGTAAGAGTCACCCAGGCCAGGAGGAGGCTGAGGGTGAGCCATGCAGGGAGAGGGTGATTGCTGGCCATGGTAGGGACTTCCTATGTGGTTTGGAATCCTAAATTTTAAGAGACCAGTCAGCGTACTGTGTGCTGCTCTCCAGCCTCCTGCAGCTCATGGGGGCAGGCTCAGCATAGGCAGAGGTGGAACCCACCAGCTGTGTAGTTTTGCCAGGTGAGTGTGACAATTCAAGGGAGAGGGAAGGGAGGGATGGAAATTATTTACCATAGAATTCAAAATGGGTGAGGAGGGAGGACAGGACACCCAGGGTGAGGGACAGTGAGTAGATGGCAGGATCACTGGATTGGGAATCCCAGGAGGGTGGAACGATTGTTGGAATTGATGTACTACAGGGTAGACTCCAAGCATGGAAAGCAAGCACATATGCAATGAGTGGTCCACTGATATTACATCACAGCATATGATAAAATGATAGTATCTGTGTCCTCAGAGCCTGTGGCCACCTTGCAAGGGGATGAGTGGAAAGATGGTCAGAGAGTGGGAAGTGTGAGATAGAGAGTATGGAAGGGCTGGGGTTCTTAGCCATGATGAGGCCTAGGGGATAACAAGGGCATGAGATTCAGGCAGACAGGAGAAGATCATGGAGGAGAGGAGTTCCAGGATCTGAGAGGCCAGGAAGCGAGGGCATCTTCTCTGCTGTGTGGGTGTCTATTGCTGCCATAAAAATTACCACAAACCAAATGGCTTTAAACAGCACCTATGTATCATGGCACAGTCGTGTGGATTGCAAGTCCACCCAGTCTCATGGGGCTAAGATCAACATACGGGAAGGTCTGCATTCCTTTCCATAGACTCTGGGGAAGAATCCACTTCCAAGCTCATTCAGGTTCTTGCCTGAATTCACTTCCTTGCAGATAGAAAAGAGGTTTCCACTTCCTTGTTAAGAGCCACCCTTAGCTCCTAGAGCCTTCTCTCAGATACTCACACACGGTGCCTAAGGCACATTCAATCCTCCTGCTTGGAACTTCTGACCTCCCCTCTCCAGCTTCTCCTCTGCCTTCCTCCTCTGCAGAATCTGACTCCAACCAGGGCAGGCTCTCTGCTTTTAATGGCTCTTGTGATTTGATTGGGCCCACACAGAGAGTCCAGCAGAATCTCCCTATTTTAAGGTCCTTAATCTTCATTACATGAGTAATATCCCTTTTGCCACGCAATGCAACCTGTTCACAGGTTCCAACGATTAAGACTGGACATCTTTGGGGACCATTACTCAGCCCACCACATCTGCGTATGTTGAAGTCACCAAGAGTCAAGGAGACAGCAATGCTGGAGAGGGTGACAGTGAACCAGGAGCTACAAGACTCAGGATTGAGAAGAACAGCCTGGGGCCCACAGGGAATGGTTACAGTGAGGCAAATGGGGCTCTAATCTGATGACAGCCTAGGGGTTTTAGGGAGGAGGGAGGCAGAAAGTTCTGAGAACCACAATGAGGAGCAAGGACCCCACCTCACCTCTGAACCCAGGGGTACAAGTCCCTGGGGAAACTCCCCCATGTGGGAGGACTTCGGAGGGGGTCATGTCCTCAGGGAGACCCAGGTTGCTGCTGGAGCTGCGAGATGCAGGAACATCCTGAGAGAGGATGAGGAGGTTTTGCTGATGTGGACTGAGAAATCCAGGGGGTGCACTGGGAAGATTTCTGTGGCTGGGGAGGTCGGGGAGACAGAATAGAGGTGTGCAGAGCCTTGTGGGGATGCAAGTGCAGAGTATGTGGGGGACCCAGTGTGACTGACACAAACAGGGACAGAGCATGATGAGCTCAGTCCAGGTGCACTCCAGGCCGACGATGGTGCTGAGCCTGTGGGAGATGCGGGAGGAGGAGCAGGGGTGGCTTTCACCTGGGCTCTGTCCATGGAGGTGAGGACAGTGAGGTGGTTGGGTCTTAGTGCTGTGGGGAACTTTTCTTGACCTCCTGATGACTGGATGGAGTGTCTGAGGGAGGAAGGGTCTTACAGGATTGACTCATGACCCTGAGGGATGTGCTCACTCCAGGTCTCAGGTCTGTCCTGACACCTTTATTTGTGGCTTAGAGCTCCCTACTGTAAATTATTAGGAGTTAGTTCATTTTGGAGTTTATAACTTAAAGCAGAAATTCAGATGGTTGAAATGTCATTTTCATGAAGGTTTGTTATTAGTGTATCATTTAGATTGTTTTGCAAAAGTCTCATTTTTTTTCTAAAGGGTTGCCAATCTTGTTTTAAATTTTACAAAGGTTGTTAATTTATCTTCACTGTTAATTGGTTGTGGGTTGTTTAAACTTATACTGTGTAGTTTTACATATCTGTAACAGCAGTAGTTTGGGCCTCTTATATTCTAATAATTAAGACTTTCAGCTGTGTACACACTGTAATTCAAGCACGAGTCATGCATAACCCTAGCACTAAGAGACAAGAGGGGAATCCCTCTCTCTGAAAATTTTGCAAAATTCTGGGTTCTTTTTCCACTGAGTGGGCACAAGTCGGCTAATCATGAACATGAGGTATTTGTCCTCATTTAAAGGTGCTTCAGAAGCACTGACCCCTAGGAAGGCCTCCTTGTCTGGGTCAGGCACCCTACACCATGGCAGAGGCCATCTTCCCTCCCAGTGTACAGTGATATCCCAGATAGCTTACTGGTTAGCTGCTGTCCACTCTTGGGCAGTTTTGTCTTCTAAAACATGGGTTTTTATCTGAGAATCTTCCTGTTCCCAGATGATCAAAACTGGGGCCATCCATTCCATTCTGAGCCACTTCTGCCCAGGGGCCCATTGCTATTTCCTCCAGTCACAACAGAACACCCCTTCAGAACAGCCTGCAGGAAGGCCCCGTCTCCTCACAGGCTCACACATGCACGGTGTGTGCACAGAGCTTTTGCTCTAGTTCAGGAGGTGTGTGGGGAGCCTCACTAGTCCAACAGAGCTTGGTACCAGTGTCATATGCCAGGAACCAAGGTTATAAGGGATACAATGTCCCCAGACCTACCAGAGAAAGCAAACTCATACAGCTTGCAGGACCAGACAAGGACAAGAACAAGTTCAAAAGAGGGAAAGGGAAATTATAGACATACCTCAGAGATACTGCAGATTTGGTTTCAGACCATGGTAACAAACAAGCCACACAAATTTTTGTTTTTCCAGTACATATAAAAGTTATATTCACACTCTACTGTAGCCTAGTAAGTGTACAATAGCATTATGTATGAAAGAACTATGTACATACCTTAATTTAAAATTACTCTATTGCTAAAAAATGCTAACGGTCGTCTGAGGCTTCAGCTAATTTTAATCTTTTTGCTGGGGGAGGGTCTTGCCTCAATGTTGATGACTACCGGCTGTTCAAGAGGGTGGTTGCTAAAGGCTGCTGTGGCAATTTCTTAAAATAAGACAATGAAGTTTATGGCATGGATTATAAAGGGGGAATCAGTACTTAAGTAAGGTCAATATGAGTTTTCAAGTCAGGTGGACTTGAATATGAACCCTCCAGGCCTTTCCACCAACTAGCTATAGAGCCTTGGGCACATCTGGCCCAGAGCTGGCCCCGACAGACACTTGCCCAGTGGGTGAGTGCTCAATGAACCCATCTGAGCCAATTGTCTCATCCAACCAGTGATATAATTCCTTCCTTGCAGAAGAATAAGTGAGAAAAGACACAGTGCCAAGAAATTCAGACACAAGACCTGCGGAAGTCTGCGCCAGTGCTCTAAAGCAAGTTCTGCCTAAAGCGGCAGAAACATTTTTCACATTAGGAACAGGAGTTGTTTGGGATCCTGTCTGGGGCCAGGTTGAGAGCAGAGTGGGAGTGGGGGCCTGGGCAGGACCAGGCACTGGAGTGAAGACAGGCCTGGAGAGAGCTGACTCCTGGAGGCTGCTGAGCGGCTCAGACAGCTCCTTGCCTCACCTGCCACAGTCCTCCCTCTCCCCTGGCCTCCAAGTACCCGGGAGTGCGAGCCTGGGCCCCGGGAACCGGCACCTTGAGGGCTGGAGAGGGACCCCGCCCGCTCCCTGTCTCCCTGACGCGCTCTCTCCGCCTCCCCGCGGGTACCCAGCCTCCCGGGCTCCCTCCTGCCTACCGCCCGGCCCTGGAGCCGCTTACCTGGGAGCTTCTTACGGTGTAGGGGGAGCTGGGGAGGGGACAGAGGGACAGGGACCACGGGAGGGTGGCGTGGGGCGGCGTACTTGGAGATATGACCTGAGGAGTCTGCAGACCCCAGACCGGGGCAGAAGAGCCGTGGGAGGAGCTGCTGAGCTCTCCAGGCCGCCCTTTACCTCCTGCCTCCCCAGCCCAGTTCATCTTGATCCTCTCCTCACTAGCCCAGGTCTCCCCAAGGTCAGGGCTCATAGAGCAGCAGGAGTTGGGTTCCGGGACGCGGGATCCGGCTTCTCTGGGAATCTTGGATTCCAGGAAGGATCCTGGAGATCTCCCACTTTATGAAGCCCAATCTCCACTCACTGTGATGGCGTCTTTAGACCCCACTGGAAACCAGATACGACGCCCTCATCGGCCCTGGGGAAAAAACAAGAGCAAAGTATGAGAGGTGGCCATGAGGTCAGGGAAACTCCTGCAGAATTCTCAGGAAAGGAAACTCTTCCGAGCTGGGCCCTTGGCTTAGTTTGTCTTCCCTGCCCAGCCACCTGTCCCAGAGCTGGAGACGCCCAGGTTTAAGCCAGAGATTTTGGATACTTTCCTTGATGGTGACATAATTTTTGTCTTCTCTCCTGGAAGAGAAGCCCCAGAACCATCAGAGTGATCCAGTCTGCCCACTCTTCTTATTATTCTGTCTCTCCAATCACTCTCCCTGAGCTGGACTCTCCACCCACCCTCACATTCTGGATAGTGCAGAGATGTGAGCATGGCCCTGGGGCAGGATTGTCTGCGTGCAAGCCCAGCTCCACCACGACTTGTAGGCGACCTTCTTTCCTATTGTATCACCTGAAAACGGAAAATTAGCAGGCACACCCCATAGATGTATCGTGACAATTAAATGAATTCATATTTTGAAAGTGCTAAGGACACGGATTAACACATAGCACCATGACAGTGTATGATATTATCGCTGTTGGTTTTTTTTTTTTTTTTTTTTTTTTAGATGGAGTTTTGCTCTCGTTACCCATGCTGGAGTGCAGTGGCACCATCTCGGCTCACTGCAACCTCCACCTCCTGAGTTCAAGCGATTCTCCTGCCTCAGCCTCCAGAGTAGCTGGGATTACAGGCGCCCGCTACTACACCCAGCTAATTTTTTGTATTTTTAGTAGAAACGGAGTTTCCCCATGTTGGGCAGTCTGGTCTTGAACTCCTGACCTCAGGTGATCCACCCTCTCCGGCCTCCCAAAGTGCTGGGATTACAGGTGTGAGCCACCATGCCCCGCCGTTGTTGCTATTTCTTTCATCCTTTTTGCTTGAGCCTCTTCTCTTCTTTCTAGGTTCCCAGGGAAATTCTCTGTTGGAAGATTATGCCTGCAAGAGGCCTCCACCTGGGAAATGCTGGCCCATGGGGCGATCTCCCTTTTATTAAATGGAATGATTGTTGGTGAAGTGACAGCTAGTGAGCCAGTGACAGTACGGTTCATGTAAAAAAGACCACATACCTAGGATTACCTCCATTTTAATAAAGACACATCCCACACATTATAAGTCCAATGTGATTTGTGAGGAGATTGCTTTGATTTGCTCACGAAAAATATTACTCTACTTTCTTTGAGAGAGTTTTGCAACACATTTCAAATCTCTGCTTCTCATTTCACACTATCTGGCTCATGAGTGAAGGTGATAAGTGTCGTACTATGCTCTCAGGTTTGTCTGTCAGAGTCATAGTCATGTATTACACATAAAGATTATTTTCTTGTTATCATTTATTTATATATATTATACTCATGGGATATAGATAGATATTATTACAGTGCTTAAATGGCTACTACTGATATCTATACATTTTCTCTCTTGGTATATGATATTAACACATAGAATTGTATACTGTTACTTTGGTTTCCAGCAATTGCTGATTAGGTCATTTGGACCACTTCTCCCATTGAGTACAACTGGAAAAATGGGAGGAAAATACATATTTGAAAAGTCTGGTTGAATTTATAGATGGGCTAGCAAAGCAGTGAAGATTTGCTTGGCCAGGAACCAGGAAGAGGCAGAAATCCAGAAGAGCATCTTGAGCTATGGGGCTGCTTTTTTGGATCAGATGCAGTGACACCTGCCTCCCAGGCAAGAAGCCAACTTCTGGGATTCAGAACTAAAGTGTCCCAATATTTAGAAGGTCTCTTGGTCTCTCTAGAGTTCAGTGCTCATTGGCCAGGGCTATGATACTCACACTCATTCCTTGGAGGAGCCAAGCTTCGGGTTTGGCTGCCTCTGGGACATTTCATGCTAGAAAAACCCCAACATGTGTAGATAAATGGTATAGAGGACACCAGCCACCCTTCGATGGAGCTCTGCCCAGTAGTGTCCCCTCACTTCCACTCAGAGACAACATGCCCATTTCACTAAATTCATGAGGACATGGCCAACATAAGTAAGAGAACACCGGGAGGTACCTGGGACAGAGTTCCATGCAGTCACAGCTTTTGCGTCTCTGTGTCTTTTCCCTTCATCTCAACCAGAGAGCATTTGCCGAGGCCGAAGAACAAAAAACTTCAAATATTGGAGCGGAATCTAAGACCACTGATCCATTGTGATCAGGAGGCTGGAGCCATGTGGTCCAGGAATAATGAAGTCTGTGAGGCCTTGGTCACCCCAAGGCTCTCTCCCATTAGGAGCTGCCTCTCACTGCTATCAGGGAGGACCCAGGAGCTGGACATGGCTTTTTTTTTTTTTTTTTTTTCATTTCTGATGAGAACCTGGAGAGGTCCCAGAGCATATAGACCTTGATTGAAATGGGGCCAGAGTGGAGTCAGGCAAAAAACTCTAATGACTCAGAGGCACCTAAGTATAAAATAAAATCTCAACTCAGAGCTTCCATCAGAGCATCAGGCTCAGTATCTCCTGTGTTTGCACTGTGAGTACTGGAGCTTGATGAGAAGAAAAATAGCTACATGTGCAGAAAAACATATGTAGTTAGAAAGCTGGGTCATGGTTCAAGGTAAGAGGGACCCTTGTCTTTTCCGTGGTAGATAGTGGGGCTTTCTGCCATCTTAGTTCTGATGGACCAAGTGCAGAAGATAAACTTTCCTGCTTTCAGCTTAGTGACTGGTAATAGAAGCTGGAGTTAAGAGAATCAGTGGCAGCCTCTCTCTCCATGCCCCAGCCCAGTAAATCTAAGCCAGGACTTGGGGCTCTGGCACTTTCTTCTCACTGTGCGTCCTCCTTCTCTGGCTCAAAAGAGAACCACATGTAACAGAAACCAAGGGCTACAATTCTCATAGAACCCAGAAAACTGGACTAGGGGCCTAGAGAGTCATGTGCCTGCCATTGTTCCACCGCTTACGTGCTGTGTGACCTCAGGAGAAGCTCTCTGCTCTTTGAATCATCTGTGAATCATGGACAAACACCTCCATGCTAGCAACATTACTGAAATGCAGGGAGGAACAAGTGATTCAATTGGGAGGAAAAAAAACAAAGTGATGACATTTACTCCTAGACAAAACTTTTTAGGAAAATGTATCTTAAAAGTAGGAGAAAAACATATAATACCTGCAATCCCCTGCAAAAGAAGCCTCTTTAGCTTACTACTTGTTCATCGTCTTTCTGTGAAATTTGGGCAAAACTAGCTCCCTCATTATCTCAAATAAATTAATGCAGTTGGCGATTCTATGTCAGTTTAGGTCTACAACTTTTGCTTTGTGTGAAACTGAAAGGGAATGGGAACATCTTCATTTTTCTGTGGTGGCCAGGGGACACTCAGAGGCTTGGAAATGACCCTATATCATCTATTTTCAATTGCCTCACTCTATCTTTTGAAATCTCAGGTAATTCATACTCCTAAAAAAATCTCATGTTCATACATAGGACAAGGTAGAAAAGGTAATATTCCTGTTTTAATTTGCTAGGGCTGCCATAACAAAGTACCAAAGGCTGGGTGACTTAAATAATAAATATGTGTTGTCTCACAGTTCCAGAGGCCACAGGTGCAAGGTCAAGGTGCTGCAGGGTTGATCTCTTCTGAGGCCTCTTTCCTTTGCTTGTAGATGGCCACTTCTTCTGCCTTCTCAACATAGGGCTTCAACATGTGGATTTTGGTGGCGTAGGAACACAATTCCTCTTGTAACAGTCTGGATCGTCTTTGACAATGGATGTTCTAAAAAATAAAAGAGAGTAATAGACAGTACAACCCTTTGGCTGAAATCTTTCTCTTGGTTTTCTAAAATTTTGGTCTTGCAATAGAAAAAACAAGAAAGAGAACCAAAGTTTAGTTCTTCCCGGAAGGTGAGGCCTCCTCCCTAAGTCTGTGTAATCCCAGACACTAAGACATGGTGCTGTGCAGTTCTCCAAAGTCCTACTCACTCCAGTGATTCTGTTTCTGTCTTTTTAACTGAGCAGAAGAGTCTCTTTCAGGAGAGCAACTTCTTCTGATGCTTTATGGGCTTTATTCTCCTTAAACTTATGGAATGAAAAAGATCTTAATAAAAAGGAAAATATTTGCCAAATTTTTATCATGCTCATAATTTTTGTACCTTTTTAAATGCCCCATATTGTGTGGTTTATTTTTTAAATTTTTTAAAATTGATACATAATATTTGTACATATTTATGGGATACATGTGACATTTTGATACATGCATAGAATGTGTGTATCAGTCAAGATATTTAGGGTATCCATGACCTCAAGCATTTATCATTTCTTTCTGTTGAGAACATTTTAAATTCACTCTTTTTTGTTTTGTTTTGTTTTTTGAGATGGAGTCTCACACCATCACCCAGACTGGAGTGCAGTGGCACGATCTCGGCTCACTGCAAGCTTCGCCTCCCGGGTTCACACCATTCTCCTGCCTCAGCCTCCCGAGTAGCTGGGACTACAGGCACCCACCACCACGCCCGGCTAATTTTTTTTTTTTTTTTGTATTTTTAGTAGAGACGGGGTTTCACCATGTTAGCCAGGATGGTCTCGATCTCCTGACCTCATGATCCACCCTCCTCGGCCTCCCAAAGTGCTGGGATCACAGGCATGAGCCACCACGCCCAGCCAAATCCACTCTTATAGCTATTTTGAAATATACATTTTTGTTAACTTTAGTCAGTCTGCTGTGCTATCAAACATTAGAACTTATTTTCTCTATATAATTGGACATTTGCATCCATTAACCTGCATCTCTATATTTTCCCACCCCTACATTCTTCCCAGTTTCTGGGAACTGTCATTCTACTCTCTCTACCTCCCTAAGATTAACCTTTTTGGCTCGCACATATTAGTGACAACATGTGGTATTTGTCTTTCCTTGCTTGGCTTATTTCACCTAACGTAATGACCTTTGGTTACATCCATGTTTCTGCAACTGACAGGATTTCATTCTTTTTTATGGCTGAATTGCATTCCATTGTGTATATATATACCACCATTTATTCATTCACCCATTGATGAATTCACCCATTGATTTCATAACTTCGCTACTGTGAATAGTGCTTCAATAAACCTGGGGGTGCAGGTAGTCTTTTGATATATTGATTTCTTTTCCTTTATATAAATACCCATGAGTGGAGTTGTTGGATCCAATAGTAGTTCTATTTTTTGTTTTTTGAGAAATCATTATACTGATTTCCATAATTGCTGTACTTACTTTCCCAAGAGTGTACAACAGTTCCCATTTCTCCACATGCTCACCACTATCCATTATTTTTTATTTCCTATTAGTAGCCATTCTAAATAGGATAAGATGATATTTCATTATAGTTTTGATTTGCATTTTCCTGATATTTAATAAGGTTGAGTGTTTTTCGTATACCTGTTGACCATTTGTATGTCTCCTTTTGAGAAACATCTATTCAGACACTTTGTCCATTTTTTAATTGGATTATTTGTGTTTTTACTGCTGAGTTTTTTAAGTTCCTTGTATATTCTAGATGTTAGTTCCTTGCTGGATGAATACATAGCAAATATTTTCTCTATTCAACAGGTTGCCTCTTCATTCTGTTGATTGTTTCATTTGCTGTGCTGAAGCTATTTAGTTTAATATAGTCCCACTTGTCTATTTTATTTTTGTTGCCTGTGCTTTTGAGGTCTTAGCCATAAAGTCTTTGCCCAGACCCATGTCTGGAGTGTTTCCTGTAAGCATTCTTCTAGTAGTTTTATAGTTTTGGGACTTACATTTAAATCTTTAATCCATTTTGAGTTGATTTCTGTATATGGTGGGAGACAGGGTTCTAGTGGTATTCTTCTGCATCTGGTAGCATTTTCCCAGCTCCATTTATTCTCCATTGTTGCTTTTGTTCTTTCTCCATTGTATATTCTTTACCAAAAATGAGTTGGCTATCAATGCATGGATTTATTGTGAGTTCTCTTTTGTATTCCATTAGTCTATGCGTCTGTTTTTATGCCAGCACCATGCTGATTTGGTTACTATAACTTTATATTGTATTCTGAATTCAGGAAGTGTGATACCTCTAGCTTTGTTCTTCTTGCTCACGATTGCTTTGGCTATTTGGGATATTTTATGATTCCATATGAATTTCATAATTTTTTCTATTTCTGTGAATAATGATATTGGTATTTTGATAGGGATTGAATTGAATCTGTAAATTGCTTTGGGTAGTATGAACATTTTAACAATATTCTCCCAATTTATGTGCATGAAATTTATGTGTTTCATTTTTTAAATTAATATTTAACAATATTAATTCTCCCAATTTGTGTGTTTTATTTTTTTTCCTTAGAGACAAGGTCTCACTATGTTTCCCAGGCTAGTCTTGAACTCCCAGGCTCAAACAATTCTCCTGTCTCATCATCCCAAAGTGCCAGGATTACAGGTATGTGCCACTGCGCCTGGCTCTTCCAGTTTTGTGTACTCTTCAATTTCCTTCATCAGTGCCTTATAGTTTTTGTTTTACTTCCTGGGGTAAATTGATTCTTAGTTATTTTATCCTCTTTATGATTTGTAAATAGTTTTGCTTTCTTGATTTCTTCTTCAGATTATATGGTGCTTGTATATATAAATGCTCTGAAAGTTTGCACATTGATTTTGTATCCTGTAATTTTACTGAATTTGCTTATTAGTTCTCACCATTTATTTGGTGGAATATTTAGATTTTTCTTTCTTTCTTTCTTTTTCTTTTTTTGAGATGGAGTCTCGCTCTGTCATCCAGGCTGGAGTGCAGTGGCGCGATCTCGGCTCACTGCAAGCTCCACCTCCTGGGTTCACGCCATTCTCCTGTCTCAGCCTCCTGAGTAGCTGGGACTACAGGCGCCCGCCACCACGACTAGCTAATTTTTTTTTTTTTTTTTTTTGTATTTTTAGTAGAGACGGGGTTTCACAATTTTAGCCAGGATGGTCTCGATCTCCTGACCTCGTGATCCGCCTGCCTTGGCCTCCCAAAGTGCTGGGATTACAGGCGTGAGCCACCGCACCCGGCCAATATTTAGTTTTTTCTGAGTAAAAGATTATGCCATTTGCGAATAAGGCTAAGTTGGCTTTCTCCTTTCCAATTTGGATGCCCTTTATTTCCTCCTCTTGGCTGATTGCTCTTGCTAGGACTTCTAGTGCTGTGTAGAATAAAAGTGATGAAAGTGGGAGTCTTAGCCTTCTTCCAGATCTTGGAGGAGAGGCTATAAGCTTGTCCCTATTCAGTATAATGTTAGCTGTGTGTTTGCCATATATGGACATATCATGGTGTATTATTCTTTTGGTATACTGTTGGATTTTGTTGCTAATATTTTTAATTATTATTTTTATCAGCAACTTTATAATTTTTATTATAAGCTTTTTAAGCTTATAAAATGTACATATACCAAAATAATCAGATCTTCATCAAATTTATCAATGAATTTTGACCAATACAGCATATTACTCTTGCCACTATCAATGTACATAAAGATCCCTTTTTCTCCCTTCAACTCAGCTTCCATGCCTCCAGCAGCCATTGATCTGACGGCTGTCAGGATAGCACAGTTCTTCCTGTTTTAAAACTTCATACAAATCTACTCATCCCATATGGCCTCCCTTGTATCTGGCTTTTTGCGCTTGTTGTAATACCTATGTGATCAATCCATGTTGGTGCACGTATCAGTAGTTCTTTCATTTTCATTGCTGATAATATTCCATTGTATGACTGAATCATGATTTTTGTACATTGGCAGTTATTTCTTGTTTTTTACTATTATAAATAAAGAAACTATGAACATTTTTATGCAGGGATTATCGACAAAATCTTCATTTCTCTTGAGTATATACCTAGGAGTGGAAATGGTAGCTGTAGAGGACTAGCTTGTTTAACTTTATTAGATGATATGAAATTGATTTTCAAAATGGATGTTTTATATTCCTATAGGCAATGGAGGAGAGTACAGATTGTTCCACATCCTTGCTAGCATTTATAGTTATTAATCATTTTAATTTTAGCCATTCTAATGGTTGCTTAGTGGTTTCTCACTGTGGTTTTACTTTGCATTTTTCCCTGAACTGGCCATTCATATATCTTCTTTTGCAATGTTTCAGATTTCTCTACAGATTGTGGAAGGTGCTAAATAAAGATGAGTCCTCTTTCTCTAGTGCTGGACCTAAAGCAGAATGTTCAGAGTCCCTCCACATATCCCAATCCAGCCAACCACATACCATGTTTGCCTCCAGAAGCTCCTACTCCTTCATCCGTCTTTCACGGTCTATCACTTCATTCTGGCTTAAGCTCACACTCCTCCAGGAAGTCAGTTACTGTGAAGGTCACTAACATGCTCAGTATTGTCATGTCTCCACCTGTCTTTACTTCTCTGTAGCTTTCCTCACACTCAACGACTCCTTTTTATTTTGCTCAATTTCTGTGGATTCACTTCACAAATTTTATTATAAGGTAGTTCTAGCTAGAAGAAAAAATAGAGAATTATAAGAAATCTTTGTGAAGCTGCCACCCAGGTTTGTCAATTTGTGACATTTTAATATTATTGGCTGTATGTAGTATACATAGAAAATAACAGAAACACGTGTAGATAGCCCTGATTTTCCACAGTTCTGTTATGCATGTGTTTCAGTCAATACTGTACTGAGCAAAGCAAGAACTGTTGGTGAATGTGTGTCTTGAATTTGCTGTATGCCCCTATATTCTTACTAAGTTTTAAAAAGTCTCTTGTTTTTGTTTGTTTGTTTGTTTGTTTTTAACATGGTTTCACTTTGTCACCTGGACTGAAATGCAGTGGCACAAACACAACTCACTTCAGCCTCTACCTGCCAGGCTTAAGCAATTCCTCCCTTCTAGGCCTCTTGAGTAGCTGGGACTAGAGGTTCGCGCCACCATGCCTGGCTAATTTCTGTAATTTTTGTAGAGAAAGGGATTTATCATGTTTCCCAGACTTGTCTGGAACGCCTGGGGTCAAGCAATCTGCCCACCTTGGCCTCCCAAGATGCTAGGATTATGGGTATAGGCCCCCTTGCCTGGCTTTACTTTTAGACTTTTTATAAATTGTTTCTTGCTGATTTTGTTATGCATTTGCTTGCTTTTTCCGTTAACATGGTCTATGAGATGGATCAATGTTCACACAAATAGTTCATTTGTTTTCATTGCTAGATAGTATTCCATGGGAGGAATATGCTACAATTTATCTCTTCCCCACTTCATTGACCTCTACATAGTCTTTATTAAAGACACTGCTGCAATGAACATGCTGGGACATTGCTTTCTGGTTCCAAGAATATGTGAGCTCCCCTAGGATATGCATGTAAGAGTGGGGTCACTGCACCCTTCCCATATGATGCTACATGATGTCAAATTGTTCTCTGAAAGAAATAATCCAAATGCCTATCAGTAGGGAGCTGGTTAAAAAGCATTGCATTCAAAAAGGGTAATCTCTATTTTAAAAAATGCATGCCTATACAATGGATTGCCAAGAAATTTTTGAACAAAAAAAAGAAAGACATAGTGTAGTTCTTGATATTTCTTCATGGGATGGTCTCCGTGATACAATGGTAAGGGAAAACAGCAAGGTACAGAAAAGCATATGTAGTTTGCTAAAATTTGTGTGCAAAGGGAGAAAGAACATACACATATACATTTATATTTGCTTGCACAGTCACAAAATACCTTTGAAAGAATAAGCACTGCCTGATGAGTTTGGAGTGAGAGATGGTCAGGATGATTTCCCGCACAGTCAGGTTGTTTGAAGGGAGGGGAAAAGAGCAAGCAGCAAGTTTTGTGTTTCTGCAAAGACAGAGACAGTGCAGGAGACACTGAGAGCCTGGAGTGTCCGGGAAACCCGAGTCTTTCTGCCATTTCCCCACTTCTGTGTATCTGGCAGGGGGTGGTGATTTCTCATCCTTGAACCTAATTGCACTGTCAGTTGGCCCCTCAGGCCTGGGCAGATGGGATGGTTCATCCCCTGCCCTGCAGCAAGAGGGCCCTGTCCAGGAGGCACCCACAGCAGGGGCAGTGCAGGTCTGTGGTCGCTCCTGCTCTCACCTGTGGTGTCTCCTGAAGAGGGATTGTCAGTTCTGGTTCCCCGTGGGTGGGAACGGTTGCCTTGTAGGTTACTGGGGCACTGGCCAGGAAAGGGGTGTGAAAGTTATGTGCTAATTTCTCAAAATTCCTGCTTTAAATGCTGATGTCCAATAAAGATGTTCGTAGTTTCAGCTGGGTCTTAAAAGGATTTCCACCAATACTAATGTTGTAACCTATATCAAATGAAACAGGAACTCAAATGTGGAGCTCCCTCTCCAGGACGGTCCATGTGGGAGACAGTGGCTGTGGCAGTGGCAATCCCCAAGTGCAAAGGGTGGGCAGAGGCAGCCTCAGGCTGAGGGGTCTCAAGAAACTTTCTACTCCACAGGGAGAAGAAGATCCCCTATGGGCTGTGAGGGCAGTGGCTTGGGTGGAATCCCTGCTAGGAATCCCTGCTAGGAACAGGAGAGGAAGGCCTTTCAGCCTCCCCAAGCAGCAGCCCTGGGGAGAAGCTGTGCTTCCAGGGATGAGTGGACCAGGCTGGAGCAAGCATGGCCCAAGTGCAGGTCATGGGCCTGGGGGTCAGGGTAGGCTCCTTGAGCAAGGGGGTTCCCAGGGTCAGGTCAGCTGCAGACCCCATAGCAGCTACATGTTTCCATGCTGGGCCTGCCATGCTGATGGGATTCTTAATGGGCTTCCCAGTTAGGAGCTGCCTGCTCAGGGCTGGAAGTGGAGGAGCACTGAGCTGCAGGTGGAGGGCAGAACCACAGTGTTTAGGGCCTGCCTTTGTGTGCAGGTGTCTCTACAGGTGAGGTGGGACTGGGGACTGAGGAAGAGAAGGACTGTGCGTGTGACCCAGCCCAGTCCTGGAAGGACATGGAGCCAGGGCCAGAGCCTCTCTTTGGGGAGTCCTCCTGCTGTCAGAGCTGGCCAGGCTTGAGAGGAGGGGAGGGCACTGGGTTTTTCCCAGGTCTTGTCCTTTGGTCCTGGGGCTCTTTTCCTCCTTTCATGGTGGCTGGTGGGCACAGGGCAGGGGCTGATGTTGATGGAGTCACGGGAGGGGACTGGCAGGGGCTGGGAAAAGTGCCATGGGAGGGAGAAAAAAGTGCAGACATCATCTTCCCTCGGAGAAAGGGTGAATCTGATTTGGGACTGACTGAGGAGGGAGAAGTCGTCAGGGAGTAAAAAGCAGCACTGTGCACCCAGGGGAGCACTTACTATTTTCTCTCTTTTCTCCAGAGCACATGAGCCTGCAAGGCCCAGATCAACACCTGACTCAGACAGAACACCAGGGCAGTGCACAGCTGGGATTTCAGTCTCTGCTCTCAGCTCCCAGGTCCACTGGCTCTACTGAGGGCACCTACACTCTGCAGCCAGGCGGCCTGGATTGAACGCCCTGCCCAGGTCTCACCAGCACTTTTTCTCTTGCTGGCTCAGCTTTCTCATCTATGAAATGGGGAATGTAACAACATTTATTTCTTGTGGTTGGGTGGATGAAAAGTGTTAGTATATATGAGGTGTTTGCAGCTGTGCCATATTATTTTTGTTATTTTGTTATGATTTTATTATATTTTAATACATTAATGTCATGTAGTTGTATTATCACAGGTGAGCTTTATGAGTGAGTGTCCTGGTGACGGCTCCTCCGGGGAGCCAAGGACCAACTTTCCTGGCACGTTGAGGTCCCCTCGCCCTGTCACACTCTCCTGCATTACCCCATTCTACTCTGTCTTCATATTTTATACTATAGATATTTAGCTTTTAAATAGACATTTCTGGTCTGTGTTTTATTTCAAGTGTCTGGGAACAGATAGAGTTGAGGTTCAAGGGAGAATGAGAGCTCTGTCTAGATGCGTTGACATAGCACAAAGAAATCTCCCCTCCTCCCTGATATCTCCCCGCCAGTTCTCAGGGAAGGACAGATTCAGAGCAACACAGACAGGTCTGGAAAGGGATGGGGGGACATCTGAAGCAAATGTTCAGGGCCTGAAGCTGTGAGAGTACACCTGCCCTACAGAGTTGGAGCCCTCATGTGATGATGCAGAGCTGAAGTGTTATATTCTGGAGGGGATAAAAAGTGCTCTGGGGTTTCCTGATTATGAAGGGTAGGGGTCAGTCTGCTTCTAGGAGATGTGGACTGAATTAGTGAAAAATAAATGCACAGGGAATGAGGATGAGTAAAGCAAGCATCAGCATCTCCCGCCATCAGTTCAGACTGATTCGGAGGTGGGGAGGTGGGATAGTTCCTGACCCTGTTGCAAGGTTTCTTTTGACTTTCTGGTTTTGGGGCACATAGATGGGTGGTGCTCTTCTTGGTCAGGGCGGCCTCAGCTCCACCCAGGTAAGGCAGTGGTGGCAGAGAGTTAGGGGAGCACCTATGAAACAGACCAAGGCAGGGATGGGAGCCCTTGGTGCAGCAGGAGTGCATGCAGGACTTGCCTGGAAGCAAGAGTATTAGGGACCCTAGTCAGGTCCTGGTCCCCTCCCTGCCTAGGCTCACAGGACAACCAGTAAAGATGCTGGAGTGGGGAATTCATTCATGGGCTATCTATCCAGAGTTGTTTATAGACATATTCTTTCAAGTTTGTATTCAGGGTTGATGTCACATACACATTTATACATGCTGTTTTATGTTTAAGTGTTTTTATATTTTGGTTAGCCCTTTATCATTGTTAAACAAAGTTGTCATTAGGCATAAACTTGCATGTTAACTGAAGCTTTTGTTTTTATTTTATTCGAAGTTACAATTGCACATAATGGAAAGAGTAAATATTTGTGCAGGACTTTCTGAGAAAAATGAGAGTCTTCTCTGCCTTTCTAGGGAGAGTCCTCTCTTCTCTATTTCTGCCTTTCTAGGGAGCAACCACTTTCAAGTTTCAGCTGATTCTTTTGACTTTACTTTCACATATCTAAGCACCAAAGCACCATTTCTTTATTAACATTGCTTGATTTTTCAGTTGCAGCCATTGACTATTGCACTGCACGATGGTGGAATCAATAGTTAAGATTACTTGTTCTCTTTCTTTTTGTATTTTTTTCTTATTTTTTAATTTATTTAAATAAATAAAAATATTCTACCTCCCCAAAACCCCTCAGGACCCACACACAGGCACTGCAGCAGCGACAGGAGGAGGGGGCGCTGGGAACAGGAAGGACACCACCGCTTGGCCTCCGGCACCGGAGGGACAACCTGGAGGGCTCCGGGAGCACCGCAAAGGTCCAAGCGGAGCCAATCCTCACAAGCCCAGGGAAGGGCAACGTGACAGGCCGGCGCGACAGCCCCACCGCCGCGAAGAGGGGCTGCCCAAAAGGCAACAGCCATAGGAGATGAGCAGGGGTGCCTGCTGCGTCGGAGAACTCATCTCCCCAACCCCACCGATGCCACAAGGTAGAGGGCGAGGACAGCGAGGTCGGCCGGATTCCGCACCCCTGCCTCCAACCACCGCCCATGGGCGGGGAGGAGAGACTACCGGCCGCAAGCAGAACGCAGAACGAGAAGAGCGGTCCCGTTAGCCATGAATGTGTCCCTCATCTGTACCGCCTCCGGCCCCGCCCGGGAGAACGCGACGTCACCACATCCATCACTTGTTCTCTTTCACTCTTCCCGTTCTTTCCTTTTCCCAGTATATTTATATAGTAATTATGTTTAATTCAGCCACTCCTTGTTTTTTTCCGTGACTCATCTTCTCATATGTCAACTTGACTACTTTTCACTTGCTTCGTAGTATTTGTTCTTCCTCAAGTTAATACTTGCCTTTGTTTTTGTTTATGTTCTAGATAACTCTCATTAATTTAACTTTGATATCTGTTCCATTTCTGTGACTCTGTTAAGAAATTAGAGACTTTGAACTTTCTATTAATTTTACTTTCTTGGAAATGTCCCTCTTGGGCCCTTCTGGCTGCTCCCATCTGGACTGGAGGCTTCTACCTGTGGGACAGAGTCACCTTCCTAGGATCTCCCTCCACCACCATCTGGGGCGGTGCTTTACATGCAGTGGAGCCACCTGGGGTCCTGACAAATGCAGACTGATCAACCTGTCAAGGCTGGGCCTGTGAGCCTTTCTGTCCAGTTTCATGAGATGCTGGTTCTGCTGGTTCATGGATAATAGCTGGGGTAGCAAGGATCTCTCTTTTTGTCTCACAGTTTTCTGCATCTCTTTTTCATAGTAAGCACATGCTAATATATTTTCAATAAATTCATGTGCTCTTTTCCTAAGTTGGTATCAGAGCTAATTATTTTTTTCATTGCGCCAAAATCCATATTATATAAAATTTGGTATCGTAACAATTTTTAAGTATAGAGTACTATAATATGAACTGTAGCACATTGTTATGCAACAGATCTCTAGAACTTTTCATCTTGCAAAACTGAAACTCTACGCTGAAAATCTCCTCATGAATCCCCCCAGCCTAACCACTGGCAGCCGCCATTCTACTTTCAGGTTCTAAGAGTTTAGACGCCGCATATAACGAATTGCGCAGTATTGGAATTTCCTTGTGATTGGCTTATTACACTTAGCATTGTTCTCCAGGTTCATCCATGTTGCAGCATGTAACAGAATTTCCTTCTTTTTAAGGTTGAATCATATTCCATTGCCTACATAGACCACATGTTCTTCATCTATTCATGTGTTGATGGGTGCTTTGTTTGCTTCCTTGTCTTGGCTATGGTGAGTAATGTTGCTGTGAATACGGGTATGCAATGTTTTTCTTTTTTACAGCCTCCCTCATTTCAGTGGAATTAATGTTTTAGTAGCTACTTCTGATAGCACATATTTAAAGTATTTTTGCATGCATCAATGTGTCCATTGTTGTTTTGATTCTCTCCTGGAAGAGGATGGAAATGTATGAAGGTGCTGTTTGGCACAGTATTTAATGGTGAAGAAGAGACGGTGTAACTGACCAGTGCTGGGTCTCAGCATCCTGCAATTTCAGAACTACTGTGAATGCAAAAATAATTAAAAAAACCAGTGCTGCCCAGAAAGGGGGAGTCATCCCTAAATATGGCGGCCCTGGGACAGCTGGCCTCCCTGCCAGGCCTCTTCCATGGGGGCCCTTTTCTGCAGTGACTGGGATTTCTTTCCATTTCACTCTACCCTGTGTCCTGACCCAAGAGACAAGGCATGTCTGCAGCTGTGCCCACACTTGGAGTGTGTCAGTACATTATAAACACTGGCTCAGTGGTGTTAGTACATTATAAACATTGGCTTATCATGGGTTATTTTATTATTTATTGTGTATTTTGATTTCACTTTACTGGCAACACAATAAACAATGACATGATGACCCTAGCAATCACATCCTCTTTCTTGTGTCAAAAAGCACCTTCCAGGAACGTGAGAAGGAGACAGTTTTCGCTACAGTTGATTAAGGGAGAGCCCGCTAGGCTGGGCAGGAGGATTTTTACCGGGAACCTGTGCGATGAGCTGTGACATCCTTCTCCCCACCTTCAATCTCAGCCCCAGCAGGCACCTCCTGGGCGCAGAAGCAGTGCAGCGGCGCCACCTGGCGGTCTGCACTCTTCCTTTCCCAGATCAAGCACAGCCCTGAAATCCACCTGTCCCTCCTCTGTGCCTGTGATTTCTTCAGGGGACACCAGCGTGGGTCAACTTTCTTGTAAAGCAGAACAAGCGTGAGATTGGACCATGTTACAGGAGGAATGGTGTCATCTCTACCTGTGGAGAGATCCCTGTCACCGTGTTCAGGGGAAGGACCGAGCCTCACTCCCACGCAGAGAGGAGGCTCTGGTTGTAACTGCTCCAGTGGAGAGATGAGGACCTCCTCCCTCTACACTGATGGCCAAAGCCTGCAGACTGGGCCAGGCTTCCCCTCAGCTATGTCCTGTCAGGTTCATCCAGGACTCAAGAAATAAACTGTGGACATTGTCTCCAGCGACGTGGAGCTGAATGCACACTCAGTAATGAGACAGCCTTGCCAGGGGTCCTGGGGCTGCCGGTTGTTCTGGGTGCTCAGTGTCCAGAGAGGAGGATGGGGAGGAGGCTTTGTGCAGAACAGGAACCGTGGAGCTGGATGCACACTCAGTAATGAGACAGCCCTGCCAGGGGTCCTGGGGCTGCCGGTTGTTCTGGGTGCTCAGTGTCCAGAGAGGAGGATGGGGAGGAGGCTTTGTGCAGAACAGGAACCGTGCCCCATAACTCATTTTATTCTGCGTTCGCCTTTTTGTCATAAAACACAGGTGACATAAAAGAAAAAAAATCTTAAAATGGTGACCTTTAATCAACAGTAAACACTCTTTAACCATCAGAAAGAGAGAGAAGTTTGTCAGCTGACCTAGAAGCCCCATCAATTGACCCAGTTCAATAGTAAATTTTTATTTTTTCAAATAAAAATCAATCACATCCTGACTTTTGTGGTCCTCACTTCTTTGTTCTATTTTATATTTTCATCATCCCAAATGATAGTTTAGTTTTACCTTTAAAAATAAGTTTTTTGTTCTTATTTGTTCTATAGGTTATCCCTTTGAAATTAATATTGTCTGGTAGAGTTTCCTGTTGTTTGTATTTTGTGGATTGCACCCCAAACTATGGTTTAATATGCATCTCTATTACCTGCATTTTCTAGAAATTTGTAGTTTGGTATAGAGGTTTGCATCTATTCAGATTTTTTTCCCCGTGAGTTTTGGTGGTACTATATCATGTTTTTCAACAAGGGGAAGAGTTTAATACTGGTTATTTCCCTTTGGTGATGAAAATTGTCATTGCTGTTCAGTGGCTAGATCTGTTCATTCATTACGGATGGCAAAGAGTTGTAGTCTCAGTCTTCCATTTCTTTTCATGTATTATTTGAATAATTTGTAAAATAAGAGACTTACCCCCTTCTACTATTTACCTATTATAGGAAAATCACTTTTAATTAATTAGATGTGAAAATTCTAAGAAAAATATTAGTAGACTGTATTAACCAATGTGTTATAAACAGACTGTCTTGACCAAGGTATATAGCCCAAGAATGCAAGGATATTTAAACTTTAAACCTTTTAATGCATTTTGCCACTTAATTAAAGAATAAAAAACAGAGATGATGTTATTTTACTAGATTAAGAAATTATTCTAGATGAAATTCAGCACTCCATCTGACCCATATTTCTCCAGTCATCTCCAGGTTAAAGAAATCATGCAATCAGATTGGGGCCACTCAAATAATACAAAATAATCTCCACATCTAAAGGTCCATGCTCTTAATCATATCAGCAAAGTCCCTTTTGCTGTGTAAAGTAACATATCTAAATGGTCTGCGTCTTAGGGCTTGGACATATGTGTGAGGCCATTATTTTGGATTCCACAGTGTATATGGTGGTTGAATGAGGTTTAATTTAATTCTTCTCTAATTAAATTCCTAGAAGAAGAGAAGTGAGTAAATGGAAAGAGGCATTCCAGAAAGAGGTTATCTTAAAATATTAAGGAAATGTATTATTGTAAATAAAGTCTTGATGCCACAAAGAAATAGCACTCAAATATAAAATTTTCTTTTTTTCTTCTCAGCAAGGCAATTACTTCTATACAAGGGTGTGCCCTCACAGATGGAGCAATGGTGAGCACACCCCTGGACAAGGAAGGGGAAGGGGTTCTTATCCCTGATGCACGTGGCCCCTGCTGCTGTGTTATTCCCCTATTGGCTAGGGTTAGACCGCACAGGCTAAACTAATTCAGATTGGCTAATTTAAAGAGAGTGAAACAGGTGATCAGAATGAGTCAGGGTGGTGCAGGTAACTGGAATGAGTCAGGCTGGGGCAAGTAATCAGGATGAGTCAGGGTGGAGCAGGTAATCAGAATGAGTCAGGGTGGAGCAGGTGACTGGAATGAGTCAGGGTGGAGCAGGTAACCAGAATGAGTCAGGCTGGAGCAAGTAATCAGGATGAGTCAGGGTGGAACAGGTGATCAAAAAAGGTTGCTTTATGAGGAAGTTAAGTTTAAAAGTAGAGGGCAAAGAATTGAACATACTGACATGTTAATTATTTTAAGAGAAATTTAGAACTCATACCTAACAGTATCATAGCACTGTGAATAAAAAGAGATCCACATTTACTCATACTGCACTGGAACAGAAGATGTTAAAGAGAAACAGATATCTTAAAATTTGCCACAGGAGAAACACAGATCCTCTAAGAAGCAACTGGTTAAAATGTAACTGACTATCCCCTGTCAGCCACAGCAGCCAGAAGCAACATAATCATCAAAGATCTGAGAGAAAACCAATGTCAAACTAGAAATTTGCAGCTGACAAATCTCTCTTTGATGAATAAAGGTAAAACAAAACATTATCATATAAATGAAACTGTTGCACTGTCTCCATAATACCCAATTTCAAAATATCTACAAGAACAGAGAAATATGTAAGAACAAAAGAGAGAAAGAAAGCATAAATTTTAATTTGTAATCTTTGGTATATGTAACTCAGTACTGTCATAAAATATTAATAATGTAGCTTTCAAAGAAAAAAGTCATGTAAAATACATAACATGCTGTGCTATAATTTCTTTATTTATCTTCCCACCCCCACCTTTGACTTCTATGAAGTCCAAGGAAGTTTGATTCTTTTATCTGAGGCTCAACTCCATAGAGCACAGTACCCAGAATAAGGTAGGTGCTTAATGATGTTTACCATTTGAATGAGTTTCCTGGAAGTACTTAGCAGATCAGGAATTCTGATGCATAAGCACAATTCAAAGGTGGCTGAGGAGTGACATCAGAGAACATAGTGGCATAGGAACTCCAAGGGCCACCTCTGCACAGAGACAATGTGCTTGTAAAACATCACTATAAAAAAAAATCCCTTGGCTGGGCATGGTGGCTCATGCCTGTAATCCCAGCACTTTGGGAGGCCGAGGTGGGGGGATCACCTGAGGTCAGGAGTTCGAGACCAGACTGATCAACATGGAGAATCCCAGTCTCTACTAAATATACAAAATTAGCTGGGTGTGGTGGCTCGCGCCTGTAGTCCCAGCTACTCGGGAGGTGAGGAAGGAGAATCGCTTGAACCCGGGAGGCAGAGGTTGCAGTTAGCCGGGATCATGCCATTGCACTCCACCCTGGGCAACAAGAGCAAAACTCCATCAAAAAAAAAAAAAAAAAAAATTCCCTCGGAGAGCTGTTAAAGCAAGAATTCCTGGACCTACCACCAGATATTCTGATTGGGTTGATAAAGAATCAACTGCATTGGAACCCTGAAAAATCATCAAAGGTTTATTGCAACCTAGCAAGTCCAGAAAAATCAACTGGAACTCAGGAGCAGAGCTTTGTGGCACCATATCTTACCCTTGGCCCATTCCTCCCTGTTCAAGTCAGTAGTGATCTTGAAGACAGCAGCCTGGTTCCTTAGTGTGGGCTCCAATGCCAGTGGGAGCCGAGTGGACCATGTTCTCAAAGTGTTGTGGTTGTCTACCTTTTCCTGTTGGGTGACTCCGTGAAGGATGATAAGAAATGGCTTACATTGGGCTGGGCATGGTGACTCATGCCTGTAATCACAGCACTTTGGGAAGCTCAGCTGGGTGCATTTCTTGAGTTCAGGAGTTTGAGACCAGCCTAGACAACATGGTGAAACTCCATTTCTACAAAAAATACAAAAATTAACTGGGCATTATGGCATGTGCCTGTAGTCTCAGCTACTCAAGAGGCTGAGGTGGGAGGATTGCTTAAGCCCAGGAGGTTGAGGCTACAGTGAGCCAGGATCGTGCAACTGCACTCCAGCTTGGGCTTCAGAGCAAGACCTTGTCTAAAAAAAGAAAAAAAAGAAAGAAAAAGAAAATAAATGGTTTGCATTTATTTTCCCTACTCAGAACTCTCTTAGGTCACAGAGGCAGAGGGCATCTGCTAAAACCATTTAAGTGCCACTGAACCAGCAGCTGCCCCCTTGGGGCAAAAATATATTACATGAGAAAGGTAATAGACATACAGAAAAGCCTGGAGGAGAAACTGGGTGAGTGAGATGGGAATATGGGTTTTGAAAAGCTTCCATATCCCTGGGAATCTGTATAGCCTCCTCCATGACCAGTATGTCGCACAGACTCACAAAGCACCTGAGAATGCCCTGTGTTCACACCTCTTGCTAACTTTCAATATCTGCACAAGTAGGAAATGAAGGCCAAAGCAGTATTGTAAACTGCCCAGCAGAGTGTTGAGGGCATGCCCCAAAACACACAGAGAGCCCAGATAAAAAGATTGAATTTTCTTTTCTTATTTCTTTTTGGCTGAAGATGTTTCAGGAAATATCTATCAAATCATGAGTTGACCACTAAGCTTACAGAATAGAGACTTCAGTGATGACACACAATAAAGAATACAGTCTATACAAAAATAGTTTAGAAAACATGATTTTCAAAGTCACCACATGTTAGTATTCAAAATAAAAATGAGGTATGCAATTAAACTAGACGGTAAGACCCATTCTCAAGAAAAAAGAGGAATTGACAGAAACTGTTCCTGAGAAAGGCCATTGAACATACTTACTGGACAAACAACTTTGAATTGACTGCTTAAATATGTTCACAGAGCTAAAGGAAACTATGGGCAAAAAACTAAAGGAAATCAGAAGAACTATCTTAACTCAAATAGAGAACATCAATAAAAAGATAGAAAGTTTAAAAAGAAACCAAGTAGAAATTTTGGAGCTGAAAAGTGCAATAACTGAAATGAAAAATTTACTAGAGTAATTTTACTATTTTTTACTATATTTTACTAGAGTAAATTTACTATTTACTTTTTTACAAAAGCAACTTTCACTATGCAGAATGAAGAATCGGCAAGCTTAAAGGTAAGACAATTGAAATTATCCAGTTTGAGGTGCAGAAATAAAAAAAAATTATGAAGAAAAATGAACAGAACTTAAGAAAACTGTGAGACAACACCAAGCATATGCATTTTGGGAATCCTCAAAGAAAGGAGAGAGAAAAAGAAGAATGGCTATTTGGAGGAATAATAACTTCAAATCTCCTAAATTTGATGAAAAATATAATTTTACTCATCCAACAAACTTGATACATTTTAAGCAGCAAGAATTTTAGAAGTCCACACTGAGAGACGTTATAATCAACCAGTCTACACCAATGACAAACAGACCATCTTGAAAGCAATAACAGAGAAGGAACTTTTCAGGTACAATGGATCCTCAATAAGATTAACATACAAATTTTCATCAGAAACCATGGGGTTCAGGAGGCGTTGGGATGACAAATTTAAAGCTGAGAAAGTAAAAGGACTATCAACCAAGAATTGTATGTCTGCAAAACTCTCCTTCAGAAATGATGGAGAAATCATGACATTCACAGGTTAAAAAAAGCTGACTGAGATTGTCTCAACCCTACAAGACATATATATATACACACACACATATATATATTTGTAATTCCTCTCTTGTTTTTCCTATTTGATTTAAAAGAAAATGTCCATCGACCAATGAATGGAGAAACAACATATAGTTTTTTCCTACAATAGAATATTATTTGGTCATAAAATGAATAAAGCACTGGCATATGCTAAAACATTGCTGAATCTTGAAAACAAGACAAGTGAAGGAAGCCAGTCACAGGAGGCTACGTAACTTATGAGCCCATTTTTGTGAAATATTCATAAGAGGCAAGTCGATAGAGAAAGAAGTGGATTTGTGGCGACAGGGTCTGCTGGCAGGTGGAAATGGAGGGTGACTGCTTAATGGGTGCAGAGTTCCCCCTGAGGTGATAAAAACACTCTGGAACTAGAGAGTGATGATGGTTACATAACATTGTGAACATACGAATTGTCACTGCATTGTGCACTTTAAATGGTTACGGTGGTATCCTTTGTGTTTATGTGTATTTTACCACAATGAAAAAGAGGCTGAGGAAGGTATTCCAAAATCTTTTGTATAGTAAACTCCTGAGTTTGCTTGAGAATCTGCCTATCTGTCTTTTCTTCTCAGGACATCATCTCCTACCCAGAGCAAACCTTTGTTCTTCTGCAAGTAGAAAGCCCTCTTTCAGAACATTGTCCAAGATCAGCCAGGCCCAACCCTCAAAATGACTTTCTGTCTTTGACCCAAATGCTCAAATGCAACTCTGGGGCTAATTTCAGTGGGAGTAAGAGATTATCCAATCAGGATAATTCATTTGGAGAGAAAATGTTTTGCTTAAGTCAGCAAAGTCCTTTGCTTTCCTAAAAAGGATCCTGCTTACCAGTGAGTACAGAGTTTTTGTACATTTGAGGTGGAGTTCTCAGCAGAGTAATTAAAGATATCTGTAGAAACACCACACACATTATGTGTAGCTGACTGATTCACCCCTCTGCCACCCCCAATTGAAGGAAGGAGCTGTATTCTTATCTTGGCCCATCCATCAACTGAATGCCGCTGGACATGGAACATTACAAGTATGAAGCTTCCAGGGTTCTCAGTTGCTCTTCCTGCTGTTGTGGAGACTCCATTGGTGTGGCTCACATCCAGGCAGGCCTGCAGGAAGCTGTTTCCTAATTCTCAAGGCCAACATTTTCAGTGAACCCATACCAAAACCCTAGGTTCTCAGGGACT
Organism: Homo sapiens; assembly: GCF_000001405.40. Taxonomy (NCBI): domain Eukaryota; kingdom Metazoa; phylum Chordata; class Mammalia; order Primates; family Hominidae; genus Homo; species Homo sapiens. Next base: position 1,103,335 of record NT_167246.2, on the reverse strand, counting down.
CAGATTTTCATCTGTGGAAGAAAAGAATCCATCTCACTCTCTCAGGTGTGATGGTAATTATATATATTATAATATAATATATATATACATAATTATAATTTATATATCTATAAAAGAGATAATCAGTATTCCATAAATTGATGATATTCTCAGTGTTGACTTCATTGCCCAGGTGAACACTGTAACAGAAGGATGAGTCATGGATTGTAGAGGAACAATATTTTTTTTACTCTCTGGAGGAGCCATCAGTAGGCATTTCTGCCATATGGACTTCAAATGAGAAATTTGTTTTAGGTTGAGATTGGAAGGAGATCTGAACTTCTTTTTATTATTATTATTTTAAATATGAGGTCTCACTATGTTCTCCAGGCTGGAGAGCAGTGACTATTCACAGGTGTGACCATAGCCTCAAATTCGTGAGCTCGAGCCATTCTCCTATCTCAGCCTCCTGAGTAGCTGGGACTACAGGTGCCCACCACAGTGTTCAGCCACTTTTCATTGTTATTTTACTTCAAATGTTTTATTTTGAATGTTAAAAATACATGTTTCTACATTAGAAATATGAAAATGTATTTGATTACACAAGAATTTAAAATGCACACATCAACACCTGGTTGAATTTTAAAGAAAAAAAAATGCAGAGAAGAAAGAAATATCACCCAGGCTTCCCCTCCAAAGAACCACTGCTATCATATTATTGAAACTTCCTGGACTGCAGTGTGAATGGTCATCCCTGGAGCTATCTTCTGCAGTGATGCTGACTTCCATTCTTTTGTTTTCTATGTATATATTTTTATATATGCTTTCATTGTAGAAAGTTGCATTCATAAGTTTTGGGGTTTTTTTTAAGATGGAGTCTCACTCTGTCCCCCAGGGGCTGGAGTGCAGTGGCATGATCTCGGCTCACTGCAACCTCTGCATCTCGGATGCAAGTGAGTCTTCTGCCTCAGCCCCTCGAGTAGCTGGGATTACAGATGTGCACTACCACGCCTGGCTAATTTTGTGTTTTTAATATAGATGGGGTTACACTTGTTGGCCAGGCTGGTTTTGAACACCTGACCTCAAGTGATCCACCCACCTTGGCCTCCCAGAGTGGTTGTGGGTTATTTTGAAGTTGCTTTTTGAATGTATTATTATGAAAGTAGTTTTCCATGTCATAAAGTCTGCATAAAATTTACACACTTCTAGAAGCTGCATCCCATCTCAAACAAGGAGAAGTCACCAGGGTTCTTTTAGATCCATGTGCTTTCATCTTGTCTTTTGGTAAAGAATATTTTGACAAGCATGTTTGTACATGAAGATTCTTCTATGGTTGTGATTTTAAAAATTCATAGAACACTCAGGACGGACATGGTGGCTCATGCCTGTACTTCCAGCACTTTGGGAGGCTCAGGCTGGCAGATTGCTTGAGCCCCTGAGTTTGTGACCAGCCTAGGCAACATAGAGAAACCCTGTCTCTAGAAAAAATTCAAAAGAATTAGCCGGGCTTGGTGGCACATGCCTGTAGTCCCAGCTACTTGGGTGTCTGAGGTGGGAGGGTTGCTTAAGCCTGGAAGATTCAGGCTGCAGTGAGCCATGAACAACACTGCACTCCAGCCAGCAAGCCCAATCTCAAAAAAATAAATTATAGACTACTCAAATTGTAAGTATTAAACCAGTGTCTGTGAGAGTTTTTCTGGAAGGGATGTGAGTGGGTGGACTGGTGGGGAAGATCCTCTCTCACTGTGGGCAGCCACAGTCCAATCACCTAGTGGCCCAGATAGAACAGAAAGGTAGATAGAAGTAAAATTTCTCTCTGTCTCTGTCTCTCTGTCTCTCTCTGTCTCTGACTCTCTCTCTGGAACTGGGGCTGGGACACCCTTCTTCTCCTGCCTTGGACATCAAAACTCCAGGTTCGATGATCTTTGGACTCTGACTTTTGCACCAGTGAGCCCCTTTATCCTCCTGTTCTGTATTCTGGGTCCTCAGGGCTTTGACTTTGGACTGAGCCACGCTACTGGCTTTTCTAGTTCTCCAGCTTCCAGACAGTCTATCATGGGACTTCTCAGCCTCCATAATTGTGTGAGCCAATTAGCCCAATAAATCACCTATCTATCTATCTGTCTGTCTATCTATCTATCTATCTATCTATCTATCTATCTATCTATCTATCATCATCTAACATCTATCTATCATCTATCATCTATCTATCTATTATCTATCTATCATCTATGTACCTATGCTATTGGTTCTTTCTTTCTTGGTAACCTTAATAAATCAACAGACAATAAACAAATAAAACCTGTCATAGTATCACTGATAATTGCCATTAAGAAAAATATGCTTGGGTTAGAAGATTGGTGGCGGTGGTGGGAATGGCAGGGGATAGATTTCAGAAGAGGTCACTGGACAAGACATTTCTGAACACTTGACCATGGGACATTTAAGCAGGGACCTTAATGGTGTGAGGAGTGAGCCATGTGGATCACTGGGCAGCACATGCATGTGGGAGTCACAGCAGGGGCAGGTGGTGGAGACAGGGTGGAGTAGACAAGAAACTGGTGTGAGTGGAGAAGAATGAGCTAGGCTGAGAGTAATGGGATGAGGCCAAAGTGGCCAGAGGGGACCCTGTGATAAGGAGTGCATAGGAAATGGTGGGAAACTGGGGTTTCCTTGTGCCTAAGAAGGGAAGGAGCTGGAGCGTTCATAGGATATGCCCTAATTCCCATTGGAAAGGCACGCTCTCTCTGTTGTGTGGGTGATGGACAGTGGGCATGAGAGTCAGCAGGCAGCCCAGCTGGAAGGCCCTTCCGGTTTTCTATCCTAGTGAGGATGGTTCTGGGGTGGAGGTGGCAGAGGAGTGAGAAGTGATTGGATTTGGTGTTGATATATATTTTTAAAATTGTGGTAAAACACACATACTATACGATTTACCTTCTAACAATTTTTTTCAGTGTACAATTCATTGGCATTAAGCACATTTACAATTGATGGTGGTTACACAAACACCAACATGCATTTTCAGAACATTTTCATCATCCCAACAGAGACTGTACCCATTAAATGACAGCTGCCCATTGTTCCTGCCTTCAGCCCCTGGTAACCTGTATTCTACTTTCTGTTTTTGTGAATTTGCTTATTCTAGGTGCCTCATATAAGTGAAATATCATATTTGCCTTTTTTTTGGCTTATTTTATTTAGCGTGTTTTCAAGGTTCCATCCAATCCAAATATTCTTCACTTTTAAGGCTGATTAATATTCCATGTGTATATGCACCACATTTTGTTTTTCCAATCATCCTCTGATGGACACTTGGGTTGCGTCCACCTTTTGGCTATTGGGAATAGCACTGCTATGAGCATGACTGTACAATTATCTGTGTGCATACCTGCTTTCAATTTTTGGGGGGTATACACCCAAAAGTGGAATTGTTGCTTCATATGGAAATTCTATGTTTACCTTCTTGAGAAAGCGTCATCCTGTTTCCATGATGGCTGCACTGTTGTTCACTCTCAGCAGCAGTGCACAAGCATTCCATTTTCTCCACATCCTCACCAACACCTGGACTAGTGAAGCTGAGCATATTTTCATGTCCTTATTGGAATTCCTTATTTTTATGTCCTTACTGTGTATCTTCTCTGGAGAATTGTCTATTCATGTCTTTTACCCATTTTTGAATGAGATTGTTTTGCTATTGTTAAGTTGTAGTTCTGTATGTAGTCTGGATATTAATTCTTTATCAGATATGTGATTGGCAAATATTTTATCTTATTCTATGCAGTTTCTTTTATTTTCACTTTTTTTTTTTTTTTTTTTTTTTTTTTTGAGACAGAGTCTCTCTCTGATGCCCCAGCTGGAGTGCAATGGTGCAATCTCAGCTCATTGCAACCTCTGCCTCCCAGGTTCAAGCGATTCTCCTGCCTCAGCCTCCCGAGTAGCTGGGATTACAGGTGCCCACCACTGCGCCCGGCTAATTTTTGTATTTTTAGTAGAGACAGGGTTTTGCCATGTTGGCCAGGCTGATTTCGAACTCCTGACCTCAGGTGATCCACCCACTTTGGCCTCCCAAAGTGCTGGGATTACAGGCGTGAGCCACTGCGCCTAGCCTCTTTTCACCTCTTAATAGCGTCCTTTGATGCAAAAAAGTTTTTACATTTTGATGAAGTCTTATTTGTCATTTTCCTTTTATTGCTTGTACTTTTGGTCACCAGCCAAGAAACCACTACCAATTCTAATGACCATAAGACTTTCCCTCAGTATTTTCTTTTAAGAGTTTTACAGGTTTAACTCTTAAGATTAGTTCTTTAAGGCATTCTGACTTAATTTTTGAAAAGGGTGTAATGGAAGGGCATAAATTTTGTCCAGCATCATTCTTTTGCATGTGGATATCCAGGTTTCCAGCACCATTTGTTGATGCACCATCTGTTGCAGTGGGGCTGACACATTTGTAAGATGCAATGAGCACGAATACATGGGAGCACCATGAATTTATTTACATGTCTTTACTTCACAGTTGTTTTGAGGAGGCTTTCACTGAGAAACCTAACAGAAATGAATATATATGACTTCTTATAAAATGAAATTTAAGTAAAATTATACTTTTTAAAATGTTAAGACTGGAGCAAGACTGGAACATCACCAGACAAACAGAAACATAGGCTGAAATGAAGGGTTTATGTTTATCTTGCTACAAATTCTGTTGGCCCACAATCTCTTATGCTTATTGCATAAGAGAGCCACAGAGTGGGGTGATAGCTCAAATAACCAGTCCCTGGTTTTCTGCTTCAGAAACAAGTTTAAATTCTCTGCTTAGACAAAGTAAAGAAAATAATTGAAAGATGTTGAATGTGAAGTTGGCATCTACAAAGTCAAAGAAGTGAGTAGTAAATGTAAACATCAGGAATCCAAGGAGATTCTATCTTTTTACACAGAAATGGCCTCACTATGCACTGCTGAAGGGAGAAGGTCCCTCCAGGAGAACTTCATGATGAGGAAAAACCCAATATGATGTAGGGGTTTTCTGCTGCAGCCCTAAATTGAATTGTCCTTCGCTCTAAATACAGGTCTCACAAAGTTTTATGTCTTCAATGATTTCACCTGGGCCGAGATTTTGTTTTGTTTTTGGTGTTGTTTGTTTTGAGCTGCTGCCTGGGGCTTAGAAAAGTGACTTGGATATTTTGCCAAAGTTGTATTTCTTTGATGGAATTCGAAATCCATGAACACTCTGCTTTCCTGCTGTATTCCCAGAGCGGGTTGAGTACCTTGCACTTCTTTTCAGCACTTCCCTAGAAGTGGTAGAAGATTTGGAGTTAGGGCCTCCCTCAATCTCTGCCCTTTCTTTAATTCAGAGGATCACAAACTGTTGGGGGAAGAGTGGTATCTTGGGCCCCCAGTTGATCGGATGAATATTAATATCCAATGTCCTGTAATGAAGTCATGTGTGCATGTAACATCACTTCTGCACGCAGTGTCATGGGAAAGTGGGTTCGCGGACCCCAGGTTAAAAGCCTAAGCACTAAATGCACAGAGCTAGAGCTCTAGGAGGGGCGGGATGGCTGGGGTGGAACGTCATCTTGTCCTTTAGTCCTGGGGCATTTTCACTCCTCACATGGTGGGTGCTGGGCATCTGGCAGGTACTGATGTTGATGGAGTCGAGGGAGGGTACTGGCCGGAACTGGGAAAAACAGGGTTGGGGAGATAATTAAGGTGAACATTATTTTTTCTGAGTGTAAGTCATGGCTTGAAATCTGGAGAGCCTGAAGGAGATCCCGCTACCTAAACCCGTTTTCCTTTTCCCTCAAGCCTCATTTGGCCATAGGCCCAGTGTCAACACCAGGGGGCGCCACAGACCATGAAGGCACCGCGCAGCTGGGATTGTTTGTGGTGGGCTCCTGGGTCCCTGACTTAACCAGGGAAGCCAAGACCCTGCAGCCAGGTGGCCTGGATTCAACCTTCAGCTCTGGTCCTACTGACACTTTTCTTCCTGGTGCCTCAGTTTCTTAATCTGTGAAATGGTGAGGACATTACAGCACTTACCTCTCGGGCGGGTTTCTCAACAGCAGCCCTATTAAGAATTTGAGACAGAGAATCCCTTGTGGTCTGTCCTGTGCATTGTGGGAGGTTTGCCAGCAGCACCCCACTCACCCCCTCCCACCAATCCCCACGTGACAACCGAAAATGTCCCAGGATTTTTAGGTCTCCCTTGGGTCTAGAGCTGCATTTAGTCAAGCATTTTCCCACCTGACATTTGAGCTCATCTCTGCTTTGGTCCACATAAGGCCACTTTAAAAAGATGTTGTTTCTTTAAAGATTCTAACCATCTTTTAAACAAATCTATTTTCTTCCTTTATTTCTGCATTCAGTTAATCCTTCCAAACCCTTGGTTTAGTATATCTCAAAATGTATCAACTCCAGTTCTAGTAATTAACATATGTGACTTGCATGATATCTGCTATGACCCCTAGTAGAGTTCTGATTCCTTTAGCACAGGGAATGTGTTCTCGATTCTGCTCTGGATGATGTAAATCAATTTATTTTACTTTACTTGTCTGGGATGTTGCTCCTCACCTGTAAAATGTAAATGTGGATATGGCTTGGATTACTAAGTGGTTTTATTTCTTCATTCACCTGACATTTGTTGTGTACCTGCTGCAAGTCAAATACATGGTATGATATTGTTTCCTTGTTCACACCACAGCAAATGAGAAAATGAGACATTATAGCCAGGTGTGGCGGCACAGGCTTCTCGTCCTAGCTACTCAGAAGGCTGAGGCAGGAGAATTGCTTCAGCCCAGGAGTTTGAGGTTACAGTAAGGTCTGATATCACCATTGCATTTCAACCTGGGCAACAGACCCTGTCTCTGAAAAAAAGGAAAAAGACACTGTGAGCTGTCTACATGTACTCTATGTCTCAGGAGACTCATGTGCTGTAATTTTTCTAAATGGCATCTCCATGTGGTCTTTCATGAATGTTTGTCTGGTATTTCTTTTCTATCTTTTTACTTTCAACTTTTCTGTACCTTCTACTGAAATTATGGCTTTTGTAAATAGCCTACGGTTATTTATTTATTTACTTATTTATTTTTATCCCTCTGCACTATTTGTCTTGTAATTGGAGTGTCTGAGTCCATTACGTTTAATGTCATTGTTGACCTCATTGGGTTTAAGTCTGTCCATTTTCATTTACTGCCTTCTAATATTATCTTTCTTGCTCAACTATTTTTCTTCTGTTGCCTTCTTTAGATGAATAAAAACCTTTGCATTATTGTGGTCTTCTCAGTAAGTGTTCTAGTTACAAATTCTCTTATTATTTCTTTAATTATCTGAGAAAGCACAATAATCTGTGACTTATTATAACCAACAGCAGACCATAACTTCCCTGACTTTCACCTACCTGTGCAGACAGCACAGGGGAGAATCAATGCTCTGGCTCTGAGACACAGGGGTGGTGGAAGTAGGATAGTGATTGGATGATGAATCTGTAGCTGCAGAGGCATCTGGGCCCCTCACCTTCATTCCTCGTAGATGTCACCTCCACTGGATGCCTGCAATGCCCTCTCCTCTGTATGCTCCTGCCAGAGTCTCCCCATCTCCACTGACAGCAGCTCCACCCTTCTGCTCACTCAGTCCAATACTGTGGGTGTCCTTGATTCTTCTTTCTCACACCACAGATAAATCCATTAGCAAGTGCTGTGAATTCATCCAGAATCCCATCACTTCCCACTATTTCCCCTGCTCACACCCCAGTCAAGGTAAGCGACGTCTCCATCCTGGAATACTGCACTCCTTTCCCACCGTTTTTCCCACTGCCTCACTAGTCCCCCACCTCTCAATTCTGTTCTCAGCACAGCAGCCAGAGAGAAGCTTTCAAAGGATAAGTCCTACCATGTCCCACTTTCCAAAACTGTCCTCTAACTCCCCATGTCATTCAGAGCAAAGGTCAACATCCTTCCTACACCCTCCAGGGCAACCTGCTCTGGGCACACCTCTGACTTCATTTCAGTTTCTCTCTGTTCAACACTTCTGGCCTCTTCCTCCTTCCAGGAACACAGACAATTTCCTGCCCTAGTGCATCTGCACTGAAGGTTTCCCTGCCTGAAAAGAACTTTCTGAGACATCCGTGTAGACAACTCCTCACATCCCTCAAATCTTTACTCCAAGGTCACATTTGCAACAAGGCCCATGCTGACCACCCAGCACAACAGCCACCTCCCTGTACCCACAGCCCACCCTCTGGATCACCTGCCACACAGCACTTGCCACCTTCTAACTCAAGCATTTTCTGTTCCTACTCTGCTTATACTATATCATCTGCCTGCAGAGGTGTCCAATCTTTTGGCTTCCCTGGGTCACATAGGAAGAAGAATTGTCTTGAGCCACACAAAAAATACACTAATGACAGCTGATGAGCAGAAAAAAATAGAAAAAAGAAAAAAAATGCATGGATAATTTTCATGATATCTGCCACTACAGATAAGCAAAAAAATCGTCACATTCTAAAGCTGTCCTGGGCCACATGCATCCCGAGAGCTGCAGGTTGGACAAGCTTGCATCTAGAATGTATACACGACAAGGCCAGAAATTTTTCTGTTTTTACTTTAACGATGTTTTCTAAATGCAAAAACAGTCAAATACCTAGCAGACAACAAATGCCACTTGAATGGATGATTACTGTAGTGCGCCCCCCTATTCTAAAGGCAATATCTTTATTAATGTAGACTCAGGCCAAATGTCATTTTGTAGCCGCTGTGGAACAATATTATCTCATGTGGATATAAATGCACCAGTGCTTTTCTCACCAGGGCTGCTTTTGTGTCCTCCCTCCCTCCCTCCTCCCACACCAATCCTCCTGCACACTGCAGCACACAACCATATTTGTCTCTTGAGGAAAGATAACCCAAGGCTTATGGCTCCAATTATCCAACCACATATGAATCTAAATTAGACTCTGCTTTACAAATCCATGAGTTTGGTTTGGAGCCAGCAATAGGATTACTACAACTCAGGGCAGGAAGAAGAGTAGGAGAGAGAGCAGAAGAGGAGTTCCAACAGAAAGTAAACTACAATGAAAAACTCTGGGACCTCTCCTCTCGGGAAGTTTCAGAATCTGCTTCCTTTAAGAAGGTTGGGGAAGCCAGGCATGGTGGCTTACACCTGTAATCCCAGCACTTTGGGAGGCAGAGGCGGGCAGATCACAAGGTCAGGAGATCAAGACCATCCTGGCTAACATGGTGAAATCCCGTCTTTACTAAAAATACAAAAAATTAGCTGGGTATTGTGGCATGTGCCTGTACTCCCAGTTACTAGGGAGGCTGAGACAGGAGAATTGCTTGAACCCGGGAGGTGGAGGTTGCAATGAGTTGAGATTGCACCACTGCACTCCAGCCTGAGTGAGACTCCATCTCAAAAAAAAAAAAAAAAAAAAAAAAAAAAAAAAAAAAAAGATGGAAAATACAATTGAAAGAGACCTGGAAGGAGGGGAAGAGGTGTAGGGGTCTGAAAATTTTTCTTCTGATAACACAGGAACTTCTACGTGTAGGGACCACCCTAGGTGATATCCAAGTCTATGTGATCACAGGTCCTGGTGGGACAAGGTTCTACTGAAGGGCCAAGGACAATGGAGCAGCAAAGATGACCCAGCTGAGCAGTGACCACATAAAGTTCATGGTGGCCTGAGCACCCACTGGGCGCAGCCCCATCTACTCTCCTCTCCTGCAACAAATCAGCACAAGAAACACGTGTACTGTGGAAAGTTCTCATGTCTTCCATTTATTTTGTCTCTCAAATTTCAGGAATCTTCTCCTTTAATTAACCTATCAATCTCTCTTGGAAATAATTTGAAAAAGTAAATTTATACTCAGATTCTAATTTTAATACAGAAGTAAGTTATAGCTCAGTGGACCACAAATTTGAGACAGAGACGGAGACATCCCAGCCCCTTTTCTGGAACAGGAAAGGTGATTGGGGAAGGAATGCAGTTCAGCATGAGGAAGAGGGTCATGGTGGGCACAGGGGTGGGCTGGTCTCTGCACAAAGAGAAGTCAGGGTTCTTGAAGTCACAAAGGGACTTGCCACTCAGTCCCACACAGGGCAGCTGTTTCACACTACAGAAAAATATTCATGAACAAATTCATATCAGTCACAGTGAGGGGTGACACTTTAAACAGCCCATCACATGCTCAATACATTGAAGTCAAAGAAACCTCATAGCACAGCTATGTCCCCTGTTCCCCTCAACAACCCACACACATCAGGCCCCCCGGGGTGTCACATTTACAAGCCGTGAGAGACACATTAGAGCCCTGGGCACTGTCACTGCCTAGAGTAGAACAAAAACAGCACCTGGTCAGAGACCACAGGAGATGTGGCCAGAGGAGGAATTGTGGGGTGGGTGAGCTCCCCCATGGGCTCCCAAACACAAGATCCCAAGGATCTCAGGGATCAGCCTCCTTCATACTTACTTGCAGCCTGAGAGTAGCTCCCTCCTTTTCAATCTGTGGGAAGAAAATGTCCTGTGAGAGGCCAGAAAGGTGGCAGGGCCATGAGGTCCTAGAGGAACCTCCTAGTCTTGGACCCTCGAGAAGTTTCCAGAAATGTGTGACTGCAGACCCAGGGCGGGATCAGGAAAAACAAGGAAAGCAGATGTGGGTCCTCGACCAACTGCCCTCCTAAGGTCTGTCCTTAGCCAGGGACCTTCTCCTGACCTGTGATTACTGGGATCAGGTCCCCATCACTACAATCATCAAGGTAATAAATCTGTCCTTCATTGTCACAGGTGCTTTACAAAAGAGAAGGTGCTGGCACACAGGGCCCAGGCTGGGTAGGCCCATGAGTGTGGATGGTGCTTCCCAGTAACCAGGCAGGGCACACTTCTACCTGGGGCTTGAAACCCCCAGTGGGACAAGAAAACTCAGACCCCACTTGTCACCCCTTCCTTACCTGAGCTCTTCTTTCTCCACAGCACAGCAGCGACCGCAGCTCCAGTGACTACAGCTGCAAGGACAACCAGGCCAGCAACGATACCCATGATGGGGATGGTGGGCAGGGAAGACTGCTCTGGGAAAGGAGGTGAAGGTGAGGGTCTCTGACCCCCAGCCCTCACCACCGACCCTGTTAAAGGTCTTCAGAGAGGCTCCTGCTTTCCCTAACAGACATGATGCCTCCATCTCCCTCCTTACTCCATCTCAGCATGAGGGGCTCCGGCAGCCCCTCATGCTGCACATGGCACGTGTATCTCTGCTCCTCTCCAGAAGGCACCACCACAGCTGCCCACTTCTGGAAGGTTCCATCCCCTGCAGGCCTGGTCTCCACGAGCTCCACGTCCTGGGTCTGGTCCTCCCCATCCCGCTGCCAGGTCAGTATGATCTCCGCAGGGTAGAAGCCCAGGGCCCAGCACCTCAGGGTGGCCTCATAGTCAAAGACAGGGTGGTGGGTCACGTGTGTCTTGGGGGGGTCTGAAAGGAAGAGTCAGAAAATTCAAGCACTTTGCATCTCTCATGGGACACTCCAGCAGCACCTGGATGTGACCATCCTAAGAATGAACCAGATACCTGGGGTGGGGAAGGGAGCACAGAACCCAGACACCAGCCTGGACACGGGCACCTGGGATAATCTCCTATTCCTTGGAAAGTTCTAGTCTCTGAGCGGGGGAGCAGGGACCTCCGGTTCTGACCTGAGTGGAGGCCAAGGGACTCAGAGGAGCTGGAGTCAGACCCCCACACACATTGAGTGTGAGGCAGAGAACAAGGCCTGAGGGGAAAAGTCCTGGTGCCAAGGCTGCTGTGGGGTCAAAGGGAACCCCTGATCAGTCTTCCAGGGATTGTCTTCCCCTCCACTCCCTCAGAGACTTCATCCCTTAATTGTCCCAGAGAGCAGGACGGACCCTCAGAATCACTCTCTGGTACAGGATCTGGAAACCCAGGAGGATTCCTCTCCCTCAGGACCAGAGGGAGGGCGATATTCTAGTGTTGGTCCCATTTTCCTCCTCTCCTTGTGCTAGGCCAGGCTGAGAGGTCTACAGGAGATCAGGGAGGCGCCCCACTGCCCCTGGTACCCGCGCGCTGCAGCATCTCCTTCCCGTTCTCCAGGTATCTGTGGAGCCACTCCACGCACGTGCCCTCCAGGTAGGCTCTCCTTTGTTCAGCCACATTGGCCGCCTCACACTTGCGCTTGGAGATCTGAGCCGCAGTGTCCGCTGCGGTCCAGGAGCGCAGGTCCTCGTTCAGGGCGAGGTAATCCTTGCCATCGTAGGCATACTGTTCATACCCGCGGAGGAGGCGTCCGTCGGACCCCAGGTCGCAGCCAATCATCCACTGGAGGGTGTGAGAACCTGGCCCCACCCCCTCGGTCAGCCCCGCCCACCGAGCCTCGCCCTCGCCCGGACCCACCCGCGGGGATTTTGGTAAAGGCGCCTTGGGGTTCTCCCAGGTAGAGGGTCTGGGCGGGTCCCGCGGCCTCGGGGTGGATCCCAGACCCGGAGACTCGGGAGTACCCGGGCCGTCCGTGGGGCATGGAGGTGGGGGTCGTGATCTGCTCCCTGGGCCGGAGTTACTCACTGGCCTCGCTCTGGTTGTAGTAGCCGCGCAGGGTCTGCAGGTTCATTCTGTCAGTCTGTGCGTGGGCCTTGGTGTTCCGTGTCTCCTCTTCCCAATACTCCGGCCCCTCCTGCTCCACCCACGGCGCCCGCGGCTCCATCCTCGGACACGCCGAGTCGCTGTCGAACCGCACGAACTGCGTGTCGTCCACGTAGCCCATGGCGATGAAGCGGGGCTCCCCGCGGCCGGGCCGGGACACGGCGGCGCTGAAATACCTCATGGAGTGGGAGCCTGGGGGCGAGGAGGGGTTGAGACCCGCCCGACCCTCCTCCCGGCGCGGCTGCCGAGTCCTGCGCCCCCGCCGGGCCGGCCCCTCCCTCCTCCGCGCAGGGGCCGTTTCCCTCCTGACCCCGCACTCACCCGCCCAGGTCTCGGTCAGGGTCAGGGCCCCCGAGAGCAGCAGGAAGAGGGTTCGGGGCGCCATGACCACCATCCTTGGCGTCTGGGGAGAATGAGTCCGGGTGGGTGAGCGAGGACTTTAGAACCAGGACCGCGGCGACGCTGATTGGCTTCTCTAAAAACCTGTCACCTAATGGGAGTGAGAACTGGGGCCGCCCGGTGAGTATCCAGGAAGAAGGACCCGACACAGGTTAGGAGAAGGAGGAGAGAATCCCCAACGCGGGGCCTCCCCAACCCATACACCGCCTGTGGGGCCTGAGACCCTGAGAGCCACGCTTGAGGCCCTGGGACTTCGCCCTGACCCCGCTACTCTTGTGCCAAGCGTTCTGTCTCAGTGTCTCCCTGAGTCTTGGCCCAGGAGCTGTCTGAGAAACCAGGGAGAAACCCTCGGCAAGGTCCCTGGCCCTCTCCCTTCACTTTTCATCCCGGAATCCCTGTCCCTGAACTGGACTCCCTGCCTCCCACTCCTTGCCTGTCCTCCTGTACTCTTCTAGAAGAAAAATCACCCCAGGGAGCTTGTTGCCAGAGAGTGAGCTCGCCCTGGGATTGTAGGTGTAAAGACAGGGTTTTTTTCCCCCTTAAATCTGGAAAAGTTGTGCCTGAGTGCATGAGATAGAATAGAGACCAGTTTGCTTTTTGTTTATTAACTATAGTGGGTAGCATAACCTTGGTAACCCCTGAATGATCAGGAATCTAATCGGTAAAAAATGTGACTTTGGCCTGTTGGTATATAAATGCATCTAAAAGCATTACAACAGGACTCACAAAGCTCTTAAGTTTCACTTTCCCAGACAGTGTATCTGTGACTCCCGCTTGTTTTATTTTAAATTTACCTTCATTCCGTAGCCCTAAGTTTCCGTGTGAGTCCAGGACATCTCCTCAAGACAAAGTACCACACTATGTTACTATATGTTGCAACCAGGAGCCAGCACAAACTTTATTCACCTCACAGTTGTAAGTGTTCAGTGCAGTCACAATGCCCCTCACTAGTGCTCACGCACTGCCTGTTTTTAGGAAGTATCCACATGTGAGTGGAGTGTATATTTTTTAGGAATACTTAGTATTTTTTAAACCTGATTAACATAAAAAACAATTAGTTTCTAGGCAGACCCACATAAGATATTAAAGGCCAACTGCAAAGAACACCCAGCGAGGCTCTGTAGATGGATGTATTAAAATCTATAAAACAATGTGTTTAAACCTAAGAGTTCTGCTGCTTTGGAATTCTTTCCTCTGCTCCTTTTCCTCACCTCCTGCTCCTCCAGCCCTTCCCTCCGTCCCTCTCATCCCTCAGGCCCTCTTCTCCCCTTAATCCCCACCACCCTCTCACTCCTGAACTGTGGCTCTAGCACTGTTCCATGACCTGCTACATGAGTGTTCTCTCTATAGTGGTCCTGCTACTATGAGTCAGAGTGTGTCATTTCTCCACCTAAAACACTCCAGTGGCTCCACCTCATTCTTGTGAAGCTTCTAGAATGTCAGGCACTTGAGCATATGAGGGCATACCTGGTTCATTGTAGGGACTAAATTATTTTTTCTTGGCTGAATGAATGAATTATGAGTGTATTAAATTGCATCACAGAAAATTATAAAATGTAAAACACTAAAAAAGTTAAAAAAGATTTTATTTTATGTAACTAGTGTGCGTATCAATTCATCAGTTCATTCCAGGAGTCTTTTGAGTCTGTGTATGAATTTTATAAGACTGGGTAACAAATTGTCACAAACATTGGCTTTAAACAGCACCCATTTATTGTATTCATTGATTTATTTTTAGAGACAGAGTCTCCCTCTGTCATCCAGGATGAAGTGCAGTCACATGATCATGGCTCACTGCAGCCTCAAATTCCTGGGCTCAAGGGACCCTCCTACCTCAGTCTTCAGAGTAGCTAGGACTGCAGGCAAGTGCCACCATGCCCAGCTAATTAAAAAGAAATGTAGAGACGAGTGTCTCACTATATTATCCTAGCTGGTCTCAAAGTCCTGGCTGCAAGTGTTCCTCCTGTGTCAGCTCCTCAAATGTTAGGATACAGGTGTGCACTACCACGCCTGGCCAAATAACACTCATTTGTTCTTTATAGTTTCTTAATCAGAAATCTGGGCATGATGTGGATGGAATCTCTGTTCCGGTCTTCCTAAACCTGTGTTTTCATTTTGAATCCTCCTTCAGGCTTATACAGAGGTGGCAGAATGCAGTTTCTGGCAGTTGTAAGACTGAGGTCCCTGTTCCTCACTGGCTGTCACTGTAGAGAACAGGGAGGGCTGCACTCAATGCATGGTGCCCACCAGCGTCCTTTCCTACACAGCCCCTTCATTTTCAAAGCCCACAGTGGAGGAAACCCCTTATGCTGAATCCCTCTCACACTGTGAATCTCTATGCTCAGGAAGAACCCAGTCCTTTCAAGGACTCTCCTTATTAGGACAGTCCAAGCAGGATAAACTCAGCCTAAAGTCAACTAATTGAGGCCCTTAATTATATCTGCTAAATCCCTTCACAGCAGCACCTACATTAGAGTTGGTTGAATAACTGGGGGAAGGTGAATGACCAGGAGCTGGTTGTTGGGAGCCATGATAGAATCAGCCCAGGAAGGGCTGGATCTTCCTTTTGTGTTTAATTTGGACACAGTTGGAAATTGAAGTTCAAGTAAAGTGATCATTGTGAATAGTAATAAAATACATCCTCTTCAGCCGTGGAAATTCTCCTTTCCTTTTAAAACTAAGTTACATGTTTAATATCTTATAGTTAATTTAGACCAGGGGTGGTGGCTCACGCCTGCAATCCTAGCACTGTTGAAGGCAGAGGAAGGCAGATTTGACTCCAGAAGTTCAAGATCAGCCTGGGCAACATGGTGAAACCCCCATCTCTACAAAAAAATTAGAAAATTAGCCAGGCATGTTAATTCATGCCTATAGTCCCAGCTACTCAAGAGGCTGAGATCAGAGGATCCCTTGAGCCCAGGAGGTCGACACTGCAGTGCATGGTGATCATGCCACTGCACTCCAGCCTGGGTGACAGAGCAAGACCCTGTCTCAAAAATAGTAATATGATGATGATAAATTTAGAGCAAATGCAAATTAATGTGTAATAATACATCCTCTCTTGTGAAAATGTATTAGTTATTTACTATTGTGTAACAAATTATGTAAAACTTAGCAGCTCAAAACAACAAATATTCATCATCTCCCACAGTTTCTAATGGTCAGGAATCCAGGAGCGGTTTTCCTGAGTGCTTCTGGCTCAGGGCCTCTCACAAGGTTGCAGTCCAGTTGTCAGCCTAGGGCTGCATCGTCTGAGGGCTTCACTGGGGCTAGGGATTCACGTGAAACATGGCTTAGTCACATGGCTGTTGGAAAAGCCTAGTTCCTTGCTGTCTGGTCCCAGGGGGCCTCAGTTCTTAGCCACATGGACCTTCCTGCAGGGCTGCTTATGGCACAGCAGCTGGGTCCCCAAGAGCTCATGATCCCAGAGACAGAGAGAGAGAAGGTGGAAGCCATAGTGAGTTTCACATTCTACACCCAGAGTCACAAACTGTTATGTCAACATTACTCTATCAGTTAGAAGTTGTATTAGTCTGTTCTCACACTGCTATAAAGAAATACCTGAGACTGGGTAATTTATAAAGGCAAGAGGTTTAGTTGACTCACAGTTGTGCATGGCTGAGGAGGCTGCCC
Source organism: Homo sapiens (assembly GCF_000001405.40). NCBI lineage: Eukaryota > Metazoa > Chordata > Mammalia > Primates > Hominidae > Homo > Homo sapiens. The sequence goes on along the minus strand of NT_167246.2, from coordinate 1,086,692 downwards.
CAGGAAACTTACAATCATGGCAGAAGGGGAAGCAAACATGTCATTCTTCACATGGTGGCAGGAGAGAAAAATGCAGAGTGAAGTGGGGAAAATCCCCTTATATGGTACATATACACCATGGAATATTATGCAGCCATAAAAAGGAATGAGATCAAGTCCTTTGCAGGGATATGGATGAAGCTGGAAGCCATTATCCTCAGCAAGCTAACACAGGAACAGGAAACCAAACACCACATGTTCTCACTTGTAACTGGGAGCTGAGCAATGAGAACACATGGACACAGGGAGAGGAACATCACACACTGGAGCCTATTATGGGAGGGCAGTGCTGAGGGGAGCATTAGGAAAAATAGGTTCAACCGCTGACTTCCACAGCTTGGGGGAATCATCCCCATGATTCGATCACCTCCCATGAAGTCCCTCCGCCAATATGTGGGGATTAGAATTCGCATGACAATTCAAAATGAGATTTGGGTGGGAACACAGAGACAGGCCATATCAGAAGTGCATCATTAAGTCCAAGCCACACTTAAGAGAGGGAATTAAGCTGCACCTCTGAAAGAGAGCTGTACTAAAGGACTTACGTATATGTTAAAAGCAAAATTAAAACTATTGTTTCAGGATTTTGTAAATCAAAGACTTCTTTTATCTAATTATTTTTCTTTAATGCTTTAAGCTTATCTTTTAATTTAATTTAATTTAATTTAATTTTAAGTTCCAGGGTACGTGTGCAGGATGTGCAGGTTTGTTACATAGGTAATCGTGTGCCATGGTGGTTGGCTGTACCTATCAACCCATCACCTAGGTGTTAACCCTGGCATTCATTAGCTATTTTTCCTAATGATCCCCCCATCACTGCCCTCCCCGAACAGGCCCCATTGTGTGTTTTTCCTCTCCCTGGTTCCATGTATTCTCATTGCTCAGTTCCCAATTATAAGTGAGAACATGCGGTGTTTGGTTTTCTGTTCCTGTGTGAGTTTGCTGAGGATAATGGCTTCCAGCTTCATTCGTATCTCTGCAAAGGACTTGATCTCATTCCTTTTTATGGTTGCATAATATTCCGTGGTGTATATGTACTATATTTTCTTTATCCAGTTCCTCATTTGTGGGCATTTGGGTTGATTCCATGTCTTTGCTATTGTGAATAGTGCTGCAATGAACATACACATGCATATACCTTTATAATAGAATGATTTATATTCCTTTGGGTATATAACCTTTAATGGGATTGCTGGGTCAAATGGTATTTCTGGTTCTAAATCTTTGAGGAATTGCCACACTGTCTTCCACAATGGTTGAACCAATTTACATTTCCACCAACAGTGTAAAAGCCTTCCTATTTCTCTGCAACCTTGCCAGCATCTGTTGTTTCTTGACTTTTAATAATTGCCATTCTGACTGGCATGAGATGGTATCTCATTGTAGTATTGATTTGCATTTTTCTAATGATCAGTGATGTTTAGCTTTTTTTCTTATGTTTATTGGCCACATGTATGTCTTCTTTTGAGAAGTGTCTGTTTAGGTCCTTTGTCCACTTTTTAATGAAGCTTTTTTTTTGGTGTAAATTTGCTTAAGTTCTTTGTAGCTTCTGAATATGAGACCTTTGTCAGGTGGACAGACTGCAAAAATTTTCTCCCATTCTGTAGGATGTCTGTTCACTCTGATAATAGTTTCTTTCACTCTACAGAAGCTCTTTTGTTTAATTAGATCCCATTTGTCAATTTTTGCTTTTGTGGCAGTTGCTTTTGGCATTTTCATCATAAAATCTTTGCCCATCCCTATGTCCTGATTGGTATTGCCTAGATTTTCTTCCAGGGTTTTTATAGTTTTGGGATTTACATTTAAGTCTTTAATCCATCTTAAGTTAATTTTTGGGCAAGGTGTAAGGAAGGAGTCCAGTTTCAATTTTCTGCAGATTGCTAGCCAGTTCTCCCAGCACCATTTGTTAAATAGGGAATCCTTTGCCCATTGCTTATTTTTGTCGGGCTCATTGAAGATCACAGGGTTTTAGATGTGTGGTCTTATTTCTGAGTTCTCTATTCTATTCCATTGGCCTATGTGCCTGTTTTTGTACCAGTACCTTGCTGTTTCAGTTACTGTAGCCTTGTAGTATAGTTTTAAGTCAGGTAGCCTCATGCCTCCAGCTTTGTTCTTTTTGCTTAGGATTCTTCTGGCTATAGGAGCTCTTTTTTGGATCCATATGAATTTTAAAATAGTTTTTTTCTAATTCTATGATAAGCTTCACTTTTTAAATTAATGACTAAAAGTTTGAGACATCACAGAGCCTTAGGTGTTGAGGGGAAAACAGTTTGAGGCAGAGAAAGGAGATACAACAGTATCTCTGAGTTTTTCTTGCCAATATCTTTAATAACAGCAATGTTCTCTTCAATGAGTTAACACAGTTGAGAACATAGAATAACTAGATCAAATAGTTCCAAGACTTTAGTGCTATAAAAATAGTGCCTTGAAAATAAGTCTTTGTTTTGTCTAAAATGTCTCAAATTTAGGGGAAGTATGCCCCTAGTGCCAGTTTTCTTATTGAAATATCGTCTTCCAAAAAACATTTGCCTACACTTAAAAAAAGAAGTACTGCTCTGTCTCTGGAGTAGCCATCCTTTGTTTCTTTCTCTAATTAACTTGCTTTCACTTAGAAAAATATTGCTTAATCAGATTGCTTTTCATTTACAAAGATGTGAATCTCATACTTCAGTCAACACATCTAGCATGCCAATAACTTCGGTTTGATGCAGTATCACGAAATTGTTAGCTCGAATTGAGAAACTAGTTTTTTCAATAACTGGCTATTCGATCAGCATTCTATAATACACTTAACATCTTTTGTTGTGATATTGAATGATATGTGATAGAAGTGATTTGGACACCACTATGATTCTAAATAGCATGCCATCAGGTGCTTCTGAAGTGGTTTTGTTTGTTTCTTTGTTTTCGCAGTCCTATTGTGTTTTCTATTCATATTGCTATTCCGTCACTGGTTATTCCTTTCTACTCTTTTCTTGTTTCATTTATTTTGATCAATGATGTGCATTTCCAATTCTGTAAAAGTTTAATTCAGTGGTATGTGTGGTAGAATGTAACATCAAATCCTTTGCAAGATGGAATTACCTTGCACATCAGATTGAAGATTGTATACATGAAAATCTACAGAGATGCCAGTGAGCCAAGGATCAAATGACCTATTTGTAGCCAAAGCCATTTTCATGGCCTCGTGGTCCTCTCTGTCACATGGCTCCTTACAATTCTGTGTGGTTTTGTTCCAATGTAAGTAGTTCTTGCTAAGGATGCTTGCAATGAACTTTGGTATTCTTTTCTCTTTCATTTTTATAAAAACCAAGCATATTTTACTTTGAAAAAATCTGTTTAAGGAATTAGGAATTTAAGTCAATTCTTTCAACTCAATGTTTTCAGAACACATCATCAACATCAAGTATTACACATTTATTTTAAAAGTTCCATTTTAAAAGGGAATGGATGATATGTTGTTTGGACTTTAGCCAGCACTGTTGTAAAACACAGAACCTGTAAACTACCCTGGGCTGCTGCCCATTCACATCCCCCAAAAGGAGACTCCATCCTGAGTCTTGTGATTATTATTCCTTTATTTAGATGTGTGGTCTTATTTCTGAGTTCTCTGTTCTGTTCCATTGGTCTATGTGCCTGTTTTTGTACCAGTACCTTGCTGTTTTCATAATATCTATAAAGAAATTATAGAGTTTCTTTAAGGATTTGTGTAATAAGTATAGATATATCCCCAATCCAAATATTAGTTAGTTTTGATGGTTTTTAAGCTTCCAGTACAGCAAATTCCTACTGCATTTATTTTCCCATGATGCACATTACATATAGGAGTTATCTGTGGTGTGGGAGGCTGTCATTCATTCGTTTTTACTGCTGAAGGTTTACATTTTATGGTTATACCATAATTGCACTAGTTTTCTATTGATATATATGTAGCTGATTCCAGTTCTTGCCATAAACATTAGTGTGCCTGTCTCCTGGGCACATAGGCAAGAAAGCCCGCAGAGTGTATGATTAGGAGTGGGATGATTGGATGATATGTTATATGGCCTTTAACCATACTAGATAATAATAATATGATTTCCAAAGTGATTGTGCCAACTTAAACTTATTTATTTATTTATTTATTTATTTATTTATTTATTTTTGAGACGAAGTCTTGCTCTGTTGCCCAGGCTGAACTGCAGTGGTGCTATCTTGGCTGATTGCAACTTCCACCTCCCAGTTCAAGCAATTCTCCTGCCTCAGCCTCCCGAGTAGTTGGGATTACAGGCATGCACCACCACGCCCAGCTAATTTTTGTATTTTTAGTAGAGTCGGGGTATTGGAGGCCGAAAGAATGAGGGTCGTGATCAACTCAGTATACCACTGGAGGCTATATGAGCAAACAGCAAACTGTTCTCATGAAAGCAGGATGTTGGCAAACTGACAAACTGAGTTTGCTGCCAGAAGGAATCACTAGAAGCAAGAAGCCCCCGACCCCTTCTTTTAGAACAGATCTTTTTGTCTTTGTCTTTATTTCTGTGTTCATCCCCCTTCATTATATCCCATAGTAACCGATTGCGACAATGGGGTTTTACCATGTTAGCCAGACTGGTCTTGAACTC